>NC_000002.12:60796412-61099443 GCF_000001405.40 Homo sapiens | reverse complement strand
ACTGAGTCATCCTTCCCCCTCTCCCTCTGTAATACAATCTGTCAGGTAATTTCAGTTTTATCTCTTAAATATTAAATTCATCCACTTCTCTTCATCTTCACTGCTCTGGTCCAAGCTAACATCAGCTCTCTCTATGATAACTTCCTTTTGTACGTGATTCCACTGACTACCCCTCAAGTGTGCATTTTCCACACTGCAAATGATATTTTCCAAATGGAGATAAAAGAAAAACTTGAACATGGCTTATGAGGTCCTGCTCCTGCATGGACTGACACCTACCTACCTCTCCAGCCTTGTCTTGAACTATGCATGTTTTCTACAACAGCCTCAGGCTCTTTCAGTCTCTTTTACTCACTATGTTCCTTCTGACCTTGCTGTTCTGACTAGAATGCTCTTTCCTTTCCTCTTCACCTCACGTACTCCTACGAATCCTTCAGATCTCAACCTAATGCCAGCTCCTTTGAGGATTTCCTTGACATCTATGGCTGAATCATACCAGCCTATTACAGACATTTATGGCCCTGTATATGTCTTCAAACATTTCTTTGGGTGCTTTTTTCCCTTTTGTTATTACTGCCTCAGCTGTAAGTTCCATAAAGGCATAAATGATCCAAGTTTACAGGCTATCCTCTGCCTTGCACAGTGTATAGCACATCTTTGGTGCTTTATAAATATTTTTTGTATGGATGATGATAAAGAGCTTTAGGTTCCTTTCATTCACACGTGACATTTAATTACATAACATTTTCAAAAGTGTTTGTGATCAGAGAATCTAACCTACAGCAATACTCACACATTGCACCAATATATATGTGCAAGGATATTCACTGCAACACAGTAATACCATCAGTCTAGAAACCACCTACATGTTCATTAATAGGAGAATGGTTAAATTGTGATATATACATAGCTTGGAATATTATACAGCAGTTAAATAAAATGGCACAGAAAGATACCCTAGTTATGTTGTTGAGTAAAAAAGGCAAATTACAGAATATTATTAGTATGATCTTGTTTCCAATATAAAAAGCCATATATAAGGCTGGGTGTGGTGGCTCACACCTGTAATCCCGGCACTCTGGGAGGCCAAAGCAGGCAGATCGCTTCAGCTCATGAGTTCGAGACCAGCCTGGGCAACATGGCGAAACCCTGTCTCTAACAAAAATACAAAAAATTACCGGGTGTGATGGCGTGTGCCTGTAGTCCCAGCTACTCAGAAGGCTGAGGTGGGAGGATTGTTTGAGCCTGGGAGGCAGAGGCTGGAGTGAGCCGAGATGGCACCACTGCACTCCACCCTGGGCAACAGAGCGAGACCCCATCTCAAAAAAAAAAAACAAAAAAACAAAAAACAAAAACCTCCAAAAAATATATATATATATATATATAATTTGTGCCTGAAAGGTACAAAAGAAGGTCTAAAAGGAAACCATTAACAGTGATTATCTCTAAGAAGAGATGGAAAATGGGGGAGTGTTATAAAGAGGAACGGCTTCTTACTATATTTATGTATTGTTTGAAGTCTTTTATACATTAATGTATTACTGTTATACTTTAAAAACTGTAGCTACTAAGGGCAATATTCAAAATTCACCTTTGTAAGCTGAGTAGGATCAAACCGAAGAACCTTTTGGTTACAGCAGGGATAAATTCCAGTGCCAACAGTATTCAATGAACTTGCTGCAGTAGGATAAACCACTGTTTCTGAGTGGTATTGACAATGTGAAAATTCAATACAGAGAAAGGCCTGATAAAGACATAGATAAAATCAACTACTATTTCCACAACAAAATTATATGTTTCAAAAATACTTAAGACCAAATATTATATGTTCCATTTTTATATGAAATATGCAGAAAAAGCCAATCTATACAGACACAAAGTAGATTAGTGGTTGCCAGGGGTGGAAGGTTATAATGTGGAATAGCAGCAAATGGGCATGAGGGATCTTTTTGAGGTGATGGAAATGTGCTAAAATTGGATGATGGTGATGACTGTACAACTCTAAATTTACCAAAAAAAAAGTGAATTGCAGACTTAAAAAGAGTAAATCCTGAACACAACCTAACTTAATAAAAATAAAAAAATAAAATGAGTAAATTTTATGGCGTGTAATTCTACTTGAATAAAGCTATTAGACAGCAAAAAATGAAATCACCTTAAGCAAAATTCAGATGAATTAAACTGATCTTGATATACACTCAATTTTACAACTGGCCAATCACCTCAAATGTTTTCCAAAGAAAAATAAAATTTTGCTTCATTTGGTTATTCCTTGATGCTTTCTTTTTTGGAGATGGAATCTCGCTCTGTTGCCCAGGCTGGAGTGAAGTGGTGCCATCTAGCCTCACTGCTACCTCCGCCTCCCAGATTCAAGCAATTCTCCTGCCTCAGCCTCCTGAGTAGCTGGGATTACAGGCGCGCACAACCACACCTGGCTAGTTTTTCTATTTTTAGTAGAGACAGGGTTTTGCCATGTTGGTCAGGCTGGTCTTGAACTTCTGACCTCAGGTGATCCGCCTGCTTCAGCCTCCCAAAGTGCTGGGATTACAGGCGTGAGCCACCATGCCTGGCCCCTTGATGCATTTTTAAGGTAAATATTTAGCATCAGTATTAATAAAAATTATGACATAACTTTGAATCACTGGCTTTGAAAACTTTGATAAAAGCTTATCAAGGTTTAATTGTCAAATTAAACATCAGGTTTCAATTGTTTATAAGTTAGTAAAATAGGACCAGGTACGATGGTACACACCTGTCACTCCAGCTACTAGGGAGGCTGAGGCAGAAGGACTGCTTAAACCTAGGAATTCGAGGCCAGCCTGGGCAATGTAGCAAGATCCCATCTCAGGAAAAAAGAAAAAGAAAAAAAGAACATGGTGCAAGCACTGTCTAAGGAGTTTCAGTGGACACAGGTGCTGCTTGCGATGGGGAAGACCACTGGACTAGGCAGCTGGGGGCTGGTGGGTAGACAGAGGTTGTGCCACCAGTTCTGAGAAAAGGTTGGTTAGGATGGACCCTGAGTCCCAGGAGTTGGTTTGGAGAAGGGAAACTGAGGCTCTGAGTGGTAAAATTATTGGATTCAGAGATACTATGGGGCTCTGAAGGTTGGATTCTGTTAGCCTTGTGGGCTAGGGAGAGCATCCTTGAGTAGGTGATATCTTACTCAGATCTAGAGGGGACAAGACTTTTGGGCCTGTGCAGGGGGCACCATTGGTGGGTGATGATAATGTTGGGCTTTGAAGGCAGGAGATCTTGAGAAGGTAAAACCATTTTATCTAGAAAGGAAGGAAGTGGGTGTTGGGTTTTTGTGTCATGGTTGCGGGAGCCATTGGGAGGGCAATTCCATTAGCCAGTGGGAGGTAGAAAGTTTGTAAGAAATACCATGCCAGGGGACTGGAGAAAGACCCCAGATGTCATTGTTTCTGGGTGGAGATCCTGTGTGAGCGGTGGTGGTATATCCTAAGAGGGGGCAGTACCACTGGATGATTAAGGGTGGTCCCACAAGGCCTGGGGTGAAGAAAGACCTGAATGGATAATACCATTAATAGCTGTTGGGGAAAGGACCAGAAAAGGTGAAAAAGTGAAACCTTGGACTGGATGGAGGGGACATCGCTGGGCTTTTAGGAGGTACCCTGACTGGTACTCTGATCACTTGTTTCTTTTTGCGGGGGACTCTGAGGTGGGATGAAAAGCTATAGTACTGCACCAGGAGTGGGCCCTTGTTGAGAGAGTTCCTCACTGGGGGAGACTTTAAGAAGGGGAAACCTGAATAGGGTCCTGTCGGGGAGGAGAGGGACTCTGAGCGAGAACAGGTTAAAAACAAAAACAAGTTAGTAAAATAATTCAAATAAAAACAAAACATTAACAATCTAAGCACTGATCTTTTTTTTCTATTTATATTATGATGTACTGAAGTTGCTATTTGATAAGCAATGATCTTTAACATAAATGCATTAAAGAATAGTTTATAATTCAGAATTTTCAGCTGCCTATAATTCAGAATTTTTGGTTGTTAGTTTCAATTGTGATGTTCACATAATGGTTTTTAATTTTAAAAATTTGAGAACCTATAAAAACTATAAGGTGCACGTTCTCTTATATACAATATTCTGCATACAAACCATTTTATGAGTTTATGAGCTCTATAATAAATAGTCAATATCATCAATCAATATTCAATTTGCTGTAAAGGAGAGGAAAATAATCTCTCAAAGTTTCTGCATTCTGACATGTTAAGCAAGTCAGATTTTAGAAGCTTGATATCCTTGATTATGTCACACTCCGATTGTGAGGAGGACCTTTACACACCTATTAGATTAACAAAAAACCCAAACCTGACTATATCAATTGCTACTGAGATGGGGGGCAACTAGAACTCTCATATGTAGCTGGTAGAAATGCAAAATGGTTCCGGGACTTTGGAAAACTATTAGGCATGGCAAGTGTTAAACTACCACACAAACCAGCAATCCTACTCCTAGGTAATAAGAAAGAAGAGAGGCCGGGCGCAGTGGCTCAGGCCTATAATCCCAGCACTTTGGGAGGCCAAGGCAGGCGGATCACCTGAGGTCAGGAGTTTGAGACCAGCCTGGCTAACCTGGTGAAACCCCATTTCTACTAAAAATACAAAAAATTAGGCGGGTGATGTGGCGCATGCCAGTAATCCCAGCTACTCAGGAGGCTGAGACAGGAGAATCGCTTGAACCTGGGAGGTGGAGGTTGCAGTGAGCCAAGATGGCGCCAGCGCACTCCAGGTTGGGCAACAAGAGTGAAACTCCATCTCAAAAAAAAAAAAAAAAAAAAAAGAAGAGAAATAAATACATCCAAGAGAAATAAAAACCTATGTTCACAGGAAAACCTGTATTGTTTATAGCAGCTTTCTTCATAATGGCTCCACACTAGACCACAAACATCCTCCAACTGGTGAATGTCTGAACATACTGTGATATAGTCATACAACAGACTACTACTTAGCCATAAAAAAGAACAAACTAATTTATGAAACAACATGGATAGATTTTACATCCATTATTCGAAGTGAAGGAAGCTAGATTCAAAAAGCTAAATGCTATATGATCCTATTTATATGACGTTCTGGAAAAGGCAAAACTATATATAGAGAAAACAGACCAGTGGTTACCAGAGGCTAGGGTGGGGGAATTAATTGACTAAAGAGCGGCACAAAGAAATTTCTTTTAGGGTGATGGAAGTGTTACATGCTTTGATTGCGGAGGTAGTTATACAATTGTAAGCACTGTCGAAACTCACAAAAAGGATGCATTTTACTGTATATAATACTTCAACAAACCTTTTTAAAATTGTGGGAACACAGAACCCATTGAGTGGGAACTTAAACAGTTTAAAATCCCAATCTGAAGATTTTGACAAGCTGTTCTTCCTTCCCTCTATTGAAAATCATTACGCAAGTGACAGAGGAAAATTACTGGGGAGAGGAAAACTTTAGGGATTCAAAAGAAATTATTTGTCGAAAACTCTGCATTTATACATAAGATTAATTAGGAATGACTGTGACTTAGAAAAACCTATTTATTCCACAAAAGGGTTTATTATAGGTTCCTACAAGTAGCAAGTTTTCTTATGCTTTTATTATAAACATTAATTAAAAAACAAAAACTTTTTGGGAACAAAATTGTTGTAACAACAAAGGCACATATCAATAGCATCCTATCTGCAAAGGTGCTTCTGAATTTCTATAGAAGTGTATAGAACAACAGAGAAAATAGTTTGGCTGGAAACAAGTGAAGGCAATAAGGATTTTTTAATAATTGTTTTCACTGAAAAACTGGATTTGATCACTTAAAACAAGTGACTTTTTTTTTTTTCTCTTTTGAGACAGAGTTTCCCTCCTTTCCCAGACTGGAGTGCAATGGCGCAATCTCAGCTCACCGCAACCTCTGCCTCCCGGGTTCAAGTGATTCTCCCACTTCAGCCCACTGAGTAGCTGGGATTACAGGCATGCGCCACCACGCCTGGCTAATTTTGCGTTTTTAGTAGAGATGAGGTTTCTCCATGTTGGTCAGGCTGGTCTGGAATTCCTGACCTCAGGTGATCCACCTGCCTCAACCTCCCAAAGTGCTGGGATTACAGGCGTGAGCCACCGTGCCTGGCCAAAACCTGTTGCTTTTCTAAAAATTCAACAAGTCTTTGATTGTTTCAGGAATGGAAATAAAAAAAGAGAAAGAAGAAACAATGTCAAGAGAAATGAAACCAGATGCAAAAAATGTTTAACAGCACCATTGCTTTTGCCACTAGTTTTATTTTATTTTTATATTTTATTTTATTTTATTTTTGAGATGGAGTCTTGCTCTGTCACCCAGGCTGGAGTGCAGTGGCACGATCTCAGCTCTCTGCAATCTCTGCCTCCCGGGTTCAAGTGATTCTCCTGCCTCAGCCTCCCGAATAGCTGGGATTACAGGCATGTGCCACCACAACCGGGTAATTTTTCGTATTTTTACTAGAGATGGGGTTTCACCATGTTAGATAGGATGGTCTTGATTTCCTGACCTCGTGATCCGCCCACCTCGGCCTCCCAAAGTGCTGGAATTAGAGGCATGAGCCACCATACCGGGCCTAGTTTCATTTTTTTAAGAGATGGAGTCTCACTATGTCACCCAGGCTGGTATTGAACTCCTGGGCTAAAACGATCCACCTGCCTTGGTCTCTAAATGTGCTGGGATTACAGGCACGAGCCACCATGCCCAGCTGCCACTAGTTTCTTTAAAAAGATGTTGGATATTGTCAAAACACATTTAAACATATCAATTAAACAGCAGATATCAAAATAATCTTGCTCTCAATATTTGCAGAGCAGGATATTTAAAAAAAAAAATCTTACCTGATAACATCTTGAACAAGTCAGCCAATTGATTGTTCCCCACAATCGCCAGTATACATCTCTCCAAGATTTTAATTCTTCGAAAAGACTATTCAAATACTCATGAACATCCCATGTCTTATCTCTGGAGAAAGAGCCTCAATTTTACAAGCAAGTGATATAAACAATTTGTTTTATTTATTTATTTAATTATTATCTTCTTTGAGATGGAGTTTCACTCTTGTTGCCCAGGCTGGAGTGCAATGGCATGATCTTGGCTCACTGTAACCACCACCTCCAGGATGCAAGCAATTCTCTTGCCTTGGCTTCCCAAGTAGCTGGGATTATAGGCGTGTGCCACCACACCCAGCTAATTTTGTATTTTTAGTAGAGGCAGGGTTTGTATATTTGGTGGACAACAGGAAAAGGTATGAATGATTTGAATACCAAATAATTTTGCTAAGCTAGATAAAGGATTACAAATTAAATATAGTTTGAACAGGCCAAGAGTTGGGAATTAGGCAAATGTTAAATGGAAGCTTTATTCTAATTGCATATGTTATATGACAAGTTGTTATTAGTTACTGGTGATTCTAAACATTAGAATCATTCATGTATTAGTACTTTATATCACTAATAACATTTCATTAATGTATTAGTATTTTACACTATTTTCAAGTATCTTTTAGTAATTGAGTGATACAGAATATACAATCAGGTCTTGGTAATATAGATTTTTAGATTAAATAATATAAAGTTAAAAAATAGCAAAGCCTCAAAACCATATTTGCTATGGTCATATGCAACTCAAGTTTGTTTTTTGTTTTTGTTTTTGTTTCGTTTTTGAGACAGGGTCATACTCTGTTACCCAGCCTGGAGTGCAGTGGTGCAATCATCATAGCTTATTGCAACTTCAAACTCCTTGGTTCAAGTAATCCTCTCGCCTCAGCCTCCTGAGTACCTGGGATTACAGGTTATGTGTCATCACACCTGGCTAATTTTTTTTTTTTTTTTTGGACGGAGTTTCACTCTTTCGCCCAGGCTGGAGTGAAGTGGCGCGATCCTGGCTCACTGCAACCTCTGCCCTGCTGGGTTCAAGCGATTCTCCTGCCTCAGCCTCCCGAGGAGCTGGAATTACAGGTGCATGCCACCATGCCTGGCTAATTTTTGTATTTTTTTAGTAGAGACGGGGTTTTACCACATTGGCCAGGCTTTTCCCGAACTCTTGACCTCAGGTGATCCACCCGCCTCAGTCTCCCAAAGTGCTAGGATTACAAGCATGAGCCACCATGCCAAACCTACACCTGGCTAATATAAAACAATTTTTGTAGAGAAGGGGGCCTCACTATGTTGCCCAGGCTGGTCTTAAACTCCTGCCCTTAAGCAATCCTCCTGACTCAGCCTCCCAAACTGCTGGGATTATAGGCCTGATTCTTTTAAGTCTTTATTTCAATCTTTTCTAATTTTGCTGGTTTTGTGCTTAGCTCAAAAATAAAATGTCATGATGTTATTACAAATTACACAGGCACATTTGTCTTAAAAGTAATTTTAGGCCAGAGAGGCTTACTCGGGAGGCTGAGTCTGAGGCAGAAGAACTGCTTGAACCTGGGAGGTGGAGGCTGCAGTGATCCAAGATTGTGCCATTGCACTCCAGCCTGGGTGACAGAGTGAGACTCCAACTCAAAAAAAAAAAAAAAAAGGAATTTTAAAACAATTTTTTAAATGTATACATCTGCCAGGAATGGCGGCTCACACCTGTAATCCTAGCGCTTTGAGAGGCTGAAGTGGGAAGATCGCTTGAGGCCTGAGGCCAGGAGTTGAAGACCAGCCTTGGCAACACAGTGAAACCCTGTGCCTACACACACACACACACACACACACACACACACAAACCCTGTGCCCACACACACATACACAATTGCCAGGTTGCCAGGCATGGTGATGCACACCCATGGTCCTAGCTCAGGAGGCTGATGTGGGAGGACTGCTTGAAAGTCCAGGAGTTCAAGGCTGCAGTGAGCTATGATCGCACCACTGCATTCCGCCACTGCATTCCAGCCTCAGCAACAGAGAGAGACTGTGAGCTATGATTGCACCACTGCATTCCAGCCTGAGCAACAAAGACTGTCTCTAAAATAAAAAAAAAAAGGTATACATCAACTGCTGACATGTAGGAAAATACTTTGAATAAAACAACAAAAATGGATGTTGAAGTTAGTATCAATTACTTTTTTCACATACTACTAATAGGTGTATATATATATATGAAATTTAACATTCATAGGGTTTCTTTCATAACAGTGTGTGCTATAAATTTGTAATATAGAAAAAAGAACAACAAAAAGAAAATTAAAATCATCTGTAATACTATCACTGAAAGGTAACACCACAATTAATGTTTTAGTGAACATCCTATTTTTTTAACCACTAACAACTTTTATGTATCTATGTACTTTTTCATAACTTTGTTTTGCTCTGTTGTCCAGACTGCAGTTCAGTGGCATGCTCCTAGCTCACTGCAACCTCAAACTCCTGGGATCAAATGATCCTCCTGCCTCAGACTCCTAGCTAGGATTGCCATGCTCAGCTAATTTTTAATTTTTTTGTAGAGATGGGGTCTGGCTATGTTGCCCAGGCTGGTCTCAAACTCCTGGTCTCAAGTAATCCTCTCACCTCAGCCTCCCAAAATGCTGAGAATACAGGCAAGAAGATCTCTTGAGCCCAGGAGTTCAAGGCTGCAGTGAGCTATGATTGCACCACTGCATTTCAGCCTGAATGATACTGGATGAAGGATGTCAAAGAATACACATTTTGAGGTTTCTGCCTCCTGAGACATTATACCAAGTTACAACACCCACCCTCAACTCAGAATGAGAACTTGTTTTGAACATAAAGAGAAATATGTATTATGTATTTATTTATTTTATTTATTTGAGATGGAGTTTCACTCTTGTTGTCTAGGCTGGAGTGCAATGGTGTGCTCTCGGCTCACTGCAACCTCCACCTCCCGGGTTCAAGTGATTCTCCTGCCTTGGCCTCCCAAGTAGCTGGGTTACAGGTGTGCACCACCATTCCCAGCTAATTTTTATTTTATTTATTTTTTTCAGATGGAGTCTTGCTCTGTCACCAGGCTGGAGTGCAGTGGCACTATCTCGGTTCACTGCAACCTCTGCCTCCTGGGTTCAAGTGAGTCCCCTGCTTTAGCCTCCCAAGTAGCTGAGACTACAGGCACCCACCACCATGCTCAACTAGTTTTTTGTAGTAGAGACGGGGTCTCACCATGTTGGTCAGGCTGGTCTCAAACTCCTCACCTCAGGTGATCCACCTGACTTGGCCTCCCAAAGTGCTGGGATTATAGGTGTGAGCCACCGTGCCCGGCCTACATATTAATGAAATACTGACAAAGTATGAAGAACAAATAGATGACAGAAAATCCAATGCTAAAGACAATTTTCCTCACCAAAATTTACCTGAAAGTAAATTTGGTTCTCTTGTAAAATTCAATATAACATTTGTACAGATAACTAAAATCTGTTAGTGAAAAGAGAGCATTTTAAAGGCACTAACCAGAATACCTTTCAAGATTAATATACAATAATTTTTATCATTTTAATGTGTAAAACATTATGACACTTACCCAGTAAATAAAATGTACTAACAACTACCTTGTTTAGAAAGTATTTTTCTAAATGAAAGTTGGATAACATGCAGAAAAGATGTTATCCCATTCCTTATAAAAGTAGTTATATTTTTATAAATATGCTAGAAATTCACATTTAAAAAAAATCTGGGCTGGGAGCGGTGGCTCACACCTATAATCCCAGTACTTTGGGAGGCCAAGGCGGGCAAATCATGAGGTCAGGAGTTCGAGACCAGCCTGGCCAACACAGTGAAACTCCATCTCTACTAAAAATACAAAAACTAGCTGGGTGTGGTGGCACACGCCTGTAGTCCCAGCTTCTCAGGAAGCTGAGGCAGGAGAATCGCTTGAACCTGGGAGGCGGAAGGTTGCAGTCAGCCAAGACCACACCACTGCACGCCAGCCTGGGTGACAGAGTAAGACTCCGTCTCCAAAACAACAACAACAACTATATATATATATATACAAAAATACATGTATGTATTTTATCTTCACGACACCTTATGTGAATATAGACAATATTTCCACGTCGATCCACATTGATTTTTCCAGGAATGCAAGGAATTCTTCTTTCTGTTTCTTTTGTTAAAAGTTTCTTACACAAACAGCATCTATAAACAAAGAAGATACAAAAAACATCCAGGAAGAAGAATGTAAATGTAGTAAATTAAAGAATATAGCTGCATTATAAAGTACACCAAAGAAAAAAACATGTTAGCATACCTATACAATGTTGCTGCATTACTCCGAGAATCTGGATTCAAGTACTCAGGATCAAACAGTCTTTCAATCTTCTTACAAAAAAGTTTGCTATTAACAACAAATGACCAAAATATTAATTTTCTACACTACTTTATAGTGATGAAAATAAACAAACCAATCTGTGCATTTGTAAAATAAGATTAATAAATCCTTAGTGGCTCTCTTGGGAGTTTATAATACATTTTTAGTGTTCTAAGTAAATAAAATTAACAGTTTATTATTAAGTAAATAAAATAAAGCAGTTCTGATGAGAACTGCTTGATCAATCATCTATTTTCCCATAAAAAATAAGATTGATAAATAGCTATCTTTCAGTCATTTTTAAATTTTATTTTTTATTTTTACTTTTTTTTTTTGAGACAGAGTCTCACTCTGTCGCCCAGGCTGGAGTTCAACAGCACGATCTCTGCTCACTGCAACCTCTGCCTTCCGGGTTCAAGCGATTATCCTGCCTGAGCATCCCGAGTAGCTGGGACTACAGGTGTGCATGACCATGCCCAGCAAATTTTTTGTATTTTTAGTAGAGATTGGGTTTCACCATATTGGCCAGGATGGTCTCGATCTCTTGACCTCATGATCCGCCCACCTCAGCCTCCCAAAGTACTGGGATTACAGGCGTGAGCCACTGCACCCGGCCTTATTTTATTTTTTTAGAGACAGGGTCTTGCTCCATCACCCACGCTGGAGTGCAGTGGCACCTCAGACTCCTGGGCCTCAAACTCCTGGGATCAGGTGATCTCCCACATCAGCCTCCCAAGTAGCTAGGACTACTGTGTGCCACCACATTCAGTTAATTAAAAAAAAAAAAAATCTGTAGAGATTGGGGCTGGCTATGTTGCCCAGGCTGGCCTCAGACTCCTGGCCTTCAAGTAATCCTCCTGCTTTGGCCTCCCGAAGTGCTGAGATTACAGGCTTGAGCCACCTTGCCTGGCCTCTTTTAGTCCTTTGTTACTGGAATATGCAACATTAAAGATTTTGAGAATTTAACAACCGAGGCCTACCAATAACTAGGTATATGATCTTTAGCCACTTACTTAACCTCTTTGAACCTTGTTTTCTCAAGTATAAAGTGTGGTTAGTATGTCCAATCTCATAAAGTTTTATGAGGGTTAAGTGATGTTTTTAAAGAGTACTAGATATAACGTTAAGCATTCAATAAACGTTAATTATTATGCATAATATAACTGAACTTGAGTCTTCTAAGTATGTCTTTAATTCTAAATGTATATCCTACCTGTCTCCATCTTTCCTTGTGTAATGTCTTCTGCTATTAAAAGCCAAATCTGGATTTAGAATTCCATTTCTGTTTTCAATTATTTAGCTCTTGGATAATTCCTCTCTGTGTTGTTCCCCTTAAGGATTAAATTCTTGAATAATCCCCTGCATTATTAATTTATTCCTAATGGATCATTCTGATCAGCATATAAACATAATCTAGTATCTCCCTTCCTAAAAAAACAAAAAATCCTCTCTTGAGCCTACCTATCCCTAATAGCTACTGCTAATTTTTTCAGCAGTCATGCAAAGTAAAACATCCGGAAAAAAGTTTTCTAAATCCACTTGGTCACATTTCTGTCCCCATCTTACTCTATGTGATGGCAGCATTCCACACATTTGGTCACTTAAGCATTATCTTTCTTTGGAAACCTTTTTTCCTTCTGCCTTTCTTTCTACTTCACTGGCTCCTCCTTCTCAGGTTCTTAACTGGCTACTTCTCCTCTGCTGCATCTCTAAATATTGGGTAGCCTTTATCAATACTATTTTGCTAACAATTAAAAAATGAAATACAGTAGCATTTACAATAGCACCAACAATTTAATTTATTAAATAAATTTATTTATTTAATTTATTTTAGGAATAAATTTAATTTAAAAAAGAGGTTGGGTATGGTGGCTCACACTTGTTAATTCCAAAACTTTGGGAGATCAAGGTGGGAGGATGCTTGAGCCCAGGAGTTTGAGGCCGCAGTAAGCCATGGCTGTACCACTACCCTCCAGCTTGGGTGACTGAGCAAGAAGACCCTGTCTCAAAAAATAAAATAAAATAAATAAAAAGGAAAAATATCTCTACATTGAAAACTACAAGACATTGGTGAAATAAATTAAGGAGGATTCAAATTAATGGAAGGTTATACCATATTCATGGATTGAAAGACACACTATTATTAAAAGGTTAAATCTTCCTAAATTGATCTACAGATTACATGAATCCCAAATTCTAGCAGGTTTATGTGATTGTGAGAAAGAGAAAATGGGTAAGCTGATTATCAAATTTATATAGAAATGCCAAGAACTTAATAGACAACACTACAATCTTGAAGATAGGCAAAACTTGAGAATTTAAATTACCAGATACCAAAAATGATTATAAAGCTATCAAAATTAAGACAGTGTGTTGGCTGGGTGTGGTGGCTCACGTCTGTAATCTCAGCACGTTGGGAGGCCGAGGCGGGCGGATCACCTGAGGTCAGGAGTTCAAGACCAGCCTGGCCAGCATGGTGAAACCCCGTCTCTACTAAAAATATAAAAATTGGCTGGGTGTGGTGGTGGGTGCCTATAATCCCAGCTACTTGGGAGGCTGAGGCAGGAGAATTGCTTGAACCTGGGAGGCGGCGGTTGCAGAGAGTCGAGATCTCATGATTGCACTCCAGCCTGGGTGACAAGAGTGAAATTCTGTCTCAAAAAAAAAAAGACAGTGTAACAGTGTGCTACTGATACAAGGATAGACAAAGAAATCAACAGAACACAAAGGACAATTCGGAAACAGACTTCACATATAGTAAACGTACTAGTGCAATTCAGTGGGGGAAAGGATGGTCTTTTCAACATATGGTATTGTGTCAACTAGATATCTATTTGGGGAAAAAAAAATGAACCTTGACCCCTACCTCATACCACAAAAAAAAATTAATTCAAGATGAATAACAGAAAAACATAGGACAATGTCTTCACCACTTTTAGGGAGGCAAAGATTTATTGAACAGGACATACAAAAAAAGTATGGTCTCATCCAGTTCCATGGTTTCAAATCTCATCTACTCTTAAATTTCTATTTTAAGTCCTGACCTTTGACCTAAACTCCAGATTAATATATCCAGGTATCTACTTGCCATCCCACTTGAATGTCCAAGAAGCATGTTAAATAATCTCAAAAAGAACTAAAGCTATCTCTTGATTTCCCTTACCCTATTCCTTCCTCTCCCAATCTTTCCTTTCTCCATTAATAGCACTACCATCCACTTAGTTACTCAAACTGAAAACCTAATAATTATCCTGGAATCCTCTCTCTCTCCCCACATCATTACATTCATAAATCTGTCAAATCTAACAACTGAGTCCATCTACTTCTTTCCAGCTCTACCGTTTCTACCCTAGTGCAAACCCTTTCACTTCTCAACAGACTACTGCACCAGCCTCTTAACAGGTCTCCTTGCTTCTTAAATCCCTAATGTCTATTCTCCACATAGCAACCAAAAATGGCCTCTTAACAACAAATCAGATCACGTCACTCCCCTGCTTGCATTCACACCTAAAGTATATCCTCCTTGCTATGACCTAAACAACCCTTAAATGATATAACCACTGCTGACCTCGTTTCATACCACTTTTCCCTTTATCTAAGGTCTGTTTTAATAATTTTTATTTGTTTAGAAATGGGTCTCACTATGTTGCCCAGGCTGGAGTGCAGTGGCTTTTCAGAGGGATAATAGTAGTGCCCTACAGCTTTCAACACCTGGCCTCAAGCAATCATCCCACCTCAGCCTCTTGAGTAATATCTTCATAATTTTTAACATAATTCACTATCACGATATGTTCATATGGCCATTATACAAAGTAACTAATTACTAATTTTTATCTTGAGCCATTGGCTCTGGATAAATTTTACTTCACTTTACTTACTTCATTTAAAAATAGAAATATATTTCTAAATATATTCTAAAAATAGAGTATTTTGGCCAGGCATGGTGGCTCACACCTGTAATCCCAGCACTTTGGGAGGCCAAGGCGGGTGGATTGCTTGAGCCCAGGAGTTCAAGACCAGGCTGGGCAACGCAGCAAACCCCCATCTCTACAAAAAATACAAAAATCAGCTGCGCATGGTGGCGTGCGCCTGTGGTTCCAGCTACTTGGAAGGCTGAGGTGGAAGGATCGCTTGAGCCTGAAGGTACAGGTTGTGGCTGGTATCTTGCTACTGCACTCCAGCCTGGGCGACAGAGAGAGACCGTCTCAAAATAATAATAATAAGCTAACTATAAATGAAAAGAGAGAGTAAAAATTAATTTCAAAAACTGGGCAACAAAGTGAGACCCTGTCTCTACAAAAAGTTTTTTTTTTTTTTGAGACGGAGTCTCGCTCTGTCACCCAGGCTGGAGTGCAGTGGCGTGATCTCGGCTCACTGCAAGCTCCGCCTCCCAGGTTCATGCCATTCTCCTGCCTCAGCCACCCAAGCAGCTGGGACTACAGGCGCCTGCCACCACACCTGGCTAATTTTTTGTATTTTTAGTAGAGACGGGGTTTCACCATGTTAGCCAGGATGGCCTTGATCTCTTGACCTCGTGATCTGCCCGCCTCGGCCTCCCAAAGTGCTGGGATTACAAGCGTGAGCCACTGTGCCTGGTCAAAATTTTTTTTTTTTTTTTTAATTTAGCTGGGCATGGTGGTGCATTCCTGTAGTCCCAGCTACTTGGGAGGCTGAGGTGGGAGGATCACCAGAGCTCAGGAGGTTGAGGCTGCAGTGAGCCAAGATTGCACCACTGCACTCCAGCCTGAACAACAGAGTGAGAACCTTTCTCAAAGAAAAAAGAAAAAAGAAAGAATATTTCACTCACATGAAATAGAAATATATTTCTTTTAACAGGAGTATTAGGTTTAAAATTAAACTTTTGAAATTACCTTTTAAATTTATCTTTTTTGTCCTTTAAATCATCAACTTCATTGTGTGAGAACAGATCAGCTATACGTGTGAGAAGATTTGCATTAATACAGTTCATGTTGCATGGGGTAGCTACTATGGCATTCATATTTTTGTGGCAATACTGAATACACTGTTCAACCTAAAAAATCATAGAAAATAAATGTCGAAAATAGTAGCATGAAGGACAATGTCATAGCAATACCTTTCAAAGATAAAATTCATTAAAAGTCTAATCCATATATTGCTAGGCACTAACTGGGTTTTGCCACCCAGTTTTTGACTTAATCTGTACTGTTCCAAAGGCAATCTAGCAGGTCAAATTTGTAACAACATATATACATACCTAAAAAATTATTTTCAACCTTCTTTAGAATATTTCAAATAATAATAATGCATCTTTTAAAATTGTGGCAGGTATAAATCTTAGTCTATAAACTCAAGTATACAGAACATGTAAACTTCTTTTTTTTTTCTGAGATGGAGTCTTGCTCTGTCATCCAGGCTGGAGTGCTGTGGCACGATCTCAGCTCACTGCAACCTCTGCCTCCTGGGTTCAAGCGATTCTCCTGCCTCAGCATCCCTAGTAGCTGGGCCTACAGGTGCCCGCCACCACGCCTGGCTAATTTTTGTATTTTTAGTAGATACAGCGTTTCACCATGTTGGCTAGGCTGGTCTTGAACTCCTGACCTCGTGATCCGCCTGCCTTGGCCTCCCAAGTGCTAGGATTACAGGCGTGAGCCACCGCGCCTGGTCTGTAACTTCTTATAATTAAACTTAGTTAGAACTTTAAGCCTCCTTTTCCCTGGGTGGCAGAAAATTTCAGTCAATTCCGAATTTTCTCAGTTGTGCTGGGTTTGCTCTCTTCCTTCCATCCTCTACAACATACCTCTACAACCTGAGGTATGTTTATTTACTTTAAAAGTAAAGAGAGGATAATCATGTATTCTTCCAAATATTTATGCTTATGGCATAAAAATTATCCTTTAGGGCTTAGATTTCAAAATTCAAAGGTTTCAAAAATTTCAAAACTCAAAAACTCATTTAGTCTCTGCTTTTTTTCTGTAACCCTTCCCTGATACCAGCTGGGCTAAATGGGGAAGAGCTAAGGAGTAGAAAGAATACAGGAATATAGGTGGCTCACACCTATAATCCCAGCACTTTGGGTGGCCGAGGCAGGAGGATCACTTGAGCCCAGGAGTTTGAGACCAGCCTGGGTAACATAGCAAGACCACCCCACCCCATCTCCATTTAATTTTAAAAATAAAAGAATACAGGGGACTAGTACAAACCCCAAAGAGTCAAATAAACAACTTCACATTTGCTAACATAGAAAAGGAGTATTCTGGCTGGGTGCGGTGGCTCACACTTGTAATTCCAGCACTTTGGGAGGCCAAGGCAGGTGGATTGCTTGAGATTAGGAGTTCGAGACCAGCCTAGGCAACAAAGCAAAACCCCGTCTCTACAAAAAATAGAAAAATTAGCTGGGCGTAGTGGCATGCGCCTGTAGTCCCAGCTACTCGGGAGGCTGAGGTGGGAGGATCACTTGAGCTGGGGAAGCAGAGGTTGCAGTGAGCTGAGATCATGCCACTGCACTCCAGCCTGGGTGACAGAGCGAGACTCTGTCTCAAGAAAAAGAAATTATATTCCTGAATTAACAATTTTTTAAATTGTTTTTTCAATTAACAATAATTTTAATAAAGTCTCAGAATTTTCTAGATACTTGAAGGAAAAGAAAGCATAAGTGAACAGAAGCACTTTGATTTTTTTTAAGTCAATACTTACTAGTGAATCCATTTTTAAAAACTCCGAAGAAATAAGAATTGAAATGACATTTCCTGGCTCTAAAAAAAAAAAAAAATTAGATTACCCTTTTGATGGGTACCCCAATCTCCTCTGAACAGGCTCCTTCTTACCTTAAAAGAGGACATTACTGGAATAAGAATAATTTAATACAATCTTATTATAGCTTATGGGTTAGATACATAAAATAAAGAAAATTCAATGTTAAAACTTAGGGTATGGAGAAAATGTACAATAAATTTACCCTGGCGTTAGATTCATATAAAGTAAAAAGACTCCAGCTAAAGATATCACATATGTAATCTTCTCCTTGACTAAATCAGGGAAAAAGATAATTGAGACTATAATTCATTGCATATACAAGTAATAGAAAACTTTTTAAATGATTAATGAGAGCATTTGTTATTAGAAAAGCTAATTTAAAGAGTTCAATGCTTGTTATGAACAAATATTTAATTTTAAAAGATTCTGAAAGATAAAAAATTTATTACTGCAGAGTCCTAAACTTACTTCCTAAAGGCATAATGAGTGAGCTTTCAGACATACAGAAAAAGAAAGGGGGATGCCGCCTGATGCTGTAGTTTAGCAAACCTGTCATCTCCCACGAGGTATGTTTAAGGAAAGAAAACTCTGTTTTGCATCATTACAGTACTAACACAATTCTAAATAAACGACTAAGCAGACAATGGTTAAAATAAGTAATCCCAATCTGTCTCTAAATAACAACTCTAGATTCAAGGTTTTTTGTTTTTTTTTGTTGTTGTTTTTTTTTTGAGATGGAGTCTCACTCTGTTGCCAGGCTGGAGTGCAGTGGCGCAATCTCTGCTTACTGCAACCTCCGCCTCCCGGGTTAATGACAGTCTCCTGCATTAGCCTCCTGAGTAGCTGGGACTACAGGCGTTCACCACCACACGCAGCTAATTTTTGTATTTTTAGTAGAGACAGGGTTTCACCATGTTGGCCAGGATGGTCTCCATCTCTTCACCTCGTGATCCGCCCGCCTTGGCCTCCCAAAGTGCTGGGATTACAGGCGTGAGCCACCACGCCCGGTGAAGGCTCTTAAACACAAATGGTGAAGGGAGGAAAAAGCTGGTGAAAAAGCACCTCAGGAAATGGTAATGTACCCCATTCCAGTTAGGAACCAGTGGCAGGTTATTAGAAATTTAATTAAGCATTTTGGTAGTTTTCCTGGTTAGAATAAAGACTTTTTTTGGTAAATGTTTACATTTATAAACACTGATTTAAGGTCAAAGATAACAGAATGACTAGCTTTGCTGCTTTTTTTTTTTTTTTTTTGAGACAAAGTTTCACTCCTTCGCCCAGACTGGAGTGCAGTGGCATGATCTTGGCTCACTGCAACCTCCGCCTTCCGGTTTCAAGCGATTCTCCTGCCTCAGCCTCCCGAGTAGCTGGGACTACAGGCACCTGCCACCACGCCTGGCTTATTTTTGTACTTTTAGTAGAGACGGGGTTTCAACATGTTGGCCAGGCTAGTCTTGCCTCCTGACCTCAGGTGATCCGTCCGCCTCGGCCTCCCAGTGTGCTAGGATTACAGGCGTGAGCCAGAGTGCCGGGCTTTTTTTTTTTTTAAATTGAGACGGAGTCTCGCTCTGTTGCCAGGCTGGAGTGCAGTGGCGCAATCTCTGCTCACTGCAACCTCTGCCTCCCGGGTTCAAGAGATTCTCCTCCTCAGCCTCCTGAGTAGCTGGGACTACAGGCACACGCCACCAGGCTAATTTTTTTTGAATTTTTAATAGTGACAGGGTTTCACCATGTTGGCCAGGCTTGCTGCATTTCTTTTACCTTTACTACACACATAAATATGATGAATCGAATAATTTTTTTTCTCTCTCTACATGTTTTGATTTTTATTGCACACATACATATTATAGCTGGTTAGTCTGGAATCTCTGGATTCTGGCTGAAATTTTTGATTTAGCAATCTTGTAATTTTTATTTAAGGACCACTAGAAACCTCTCCTATTAATTTGATCACTAAAGAATACAATAAATTATTAAGTTTTTTAAAAAACTTTTACACTGTCAGCATAGATTTATTTTCCATAAGAGTTCTATTTTAATACTACTGTAAATAGCAATTCTAGTGCATAGAAAGACTATTAAACCACAAGTGTGATCATACAAGTATATGCCCATTGAAATATTACTCAGTAATTATTCTTATTACAGTAATTCTACTAGTAATACTAGTAGTATGCTACCATTTAGAACACTGGCTCTTGAACTTTTGATCTCAGGACCCCTTTACAATCTTAAAAACTGAGAATCCTAAAGGGTTTTTCTTTATGTGGGTTGTATCTGCCAGTATTTATCACATTAGAAATTAAAATAGAGGAAATCAAAAAATATGAATTCATTTACAAAGAACAAAAAACCTATTTACATGTTAACATATTTTTATTAAAATAACTATGTTTTCTTTTCTTTTTTTTTTAGAAAGGGTCTCACTCTGTCACCCAGGCTGGAATGCGGTGGTGCAATTTTGGCTCACTGCAGCCTCTGCCTCATGGGCTCGTGCAATTCTCATGCCTCACCCTCCCAAGTAGCTGGGATTACAGGTGGGTGCCACCACGCCCAGCTAATTTTTGTATTTTCAGTAGAGACGGGGTTTTGCCATGTTGGCCAGGCTGGTCTCCAACTCCTGGCCTCAAGTGATCCACCCACCTCAGCCTGTCAAAGTGCTGGGACTACCAGTGTGAGCCACCATGCCCTGCCTAAAATAACCACCTTTTCTAAAATGAAAAATATTAGGTCGGGCGCCGTGGCTCATGCCTGTTATCTCAGCACTTCAGGAGGCTGAGGCGGGCAGATCACCTGAGGTCAGGAGTTCGAGACCAGCCTGACAAACAAGGCAAAACCCTGTCTCTACTAAAAATACAAAAATTAGCAGGGCGTGGTGACATGCACCTGTAATCCCAGCTACTCGGGAGGCTGAGGCAGGAGAACCGCTTGAACCCGGGAGGCAGAGGTTGCAGTGAGCTGAGATTGCACCGTTGCACTCCAGCCTGGGTGACAAGAGAGGACTCTGTCTCAAAAAAAAAAGAGTAAAGAGTAGCACTGTTTGATATTTTTTGCAAATCTCTTCAATGTCTGACTTAACAGAAGACAACTGGATTCCCATATCTGTTTCTGCATTCAATTTGTGGGTAGCCTACACCAAACTTGACAAATGGTAGTTTCTTAAAGGTTAATTGCAATGTATCTGAACTGTATCAGTGAACTTTTCTGACTCCGTTAATAACAAAATTCTCTAATTTATCTTTCACTTTGCATGAATCTTTCACTCACGCATGACTTTTTGAAAATAAAATGTATTGGTCATTTGGAAAATGTTGGCTCAATGAGTTATACAGATATTCCAAATGTTGAAATACTTCATTGTACAATATATTTAAAAATCACATTCATTAATATGACCACCAATCTCATCAGAAAAGTCAGGTATTGAGAAGCCTTCTGTCAAGCACATGGAAGCAAGTTAAGTTTTCCAAAACTGTAATTCTCACTGGAAACCTTGAATTTTGTCACTGACAGCAGGTGACAAATGCTTTCAGCTTTAACTGAGCAGCTCATTTTCAAGAAAATGTCTGCCAAACACCTAAGTCTGAATTACCATTATTTCTCTGTCAGTTGTTCTCTCAAGTAAAAATGGTCTTCAATTTTTAAAAGAGCAGCTAATTTACCTCAGGACTGAAAATAATCGCACAAGTGCTTTTCCTCAAGAGAATCATGTGTTGCTGTGCAGTAGGAGTGGACTTTCCATTTCATCACAGTAAAGATATGTATATTCAATGGTCAAGATTTAATAAAATTAGTAATTTTTACTGCTTTACCAAGGACATTCTTAAGTGAAACTAGATTTTTTTCTTTTCTTTTTTTTTTTCTTATTAACTATGTAACTATGTACTGCTAGTACAGTTTGGTGCCCCTGCCTTGATCTTGTCTAAAGCTTCAACAGTTTTACCCACTATTGCTTTTGTACCATCTGAGCAACACAGTGAGAAAGTCAAGTGACATCTTGGTATTATTAGGCAAACTGTTTTGACCTTGTAGACCCTCTAAAAGGGTCCCTAGTATCCCACTGGTCCATACACCATACATTGGGAACTGCTGATCTAGAGATCTGTTCATTTGCCATAAATTTACTATAATTTACTAAAAAAGATGAGGTTATCAGTTTCCTAAAAGGCTGTTACTAATATGAGCATAAACACCGGTGTCCAAACAATTTTCCACATTTCACTTTTGGCCTGAAGAAACTACCAGGTGACACACAAATTTCACTACAAATTAAGCAACAGATTGTTTTTTACCTAAAGTGGGCATCTCACAATCTTTATTCTCCTTAGTGTTCCTTTTAATGTATTTTATCAACCAGTTGAAAATGTGAACGTCGCAATGAACTGAAATGTCCACCTCTTCCCAGCGCTGGGCATCCATAGATAAATATTCAGCAAAGTACTTCATTTCTGATATCAAAAGATCTCGCGGGCAAGTAAAATCTTCTTTCAAGTTTTTTGCTTCATCACACACATGGATCACCATGTTTGGCCTTCATAAAAATGTTACACAAAAATGAAATTATTAGAGTTTTAGAAAAGGAGTCAAGAATACTGACATTTAGTGAAGGGAAGAGAACAAGATGTTTTTGAAAATTCTGAACACAAATCAGTTTTATAGGGTCTTGACATTTTTCAAGTGTCTTGCTAGCCTGATCATATCTTAGATTATGACTAATTTTAGCAAATTACTGACGTAATAAAACAAAATATGGTTACTACAGGACAAATAATTTACACAGTTTGAAATTTCTAATTTCTTTTTCTTTCTTTTTTTTTTTTTTTTAGACGGAGTCTCTCTCTGTCACCCAGGCTGGACTGCAGTGACGTGATCTCGGCTCACTGTAAGCTCCGCCTCCCGGGTTCATGCCATTCTCCTGCCTCAGCCTCCTGAGTAGCTGGGACTACAGGCGCCCACCATGGCGCCCAGCTAATTTTTTTTTTTTTTTTTGTATTTTTAGTAGAGAGGGGGTTTCACCGTGTTAGCCAGGATGGTCTCAATCTTCTGACCTCGTGATCCGCCTGCCTTGGCCTCCCAAAGTGCTGGGATTACAGGCGTGAGCCACCGCGCCCAGCCTTGAAATTTATTTTTCAAGTTATACATTAAAAATAAAGTTTATGGCCGCACACGGTGGCTCACACCTGTAATCCCAGCACTTTGGGAGGCTGAGGCGGGTGGATCACGAGGTCAGGAGATTGAGACCATCTTGGCTAACATGGTGAAACCCCGTCTCTACTGAAAATACAAAAAATTAGCTGGCCATGGTGGCATGCACCTGCAGTCCCAGCTACCTAGGAGGCTGAGGCAGGAGAATGGTGTGAACTCGGGAGGCGGAGGTTGCAGTGAGCCCAGATGGCTCCACTGCACTCCAGACTGGGCGACAGAGCAAGACTCCGTCTCTAAATAAATAAATAAATAAATAAATAAAGTTTATAAAAATAATACCATTTCACAAAGAAAAATTAAGCAACACACTCTAATTCCTGTGGGGAACATAAAACAGCACTTTTACACAGTTATGGGTGTGGGAGAGAGATTATCATTAAATACTAAAATTTTCAGATTTTTTTAAAAAGGAAAAATAGCTATAATTCTTCACTAAAGAATCAAATGAATAACTAGCATGGCTTTGTTACTTTTAACAGCAAAACAGTTTGCTTCTAGGCATTCACATACATAAAATATAAATATATTAAATATAAATTAATAAATGTAGTTAAAAGCATTCCTAAGACTACAATGTACTTATTTCCATATTTAAACATAATTTAAGCACAAGTTTAAATGACACATCAGAGAGTCTGCTTCAAAAATTATAATCTCCTTGAATTTACTTTCTTTGAAAATTACGTCGGCTGGGCAAGGTGGCTGACGCCTGCAATCCCAGCACTTTGGGAGGCCAAGGCAGGAGGATTGCTTGAGCCCAGGAGTTTCAGACCAGCCTGGGTAACCCGGTGAAACCCTATCTCTACAGAAAAATTTTAAAAATTAGCCGGCATGGTGGTGCATGCCCGTGGTCCCAGCTACTCAGGAGGCTCAAGTGGGAGGATCACCTGAACCCAGGGAGGTCAAGCTCCAGTGAGTCGTGATAACATCACTGCACACCATCCTGGGCAACAGAGTGAGACTCCGTCTCAAAAACAACAAAAAATTGTATCACCTCAAAAAGAAACATCAGTGTGATCTACATCTGTCTTCATGTCATTACAAAAGGAAGAGAACAGAGAGAGACACACTGTCCTACAACATGAATTTAATTGAATTGTGTGTTTAATTCACACATTCCTGATACAAAAAAAAGTACATTATTGGAGGTCCAGGCACGGTGGCTCACAACTGTAATCCCAGCACCTTGGGAGTCTGAAGTGGGAGGACTGCTTGAGCCCAGGAGTTCAGGACCAGACTGGGCAACACAGTGAGACCACGTCTCTAAAAAAAAAAAAAGAATTAAATAAAATTGGGCTACCAGAAAAAGGATTATAATCAATGCTCTATCAAAGTCAAAAGAATTTAAACAAATTTTCACAAAATTGCTCTTCCAAAGAAATTATGGTCAAAATATAAACAGGTAATAATTGAACTAACGAAACAGAGTTTCCATAGTTTTTTAGACTAGAGTATAAAATATTAGATTATTTCAGTAAAAAATTTTTGGCAAATTTTTGTGTCACACAAACCAACCAATCAGTTAAAAACCTGTGTGAATATGGCCAGATGCGGTGGATCACACCTGTAATCCCAGCACTTTGGGAGGCCAAGGCAGGAGGATCACTTGAGGCCAGGAGTTCAAGACCAGGCCGGCCACCATGGCGAAAGTCCATCTCTACTAAAAATACAAAAATGGGCACGGTGGCACACACCTGTAGTCCCAGTTAATCAGGTGGCTGAGGCATGAGAATTGCCTGAGCCTAGGAGGCAGAAGTTGCAGAGAGCTGAGATGGAGCCACTGCCCTCCAGCTTGGGTGACAGCGTGAGACTTTGTCTCAAAAGAAAACCTCCAAGACTGTGTCAATAAACTAAAAATAACTGAACTACACACTTTAAAAGGGTGAATTTTTAAAACTGTGGTTAAATATACAAAAAGTAAAATTTACCACTTTAACCACTTTTAAGTTCAGTGGCATTAAGTATATTCACACTGTTGTGCAATCAGCACAATCATCAACCTCCAGAGCTTTTTCAAAGGGTTCATTTTATGACATATGAATTATATATAAAGCAAGCTGTTCTTGAAAATCTATAAAAAGTAAGATTTTCATAAAAATCCATGAAAAGTAAGTATACAAAGGAACTTTCAGAAATAATAAAAATATTCTGTGTCTTGATTTGGGTGATGGTTATATGGTACATCCATTTTTCAAAACTCATCAAAGTGAACACTTAACAATATTCAGTTTATTGTAAAAATAGGCAAAACAATACAAAACTATACAAAACTATCAAAACTTGCAATACACTGAAAGACATTTTAATTCTAAAATTTTCTATAATGAGTTATTATGTTCAAATAGTCCTAAAATACACATCCAATTTCTTTAGTAAAGTCGGAGAATTAATGGCATACAGTTTTTTTCCTTGGGTATTAAAATTCACTTTTTAAAGTTTTGTGTTAAGAGATATTACTTCTAATATTTATAAATATAAAAATAAAAATCTTTAAATAGAAAACTGTAATCCAATTTATAAATAATAACATGAATAAGTCATGTTTCGGTCAGTTCAACACATGAACTAAGCTGATTCCAGTAGTTTCAGCAATTATGCAATATGAAATTCCTACCTTATGGTAACCACCAATCATATATTTTATGAAGTTGATATTAATATTTAATCTTATCTAGCAAACAACCAGCCGCCTACCCTTCAGATTCTTCAGTCATTTCTCCACCATTATGAGTAGTACAATTTTCACTTTCTGAAGAACAATTCCTTGTGGAAGCTATACTATGTCTTCCTTAAATACAGAAACAAACACATACAAAAAAAAAAAGGTGGGGGTTAGTGTTTCTAGCTGAGAATGGGTTTTTATTTATTGAATGGTAATACTGTAAATGCATGGTTTCCAAGGCTAAAGATGGTACTTATCAGGGTGGCATTTTCCTTTAGTATTTCTAAAGATATATGGAAGAAACAGTACAAAAATGAATCATAAATTGCTAATGTTAGAATAAGGATTTCAAAAAATACTAATGTGGTGTGTACAAACAGGGATCAAATGTTCAAATGCCAACAGCATAGTTTTCTCTTTCTGAAGCAAATTTTTACATCAATACTCTGCCGCTGCTGAGATTAAAATAACTCGCTACACTCAGAGGATTTCTAAAACCAGTTATTATTTCCAATGTAATTGCAGAAAACATCTTTTACCCCACTACTGTGTCAGTTGAAGCTCTTGTTGACTATAATAAAGAGTGGCTGTAGGCTCAGCACAGTAGCATGTACGTGTAGTTCCAGCTGCTCAGGAGGCTGCGGCAGGAGGATTGCTTGAGCTCAGGAGTTCAAGACCAGCCTGAGCAACACAGCGCAACCACCATCTCCAAAAACAAAAAGAGTACCTGTATAAAAAAAAAAAAAAAAAAAAAAAAAAAAAGTAACATGAGAGACAAGCAAGAGTCTCTCAGGAAAAAGGAATATTAAGTAAAGGGCACAGGGCAAACCCCTCTAAAATAAAGTAAAAGAATATTCGTAGTTAAAAAAAAAAATACATGAAATTAACTAGGCCAGTAGATTAGAGTAGAACATTTTGATACAGTAAAGTGGGTTTTTTTGGTGATTGTATTTGACCTATATTTTAGCATTTAAAAATTTATTTTTAAAAATGTTTAAATTTTTTTACAGACAGTGTCTTGCTCAGACACCTAGGCTGAAGAGCAGTGGCTTGATCAAAGCTGACTGTAACCTTCACCTCCTGGGCTTAAGCAAGCCTCTTACCTCAGCCTTCCAAGTAGCTAGGATCACAGGTGTGCACCATCCACCAAGCTAATTTTTATTTTTTATTTTTTTGTAGAGACAGGGTCTTGCTATGTTGCCCAGGTTGGTCTTGAACTCCTGGCCTCAAGTGATCCTTCCACCTTGACCTCCTAAAGTACTGGGATTACTGATGTGAGCCACTGCATCTGGCCCTAAAACTTTTTTTAAAAAATAGCAAAGATAAACATGATTTTAAAAATTCAGGCCAGGTGCAGTAGCTCACGTCTGTAATCCCAACACTTTGGGAAGCTGAGGCGGACGGATGGCCTGAGCTCAGGAGTTCCAGACCAGCCTGGGCAACACAGCAAAACCTGGTCTCTACAAAAAAATACAAAAATTAGCCAAGCACGGTGGTGCACGTCTCTAGTCCCAGCTACTCGGGAGGCTGAGGCAGGAGGATCTCTTGAGCCTGGGAGATGGAGGTTGCAGTGAGCTGAGATGGTGCCACTGTACTCCAGCCTGGGCAACAGAACAAGACCTTGTCTCAAAAAGAAAAAACAACAAAATTCAGGAAGATACAAATATGAATACATTTCTCTATTAATGTTTATATTAGCCTTTAAACAAAGAAAGAAAAGTTGATTGGAATATATAATATTCTGCAGAATTTTCATAAGGGCAAGTACTACATTTTAGTTTAAAACCTTACCAGTTTTGGAAACTGCATCATGTCCAACTGGAGTCTCCTGAAATTCTCCATGTATGTCAAGAAGTGAGGATTTGATATATGTGGCTAAAGTTTCAACAGGACTCTCTCCAGCAGCCATTAGGGAATTATACTGGTTGTCAACAGGCGAGCTTCCACTGCTCTTTAATTCATCAAACCTTTTTGCACACTGTCATAATATAAAATGAAAGAAACAGAGGTTTGGGAATTTTTTTTTTTTTTTTTGAGACGGAGTCTCACATTGTCGCCCAGGCTGGAGTGCAGTGGTGTGATCTTGGCTCACTGCAACCTCCGCCTCCCGGGTTCAAGCAATTCTCCTGCCTCAGCCTCCTGAGTAGCTGGGATTACAGGTGCCTGCCACCATGCCCAGCAAATTTTTTGGATTTTTACTAGAGACGGGGTTTCACTATATTGGTCAGGCTGGTCTTGAACTCCTGACCTCGTGATCTGCCTGCCTCGGCTTCCCAAAGTGCTGGGATTACAGGCGTGAGCCACCATGCCCAGCGGTTTGGGAATTTTTTAAATAAAAAATTGAGAAGGTATTTTCTTGCCTTCTATTTGAAGATATTTTTCAACAATTACTTTTTGTAAGCAAATATTAACCTGCAGAGTAACATCTAGAATATTTGTATACATTTCACTATGCAAAAGCCTCTAACTTCTATTTTTATATTTTAAAATTCAGGGTAGAGTTTTAATGTGCTTTAACTCAAAGGCATATATATTTATGCTCTTGTAAAACAAGGAAGACCAGGCTGGGTATGGTGGATCATGCCTGTAATCTCAGCACTTTGGGAGGAAGTGGCAGAAAGATCGCTTGAGGTCAGGAGTTCAAGACCAGCCTGGGCAACGTAGTGAGACTCTGAGAGAGACTGTGAGATGCTGAGGTGGGAAGATCACTTAAGCTTCAAAGGTCGAGGCTGCAGTGAGCCATGATGGCACCACTGCACTCCAGCCTGGGATGATAGAGAGATCCTGCCTCAAAAAAACAAAAACAACAACAAATATATATATAATATAAAATATATATTTATATATAAAATATTATATATAAATATATATACTATATATAATATATAAAATTTATATACTATATATAATATATAAAATTTATGTAATTTGCATCTAGTCAAATTATATAGATGTCTATTCAGTGTTAATACATGCATTTGAATATGTAAAACTCAAATATTTTTCTCTCTCTTGGTGTTTCTTTAAATTGATGACCTTTTCTGAACATTTTCAGGAGATATTCTGGGGGGACTGTTATTTACCTCTTTTGGTGTTAATCCAGGCACGAGCCTTGCTATAGTTTCCCAGTTGATAGTCTGAGGGATTCCAATTAATGGATAAAGGATCATGTCCAATACCATTTGGTTATTATTGTTCAGGAAATTGTTGTTTTCTGAATATCCACGACTCATCTTTTGGAACTAGGGATAGGGAAGACAAAAAGCTTTATTTAAACCCGAAATCCAAATGTTTTCAGAACATTACAGATCAGTTATAATTCATTCCTAATAATTATCTGCTACCATGTAAAGGAAAAGTAAAACTGACCTAAAATAAACATAGTATAGCCTAAATCTCTTCACAAAAAAGGATTTGAATATTATGCATTGATAAATGGATGTATAAAAAGATGAAGAGATGAATAAATATACGATAAAAAGCCTAAAATATTTTTTATCTTTTTTTCTTTAGAGACAGAGTCCCCAATTTTACAAGATGAGGTTCAGAGTTGTTAAGTAATTTTTACAAGATCACAGCGCTAAGAAGAGGCAGAGCAAGGATTCAAACCAAGTAAAAATGATTCTCAAATCCATGCTCTTTCCATTCCACACAAGACGTATACTATGGGCTAAGACAGCAGATTGAAAATAATGGTTTAGGGTCAGTAGGGACAGAGTCTAATATATTTTGAAGTTAGTTATGATTCAATTAAGTAATTTTGAAAGCTTCTGTTTGTGAGGTGTGGGGAGAGGGTTATGATATCAAATAGAAAAGAAACTATGCATTCAAACATAAAACATTTGAGGAACTTTTTTATATCAATGTGTACGAGATACTTCTTACTTTATTCAAACATTTACTGAGCCATCACTGTGTGCCAGGCACTGCATCTAAAGTGGGAACATTAATTTACAGATGAAAATAATGACAAAAGTTTTGACTAGTTATATCTATGATTCAGCTGACACTTGATTCTGGGTTGGGAATACAATCTCCAAACATAAACTGCTCCTATGGACAAAAATGATCTATTTTAGGACGAGAGTACAAAGCAGAGATTCGCTGACAGACCAGTACAATGGAAAAGGCAGCGTACACAGGAGTCTGAATCTCTGATTTGAGTTTTGGCTCTACTACCTGCTAGCCAAGGCAAGTCATCGAACCTTGCTGAAATGCAGCAACACAAGTAGGTGATGGTCATACCTCTGACTGACAGCGTGGAAAGAAATAAAGGGATTATTTTGTGAAAGCACTTTGAAGATGATATAAGTATCTCACAAATGAGATGCTGCATAAATAATAGTATTTAGATTGTGCTGAGGGTTATGTGGAATATTTAAAACACAGCACAGGGGTCGTGAATGTGGTACGCTCTCAATAAATGTTAATTATAATTAGTACTATGTCATTGTTTACATAAGACACTGGTAGAGGACATCAGCTGGTAGACAACATAAAGTTATCCTACATGTATTTGAATGAACATTAAAAGGAAACAAAAACAGAAAAACATTTAGCACACTAAAATCACAGCTTCCTACCAACCAAAGATGTACCTTGTAGAAGGCCAGAATAGTGGAGTGGTTAAGTGTGCAGACTCTGGAGTCAGACTGTCCAAGTTTGCATCGCAGTTCTACTACTTATGGCATTATCTGGTTCAGATTAGTTAATCTCTGTGCCTCAATTTCCTCATCTGTAAAACAAAGATAATAATAGTAGCTAGCTTACATACTTCTGAGGATATATGGAAAGTGCTACCTGGCAAAGAGTGAGGACTACATAATGTGTGTAGCAGCACTACCACTCCAGAGATCCTCAGATTAAACAGATTCAAAAAGATTAATGTGACAGATAAAAGGAGAGACAGTAACATTCCAATGAAGTATGCCACCAACAAAATGACTAGAAAGAGTCAGCTACAGATTCTTACCCAGCTTTACCACTTCTAGCAGTGTGCAACCTATGGCTCCAATGGTCTCAGCTATACTGTAAGGAAAACAATACCTAACCTTTGGAGTTACGGTGAGGATTAAATAATACTATGTATAAAGCACCCGCACACTGTCTGGCATACAAAAGGTGCTCATAAAATAAATAAATTATTACTATTATTTTTCTCCTCTCCACTTTGGCCATTATTGGCACAAAAATTTCCAAGAATTAGTTTAATAACTGTAAAGCACTGCCTTGTGCCCAGTTGGAAACATATTTTACAGAACTTCATTGTTTTTTAAAGAGTTGGTCATCTCAAAGTAAGATGAAAAAAGTGAGTGAATCTGAAAAGTAATGCCCTTTTGCATGTCCCAGGCTGAGTTTGATGAAAACATGGGGAAAGAAGACTTGAAAAAAGTCTTGGAAGAACCTTGGAAGGGCCCTGAGAAATTTCTGTTTATTTCTCTCTTTAACTCGCTGGATTATGATTTCTTTGATGGGCTGGGCCTTCTATCTTTGATTCCCCAAAAGTGTGACCAGCAAGGCAGATACTGCCAAAATGTTTACTGAATTAACGAGAAGGTCACAAAACCTTAAGAGACATTTAATGTATCCTTTGGAATTCACTCCAAACTGCAGGTCCACAACTCATTTAAACATTTAAGTATAGATGGGGATGTGCAAAGATGGATGGGGATCATGTCCTGCTGGATTAATCAATTTAGTTTTGAATCCTTGAAAGACTTGCTTTCTCTCTAGAGAACAAAGCACTGATCTCTACTTGTTTGCCTAGTACTTGCATCACTTTTCATACCACACAATTTGGGAAGCATGTTAGAGCACATAGTGCGTTGTTGTTGTTGTTGTTGTTAAGACGGAGTGGCGCTCCCTCTCTCATCAGGCCAGAGTGCAGTGGCGCGATCTCGGCTCACTGCAACCTCCGCCTCCCGGGTTCAAGCGATTCTCCTGCCTCAGCCTCCCGAGTAGCTGGGACTACAGGCACGCACCACCACGCCCAGCTAATTTTTGTATTTTTAGTAGAGACAGGGTTTCACCATGTTGGCCAGGATAGTCTCGATCTCCTGACCTCGTGATCCGCCCGTCTCGGCCTCCCAAAGTGCTGGGATTACAGGCGTGAGCCACTGCACCCGGCCAGGGCGTTTTATTATAATTTGTTTGGGCCTTGGTAGAAAGCAATCTAAAATGGAATTCAGGGCAAGGATCTTCCCTGAGAGCTCATTTCTCTTCACTTCCAAAAAGATTCATTTAAAAGTTCAAAAATATTACCCACGTCAAACACTTAAAAGCTTACATTTCAAATGTGATACTAATTTATGCTATACATGTTTAAGAGTACTTTAAATCATCCAAATGAGAAAAAAGTTTTTCTGTTGACTTTCTCTTTATACAACTGTACTAGGCAAGGGAAGACCCCCCAGCATTAATTCTAGTTAAATGAATGTCCAAGAAATCAGAGTCTGAATTTAAGTATAAAAGGCATAGCATTGATGGATAATCCTTAATAAAACATAAATTATCTCGAAATAGCTGTTATAGTGCACCTCATTCAGGAAAGTATAAATTTATCAAAAACGGTGACAAGAAAAAGCTCAAAGTTCAAATTACTATGAAATCCACTCCCATTCATAAAATATCAAAATCTTGACAATATTTAAGGTAAAATACGTTATTTACCAAAAATAAAAATCCAATATGTTTAACAGACTTCATTTTTTAAGAACATACTTCCCCTCCCCTCCCCGACCCCCTTCTCTTGGTTTATGTATTTAATATACATGTATTAATTAAGAAGACTAGTCTAAGTCACTTCCACACCAGATAGAGGTCTACAACAGGAATCTGATATATTTTTTTCTTATTTCAAATAGAAAAAAAAGCTCTTGGAGACAGAGACGTTTTCCCTTAGCCAGTGGAAAGATGGGAAGAGAGGGGGCCCCGTGGGGCAGGCAGGCAGGCAGGTCAAAGGCCTCTGGCCTAACAGAGGGCGGCGGTAACACCGAGTCATCCCGGACCGGGAAGAAGCCTTGTACCCAGGCTTCCTGACTTCTGCACACACAGGAGATCGGAGTCAGCTGGAGGAGAAAGTAAAATCACATCCCAGAACCGGCATGAGGTCAAAGCCAGTCAAACCTTGGGCCCGGAGGCTCACTACGCGGCGCGTCCTCGGGGCACCCCCAGACCTTCGCGCCCCGCTCCCGCCCGTGGAGGCACAGAAACTCCAGGGGCGCAGAGCGGACAAAGGCGCCGGGCAGCGGGAGCGAGGCGGGGCAGAGGCCCGGGGCGCGGCCGGGCGCGCAGAAGCTGGGGTTCCCGCCGCTGTGCGCGGGCGGGACGGTCTGCAGGGACATGGACCGGGCGGGTGACGGGACGCGGGCCAGCTGGCTGCTCGAGGCGCGGCCGGCTGAGGCTGTGCACGGGGGCGTTCGGGGGCGTTTGGGCAAGTGGGACCCCGCCCGGGGTGGGAAGCCGCGGCGGGAGCCGGCTGGCTGTGAGCGGTACCGCCCCATGCCGCACTTCCCGCCCCGCGGTGGGCACCCGAGCCCCCTCGGCGTCTCGCTCACCTCCACAGGGCCGCGGCTGCCCTCGCAGCGCCTCTGTTACCTGCAGTGGTCGGCACCGCCCGCGCTCGCGCCCTGAAGCTGCCGCTACCGAGCCCGCAACCCCGTCCGCAGCGCCTCACACCCCGCCCCCGCCCGCTTGCAGGCGGCTGCGGAGACTAGCGCCGAGGGGTGGGGGAGCCGCCGAGCCGACGCCGCCCGGCCAATCGCGGGCCAGCGCCGCAGCGGCGGAGCCAATGAGCGCCGAGCCCCTGCCGGGCGGGAGGGCACCGGAGGGGCGGCGGCGGCTGACTGTCGCCTTGCCTTGCCTGCTGCTTCTCCTTCCTCCTCTGGCATACACTCCCAGGCTTGTCGCAGTGCAGCGTCCCCACCCTCCCAGCGTCTTGTCTCTTAGCAACCAGATCCTAGGAGCCTGATCTTAGGTGACCAACCCTGAGTCCAGAAGAAAGGGGGATATACAGGAGATAAAAGATTAAAGAATGGATGAAATTGTTCTTGGTGCAGATCATTTGGTACACCGCTTAGGTAGAGCGGAAAGATCGCATGATGAGGGACACCGAAAGTATCTTTTAGACCAAGGTCTTTGGGTAAGGACCTGAAGTGTCTTTACCAGGAGGTAGCTCTTTAAAAATGTAAATAGCTCTGGATTACAAATTCGGTTTTCATACATTAATAGGGTGTGTGTGTGTGTGTGTGTGTGTGTGTGTGTGTGTTATTGTGAGGAACACTACTATTGGGCATCTAGTAAAATGCAAACGGCTCAATATTGTAGGGTAACTGCTACATGTCAACATTTCTATCTAATTTCCACTTGGTCTATTCTGAGAACCAAAATTAAATGTTAGGATTAGAAAGAACAGAAAAAGTAAAGCCTTAACCAAATGAATAATTACTACGAGATCTGATGATTAAGTAGAGATTAAGTGGTTCACTGTACAGAATGTCAGGAGTTTTTACCAATTGTATCATCCTGTGACTTTCTGCAGATCTTTTACGATTTTTGTTCCACAAAGACATTAAAGTGGCTGGGTGCGGTGGCTCACACCTGTAATCCCATAATCCCAGCATTTAGGGAGACCAAGACGAGAGGATTGCTTGAGCACAGCCTGAACAACAAAGTGAAACCCTGTCTCTACCAAAAAAAAAAAAAAGTTGTTTTTTTTTTAAGTTAGCTGGGCGTGGTGGCCCCAATGAGCTATGTTTGCACCACTGCACTCCAAGCTGGGCAACAGAGTGAGACCCTGTCAAAAATAAAAATAAAAATAAAGTTAGGCAAGTGTCGTATCATAAGATGTTAGGTTAAGTCAGGTAAATTCTTTTTTTATTTTTTTGAGATGGAGTCTTGCTCTGTTGCCCAGGCTGGAGTGCAGTGGCACCGTCTGGGCTCACTGCAACCTCCACCTCCCTTCAAGCGATTCTCCTACCACAGCCTCCTGAGTAACTGGGATTTACAGGCGCATGCCACCATGTCCAGCTAATTTTTTGTATTTTTAGTAGAGATGGGGTTTCACCATGTTGGTCTTGAACTCCTGACCTCAGGTGATCTGCCCGCCTCGGCCTCCCAAAGTGCTGGGATTACAGGCGTGAGCCACCATGCCCAGCCAGGTAAATTATTATTATTTTTTTTTTGGAGACAGAGTTTCGGTCTTGTCACCCAGGCTGGAGTGCAATGGCGCGATCTTGGCTCACTGCAACCTCCGCCTCCCTGGTTCAAGTGATTCTCCTGCCTCAGCCTCCCGAGTAGCTGGGATTACAGGCGTGTGCCACCACACCCGGCTAATTTTTGTGTTTTTAGTAGAAATGGGGTTTCACCATGTTAGCCAGGCTGGTCTTGAACTCCTGACCTCAGGTGATCTGCCCACCTCAGCCTCCCAAAGTGCTGGGATTACAGGTGTGAGCCACCACACCCAGCCCCAGCCAGGTAAATTCTTAAACAGAAACTGCTTGCCCTCTACTTCCCCTCTTTCTTCTTTCATATAGGCTGGTACTTAGTTGTGATGGTGGTACTTTACAACCATGAAAACAAGAATAATGCATAAGGGGCTGGGCATAGTTAGCTCACGCTGTAATCCCAGAACTTTGGGAGGCTGAGGCAGGAGGATCACTTGAGGTTAGGAGTTCGAGACCAGACTGGTGAAACCTCATGTCTACTAAAAATACAAATATTAGTCAGGCGTGGTGGCGGGTGCCTGTAATACCAGCTACTCCAAGGCTGATGGGGGAAAATCACTTGAACCTGAGAGGCAGAGGTTGCAGTGAGCCGAGATGGTGCCACTGCACTCCAGCCTGGGCTACAGAGCGAGATTCCATCTCAAAAACGACAAACAAAGAATAACACATAAGGGACTGTAGAACACAATATAGCAGGAACCTGGGCCCTGAATTACCTTCTGAAGCAGAGTACCTCTGGTCTGTTCCATGAGAGAAAAATGTTTATCTTAACTACTGTATTTTTTAGTCTCTTTGTTACAGTGGCTTAGTGTATTCCCTAGAAGAGAAAGTTGGTTCCTGAAAGTGGTGTGCCACCTACCATAACAAAGATCTAAGATATATATGGCATTGGTTAGCAGGTGGAAACATATTGCAGGCCAGAAGGCTAGTGACTGTTCCCAAATGTATTGGGGAAAAATGTCACCCATATTAACTTGGAAGGCAGATCATCAAGCCCATATATAGCTCTGAGGAAAGCATCTAGAAAAGGCCAGAATGTGAGTTTGTGTTGGCTACCATTCCTTGCTTTTAGCAAGGTTCAACAAAAAGACACTAAGTCAGTTAACCAGTTTGCTAGCCTGGACAACGTGGTGAAACCCTGTTGCTACAGAAAATACAAAAATTAACCAGGTGTGGTGGCGTGTGCCTGTAGTCCAGTTACTCGGGAGGCTGAAGCAGGAGAATCATTTGAGCCTGGGAGGCTGGGGCTGCAGTGAGCTGCAATGAGCTGCAATTATGCCACTGCAATCTAGCCTGAGTGACAGAGCAAGACCCTGTTTCAACAAACAAACACTAGTTTGTAAACAGAGACTGAAGATAATAAAACTGTACTGGACCCACTCCATAACATCTGCTCTACTCCTGTTGTTGACCTATTTACTAGTAAGCATCTCAGGATCAATTTGGATACTTACTGTCTCAAGCTTTCTCATTCCCTTTTCTAGAACAACATACATTTATGAAATGATAGCTAGAAAGGATCCTTGAGAGGCCAACTTCTTCAATTTTTTCCAATTTAAGTCTCAAATACAGAGAAAGTTTAAGTGACTTGTCCAAGGCCAAATGGCCAACTCATTAGGTTCAGTGACTTTTGGCCAAGGAAAAAATCTTTCTTCCCCATTGTACAGATGTTCCTCCTTGAGGCCCTTTATGCAGAATGGGCAATTTCACCTAAGGCTTTCATCCAATTCCCCCTTTTCACCAAGTCTAACCATTTTGTGTTCAGAAGCTCATCTATTCCTCTATTAGTTTCAGTACAGTCTAAGTTGTTTTAATAAAAAGACCCAAAACACAGTGGCTTAAACACAATAAAAGTTTATTTCTCAAATTACAGAGGTGAGTGGTCCACAGCCGATACAGCTGCTTTGTCAAACTTGACAGACAACTTGTCTCTCAGTGTCTGAAATGGCTGCAGAATTCTCACTCCTACCTCAACAGAAGGAGAGGCAGGGCAAGGGAAATGCATGCTCCAGTAGTTTTTAAAAATCTATTTTTAAAATTGACAAAAATTGTATATATTTATGGCGTACAACATACTGTTCAAAATATGTATAGTGAAATGGCTAAATCAAGTTGATTAACATATGCATGACCTCACATACTTGTGAAAACACTTAAAATCTCTCTTCGCAATTTTCAAGTACACATTGTTGTTTGTTTTTGGAGTCAGGGTCTCACTCTGTAGCCAGGCTGGAGTGCAGTGGTGTGACCAGGGGTCACTGCAGCCTGGAACTCCTGGGCTCAAGTGATCCTCCTGCCTCAGCCTTCCTAATAGCTGGGACTACAGGCACTGCATTGTTATTAACTATAGTCTCCATGTTCTACAATAGATGTGTTGAACTTTATTCCTAAAATTTTGTATGCCGTGACCAATAACTCCCAATTCCCCCCACCCCCCATCTCCTGGTAGCTGCCATTCTACTCTCTGACTTTAACTTTTTAGATTCCACTTATGAGATCATGTGGTATTTGTCTTTCTGTGCCTGGCTTATTTCACTTAACATAATATCCTCCAGGTTCATTCACGTAGCCAAAAATGACAAGATTTCCTTCTTTTTTGAAGGCTGAATAGTATTCCCTTATGTATATATATCACATTTTCTTAATCCATTCACCAATTGATGGACACTTAGATTGATTCCTTATCTTGGCTATTGTGAATAATCCTGCAATGAACACAAGAATGTAGCTATCTCTTTGATTACTGATTTCATTTCCCTTGTATTTATACCCAGTAATGGGACTGCTGGATGATATGGTTGTTCTATTTTTTATTTTCTTTAGGAATCTCCATAACTGTTTTCCATGATGGCTGAACTGATTTACATTCCCACCAACAATGTGCAAGACTTCCCTTTTCTCCATACCCTCGCCAACTCTTATCTTTTGTCTTTATTATGGCCACTTTAACAGGTATGAGATGATGTCTCGTTGTGGCTTTAATTTGCATTCCCCTGATGATTAGTGATGTTGAGCATTTTTTCATATACCTGTTGCAAGCCCCAGTACTTTTAAGGACATGATCTCAAAGTCACATGCATCACTTTCACTTACATCCCATTGGCTAGAACTTAACTACAAATGAGGTGGCTAGAAAATGCAGACTCTGGCTGGGCGTGGTCGTTCATGCCTGTAATCCTAGCACTTTGGGAGGCCGAGGCGGGCAGATCACCTGAGGTCAGGAGTTCGACACCAGCCTGACCAACATGGAGAAACCCCGTCTCTACTAAAAATACAAAATTAGCTGGGCGTGGTGGTGCATGCCTGTAATCCCAGCTACTTGGGAAGCTGAGGCGGGGGAATCGCTTGAACCCGGTAGGCGGAGGTTGCAGTGAGCCGAGATCGCGCCATTGAGCTCCAGCCTGGGCAACAAGAGTGAAACTCCATCTCAAAAAAAAAAAAGAAAAAGAAGATGTAGACTCTGAGCAGCTGTGTAGCCAAACAAAATGTGCGAGAGTTTCACTTTTAAATTATGGGAGTGAATACTGGTGGTCAATTAGCAGTCTCTACACAACAGCTTAATTTCAAGGATTATATGCTACCCAGATTTCTATTATTTACTTCATTAGAATACATTTTTGAAACATTTTAAATTACAGTGAAATGTGAAACTAAAAAGGAACCCCATTCATACTAAAAAAATACGGTTAAATGTTTATGAATAAAAGGCAATAAAAAGAAATTTAAATGCCTTTGAGACTCCAGCTACTACCAAATATTACCTGAGAACGAGATTTAAAATTAAACATCTCTTTCTCCATGACAAGGCATAGGGTTGTACAAAACAACAAAATGTGGAAAAGTAAGAGGTATCAATAAACATTTTTTTGTCTATTTCAAGGTCTGTAAGAAATTAAAAGGGTATGTGTTAGAGGCCATGTTCATGTTCCAAGTGTCTCCGATAGTTATGTTCCAGCACGGAGCTTTTTACTACCAAAAGTAGAGGCCCCTGTTTATAATATTCTCCTAAATTGAGATGCCAAGTGTTGAGACTACAAGTCCTACATGGTGTCACCCCTTATGTGAATATGTGTGTGGCAGTTCCATACCTAACACCGCAATATCTTGACTGTTGAATTTTTTCCCCAAGCCTATCAAGCTTCTACTGACTGCTTAATGTTGAACAATATTTTTCCCCTTTGTCTCTCAGCACCTGTGCTAGAAACAGAAACTTTCTTATTTTATTTATTTACTTATTTTTGAGATGGAGTCTCGCTCTCTTGCCCAGACTGGAGTGCAGTGACGCAATCTCGGCTCACTGCAAGCTCCACCTCCCGGGTTCACGCCATTCTCCTGCCTCAGCCTCCTGAGTAGCTGAGACTACAGGCGCGTGCCACCATGCCTGGCTAATTTTTTGTATTTTTAGTAGAGACGGGGTTTCACTGTGTTAGCCAGGATGGTCTCGATCTCCTGACCTTGTGATCCACCTGCCTCGGCCTCCCAAAGAGACTTTCCTATTCTTCTAACAGGCTGCTATTCAAGAATATCCCTATTCCTAGACACTGTTCCACCTGATCCCCTTAGCAGGGCTTTAGTCTTTAAAGATAGCTCCTGATTGAAAACTGCATCTTGTTAATATGGTTATTAAAAAGTGCTTATCACTTTTAACAAGAGTTTATATTGAGTCCTTACTATATGCCAAGTGCTCTAAATGCACAATACACAGCATTGCTTACTCCTCTCAACAACTTAATCAAGTAGGTATGATTATTATCCCCATTTTGCAGATGAAGAAACTGAGATACACAGGTTAAATTCTCTAAGGAAACTACAGGCTGGGCAGGGTGGCTCAAACCTGTAATCCCAGCACTTCAGGAGGCTGAGGTGGGTGGACTGCTTGAGCTCAGGAGTTTGAGACCAGCTTGGCAACATGGCAAAACCATATCTCTACAAAAAATACACACACACACACACAAAAATTAGCCAGATGTGGTGGTGTGTGTCTGTAGTCCCAGCTACTTCAGAGGCTGAGGTGGGAGGATGGCTTGAGCTCAGGAGGCAGAGGTTGCAGTGAACCACTGCAGTCCAGCCTAGACGACACAGTCAGACCCCGTCTCAATTTAAAAAAACAAAAAAAAACTGGAAAGTGACAGAACTGGAATTCAAACAGGGGTCTCACTCCACATTTAACAATGTTGTAAGAAGTGAAATGTTCTGCCCTGGAAAATACCGTTAGAAAAGGGAAAATACAGAGATTCCTTAATCTGGTGTTCACAATAACCTTTATTAGTTTACCAGTCATTCTTAATCTTTTCATTTTCAAGTCTCAGAAATATATGAAAAATTTTGATCCATTTTGAACTTAATGAATATTAACAAGTTTTAATGTTTACCATTCATATTAAGAAACTCATTTTCATTGTTTTAAAAGTTTGTATATTTTCACATACAAATGGAAAAACACATTTAATCATTAAGACAATGGTTAAAGAGTGGGCTTTTCCAATTAATGAGTTTAGTTGTCATGTATATCATACATGAATGACCAATTTTCAAAGAATTTCAAATAAAAGTACCATAGACTACAAAAAATACATAAAACTACACTATTATAAATCTATCAGCTTTTGTCAGAAGACACTTAGGAATCTTCCTAAGTTTTAAAGCAGAAGTTTCCAAATGCCCATCTCAATTTAAGGCCCTATGAGGATCTGTGGCAAAATGAGAAAAATAAGATGAAATACACAGACTTGTTGAAATATACATGCTTGTTATTAAGTTTGCTAACATTTTTCTTCCTGAAATTATGGCTCTTCTATTTTGTAATATCCTCCATTCCTTGCTCATATCCCATTAAGACATATTTCCCAGTTAATTTCAAACTACCGATTAATTTGTATAAAGTAAATATTCTTTTTTTTTTTGAGACGGAGTCTCGCTCTGTCACCCAGGCTGGAGTGCAGTGGCGCGATCTCAGCTCACTGCCAGCTCCGCCTCCCGGGTTCACGCCATTCTCCTGCCTCAGCCTCCCGAGTAGGTGGGACTACAGGTGCCCACCACCACGCCCGGCTAATTTTTGTGTGTGTGTGTGTTTTTAGTAGAGACTGGGTTTCACCGTGTTAGCCAGGATGGTCTCAATTTCCTGACCTCGCGATCCGCCCACCTCGGCCTCCCAAAGTGCTGGGATTACAGGCGTGAGCCACCGTGCCCAGCCTAAAGTAAATATTCTTAATAGTTAAAAAACCAAACATCCCAAAGAAACAAAGCCACTAGGTATTATTGATTTCCTTTGTAATAACTGGCTATTAGAGTCTGGAATCTGGAGGAACTTCTACTTCTGGTGTGGTGGGCTACATGGGAAACTTTCTTGGTGAACAAGGAAGATCCTGGCTGGGACACATTAAAGCACTGCTGGTCTCATAGAAGTGGAGAGAGGGGACCCCAAATCAATCAAAACCAGTGATCTGGGAAAGTGCAGGGAGAAGAGAGGGGGTTTGGGTGCCCTGAGGGTGGATGCCCATAATGGCCTAGCTGTCAGGACATTGAGCACTGGGCCACTAAGTAGAGTGGGCAAAAGCTGTTCATGATTTCCCATCCTTACACACAACCTTCAAGGGAGGACTGAAGTGATTCCAGAATGGTGGTACTCCCACACTGCCAGCAGAGGCAGAAGCAAGTCCTCTGTGGAGTTAATCCTAGACAGGTGTGCTCCAGTAGCCAGTACACCTTTCAAAATACACTAATTATGGATAACCCAATGTTTCTCAGAATTTGCTCAGGGTCTTGCCCAGTGATCTCCCCAGAAAAGGCTCTTGTAAATTCTCAGAGGAACTGAAGCCAGTCTTATGACCTAGTGCTTCTTTTCAGGTTATCGTCACGCAGCACACCTCACCAAATAGTGGTAATATTGCCTTTTCTGTATACAGCTAGGTTTCTGCATGTTACCCTTTTAATTTTAATATTTGATAAAATAATTTCCTTAAAAATTATATCAAGTAAGAATACAAAGGTTTAATATCAGAAAAATCAATGTCATCTACCATATTACTAAAGGTGAGAAACTAAAAACCATCTAGACAAATGAATATTTCTTTTATTTTATTTTTTTGAGACAGGGTCTTGTTCTGTCATCCAGGCTGAAGTGCAGTGGCGTGATCATGGTTCACTGCATCCTCAACTTCCTGGGCTCAAGTAAACCTCTCCTCAGCCTCCCAAGTAGTTGGGACTACAGGCACGTGCCACACAGGTACGTGCCACCATGTCTGGTTAATTTTATTTTTTTGTAGAGATGGGGTTTCATCACATTGCCCAGGCGGGTCTAGAACTCCTGAGCTGAAATTATCTGCCTGTCTTAGCCTCCCAAAGTTCTGGGATTACATGTGTGAGCCATTGCACCTGGCCCCGCTAATGCAGATTTAAATTAGCTATAAAAGAGAAAAGCTTTCGGCCGGGCACGGTGGTTCATGGCTGTAATCCCAGCACTTTGAGAGGCCGAGGTGGGTGGATCACAAGGTCAGGAGATTGAGACCATCCTGGCTAACACCGTGAAACTCTGTCTCTACTAAAAAATACAAAAAATTAGCCAGATGTGGTGGCGGGCGCCTGTAGTTCCAGCTACTCGGGAGGCTGAGGCAGGAGAATGGCGTGAACCTGGGAGGCGGAGTTTGTGGTGAGCCAAGATTGTGCCACTACACTCCAGCCTGGGCGACAGTGCGAGACTCGTCTCAAAAAAAAAAGAGAGAGAGAGAAAAAAAGAGAAAAGCTTTCGATAAAGACTAGCATAAAACTCACAGCAAATATCACGAGTTAATAGAGCAACTTTAGAATCTAAAGCAGAAATAAGATAAAAAAAAAACCTGCTACCACAGTTAGTGCTAAATATAGACTGACAACTTGGCCAAATCAACAAAAGAGAAGTATAAGCACTTTGGGAAGCTGAGGTGGGAAGATCATTTGAGGTCAGGAGTTCGAGACCAGCCTGGCCAACATGGTGAAACCCCATCTCTACTAAAAAAATACAAAACTTAGCCAGACATGGTGGCGCTCGCCTGTAGTCCCAGCTACTTGGGAGGCTGAAGCAGGAGAATCGCTTGAACCTGTGAGGCAGAGGTTGCAGTAAGCCAAGATCACACCACTGCACCCCAGCCTGGGAGACAGAGCGAGATTCTGTCTCAAAAAAAAGACAATGTTGTACTGGGAAAGAAACTGACACATACCAACAAAACAGAGAGCCCCCAGTTTCATGCTTATAGAACTTGGAATGTAATGAAATGAGATGATACGGATTATGTAGTAGATGGTGTTAGAAAAACTGACTGCAATCCTACTTGGCATGTTCTGCAGACATTCACTCGGAAAACCCAGAAGAATATAACTTGGCACCAAGGTCACTTAGGTTGGCAGAAAGATATAGCACAGTAAACAACTGGCATGTAGAGGAGGCATCCTCTTTAGGTAAGCCTCATGTGTGATAGGGAGCGCTATCTTGTAAAAAACCCTCAAGGCAGGTTCCAGGTCCCTACAACTAGGAACAAGCTTGGTTACCGGTTTCATATCTTACTCAGATAAATCAACATCTGTGTTTTGTCTTTTTACAGTTAAAACAAACAACAAAGGCTGCCTGGTAAAGAGTTGACTTTCCATATTTATCTTAACTTTGTAGGTTACCAAGGAAACAGTGCTAAAAAGAAAGTAAACCCAAGATCATTTTTCCCCAGAGCAAGAGAAGGGGTTTTGTTAACTCTTTCCTTTTAATGACTAGATGGAGAAAAAGTTGAATTCATACCTCATACTATATCCAAAAATTAATTCCAATTAAATTTAAGACCTAAATGTAAATGGTAAAACTATAAAACTGATAGAAGAACAAGACCTATGGCTGGGCGTGGTGGCTCACACCTGTAATCCCAGCACTTTGGGAGGCCGAGGTGGGCAGATCACCTGAGGTCAGGAGTTCGAGACCAGCCTGGCCAACATGGCGAAATCCTGTCTCTACTAAAAATACAAAAAAAATTAGCTAGGTGTGGTGGCATATGCCTGTAGTTCCAGGTACTCAGGAGGCTGAGGCAGGAGAATCGCTTGAACCCGGGAGGCGGAGGTTACAGTGAGCCAAGACTGTGCCACTGCACTCCAGCCTGGGCAACAAGAGGGAAACTCCATCTCAAAAACAAAACAAAACAAAATAAAGACATAAAAGATATAAAACATTGGGGGGATTTCTATTATATGAAAAACAACAAAGACAAGAATGAACAAATGGCAAGTTATTTCCAACATCTGAACTTGACAAGAAAATAGTATCTACATATAAAGAATTTCTTGGCTGGGAGCAGTGGCTCACACCTGTAATCCCACCACTTTGGGGGCAGAGAGGCAGGCAGATCTCCTGAGCTCACGAGTTCGAGACCAGCTTAGGCAACATGGAGAAACCCCATCTCTACAAAAAAACACAAAAATTAGCCAAGCGTGGTGGTACGCGCCTTTAGTCCCAGCAACTTGGGAGGCTGAGGTGGGAGGATGGTTTGAGCTCAGGAGGTAGAGGTTGCAGTGAGGTGAGATCACACCACTGCACTCCAGTCTGGGCGACAGAGCCAGACCTTGTGTCAAAAAAAAAAAAAAAAAAATATATATATATATATACACACACACACACACATATATACACATATATATACACACACACATATATATACACATATATATACACACACATATATATACACACACATGCACACACTGTATATACTATACTGTAATCAGCAAGAAAGAAAAACTTAATAGAAAAGAGACAAATTATAAGTACAGACCATCCACAGAATGGAAAATCGGAATGACTAAAAAGCAAATACTCACCTTCATCAGTAATCAGATAATGCAGATTAAGAAAAAATACAATTTTATACACATCAGATTAGCAAAAATCAGAAAATATCAAGTGCTACTGAAAATGAAGAGAAAATGAAACCCTCAGGTCTTGCTTGTGGAAAGGAAAACTGTGACAACCATTCCTGAGAACGATCCAGCATGACTTAAATTAAATATGCATATACCTCAAACTCCAGCCTTTCTACTCTAGGACATATATAGCAAAGAAATGAAAGGGCAGGTTTCCTGAAAGGGCATTCTTCCTTCATAGGAAGACATGTATAAGCTTGCAGAAGTGGAAATAGCTAGGAAAAATATAAGTATTTGTGACTAGAGGAAAAGATAAGCTTTGGCATATGAATACAATAGAATAATATGCACCGGTCAAAAGCACATTATAGGCCAGGCGTGGTGGCTCACGCTTGTAATTGCAGCACTTTGGGAGGCCGAGGCAGGTGGATCACGAGGTCAGGAGATTGAGGCCATCCTGGCTAAGACGGTGAAACCCCATCTCTACTAAAAATACAAAAAATTAGCCGGGCGTGGTGGTGGGCGCCTGTAGTCCCAGCTACTCGGGAGGCTGAGGCAGGAGAATGGTGTGAACCCGGGAGGCGGAGCTTGCAATGAGCTGAAATTGCATCACTGCACTCCAGCCTGGGTGACAGAGCGAGACGCTGTCTCAAAAAAAAAAAAAAAAAAGCACATTATATAAGTAACGTGGGTAGGTCTTAAAAACCTAATACTTCATGAAAGTTAGGAGAATAAAATTTATGCCACAATATCATTTATGTAAAAAATTTAAACATATAAATATTATATGGTTTTCAAGAAACTATATCCAAAACATGAGAGATGGCTTGGAAGGACAAATATTAAATAGGGAGCGTAGAGTATGAAATTGCAGGAGGGAGATGAATAAAAACTCTTAAGGTAAAACAGAACACAAGTATAATTCTATTTTTTGAGATGGAGTTTCACTCATCACCCAGGCTGGAGTGCAATGGCATGATCTTGGCTCACTGCAACCTCTGCCTCCCAGGTTTAAGTGATCCTCCTGCCTCAGCCTCCAGAGTAGCTGGGATTACAGGTGCTCGCCACTATGCCCGGCTAATTTTTGTATTTTTAGGAGAGATGGGGTTTCACCATGTTGGTCAGGCTGGTCTTGAACTTCTGACCTCAGGTGATCCACCCACCTCAGCCTCCCAAAGTGCTGGGGTTACAGGGTGAGCCACCACACCCACCTCTCTCTCTCTATATATATATACATATATATAAATTTTTTTTTTTTTGGAGATAGAGTCTCGCTGTGTTGCCCACACTGGAGTGCAGTGGTGCAATCTCGGCTCCCGGGTTCAAGCAATTCTCCTGCCTCAGCCTCCCGAGTAGCTGGGACTAGAGGTGTGTGCCACCATGCCTTGCTAATTTTTTGTATTTTTAGTAGAGACGGGATCACACCGTGTTGCCCAGGCTGGTCTTGAACTCCTGATCTCAGGTGATCCGCCTGCCTCGGCCTCCCAAAGTGCTAGGATTACAGGCGTGAGCCATCGCACCCGGCCCCTGTATTTTTTAAAAAGCATTTTCAGGCCTGGCGTGGTGGTTCATGACGGTAATCCCAGCACTTGGGGAGGCTGAGGCGGGTGGATCACCTGAGGTCAGAAGTTCAAGACCAGCCTGGCCAATGTGGTGAAACCCCGACTCTACTAAAAATACAAAAATTAGCTGGGCATGGTAGCGGGTGTCTGTAATCCCAGCTACTAGGTAAGCTGAAGCAGGAGAATCGCTTGAAACCAGGAGTTGGGGGTTGCAGTGAGCCAAGATCTCGCCATTGCACTCCAGCCTGGGTGACAAGAGCAAAACCCTGTCTCAAAAATAAAATTAAAATTAACATTAAAAAAAAGCACTTTCATGTGAGGCAGGTGTAGCAGCTATGCCTATTGTTATAATTTAGGAAACTGAAAAATAAATAATGGGACTTAAATCTTACAGTAAGCAGTGATGTCTAAACTAGAATCTAGATCCCCCAAAATCTAGGTATGAAGTGTTTTTATTTAACACACCTGTAGGTAATTCTATATAAATGTATTATTTTTCTTTTTTTTTTGTTTTTTTCTTTTTAGATGGAGTCTCGCTCTGTCGCACAGACTGGAGTGCAGTGGCGCGATCTCGGCTCACTGCAATCTCTGCCTCCCAGGTTCAAGCAATTCTCCTGCCTCAGCCTCCCAAGTAGCTGGGACTACAGGCACCCACCGCCACACCTGGCTAATTTTTGTATTTTTAGTAGAGACGGGGTTTCATCATATTGGTCAGGCTGGTCTCGAACTCCTGACCTTGTGATCCGCCCGCCTTGGCCTCCCAAAGTGCTGGGATTATAGGTGTGAGCCACAATGCCTGGCCTATTTTTCTTTAAATCACAAAGAAACAGAACAGATAGGTTTGCAGTAGGTAATATATACAATAATGTTAAAGAGATACTTCATATTAATTCTAATCCTGCAAAAGTGTTAACAATTTATCTTAAAAAGTCAATCAAGTTTAACATATTTTTATTTCTCCAGTAAAAGTAACTTCACAACCTACTAAAAATAAAAATTTAACTGCATTCAGTTTCTGTTCATTTTTCTATTAAAGAAAGCACAAGATAAAGGATAGCTGTGTTCAAGTAAATGTGTAATTATGACACAGACAGAATCAAGTACGTACATAAAATGTTAAAACATGAAAATGTATAGTTCTTTTACCATTTCCTTTCTGAACTCATAAAATATAATCAGAAAAATTAAAAGAAACATGTTTTATTATTGTAAACTTATATTTTATTTAATTAATAATGTTTTGGTGTGTTAGTAATTTCTGTAAAGTAGCACTCCTTAAATAAGTTCCTAAAAATAATATTGGAGCCTTGAACATTTAATCTCAGCTAAAAAAATTATTCTAAAACTGTCATGATAAAAAAGGTTACAAAATTTCTCTTTATTCTAGTCCTGAATTCCTTCTCCAGAATTTTAATACAAAACGAATTTTCAGGCACAAATAGTCACCAGATAATGCATACCGTAATTTAGCAGACTTAACCAAACAATAAACACCCCTACAAAAGTGTCACTATTTTATCACTTTGTGCTGTACTCTTCTCCCTATACATCTTTAATAGTGGTCACTTCTACTTTACTTCTAGCATTCAATTTAGACATCTCAACCCCAAATTTAATAATCTGTTTTATCAAACATTTGTTTTGAGAACAAAATTTCTATAAATTATCTGACAAATCAAAGCAGAACCTTTAATTGTAGAACACAAATGAAAAATAATATACAAGAAACCTTATCTCTTCAACTTCAAGGCTAATACCTGGGTGTTGGAAAACTGGCCAAAGATAAATAAATTTTACTATATTTATTTTTCTGCACTGGGTCAAGATTTCTATTATAAATGATATGTTACTTACGATACTGTCGTTTCAAAAAAGGGCTTTCCAAGAAGCCTTTAGTAAAGTTCTTCTATGCTGGGTATGTACTTGGTTCCTGTATGTTTTAATCTGAACTATTCGAGAATTACTTATTTGTTGAACATAGTCTATTAGAAAAAAATACTAAATCGCTGGGTGCGGTGGCTCACGCCTGTAATCCCAACACTTTGGGAGACCGAAGCGGGCTCATCACGAGGTCAGGAGATGGAGACCATCCTGGGTAACACGGTGAAACCCCGTCTCTACTAAAAATACAAAAAAAATTAGCCGGGCCTGGTGGCAGGCGCCTGTAGTCCCAGCTACTCGGGAGGCTGAGGCAGGAGAATGGCGTGAACCCGGGAGGCGGAGCTTGCAGTGAGCCGAGATCGCGCCACTGGACTCCAGCCTGGGCGACAGAGTGAGACTCCGTTTCAAAAAAAGACAAAAGAAAAAATACTAAATCACAATTTTTATCAAACAGTTCAAAGTTTTCAACAATATCTATAAATGTATTCTTATACACCTGTATTCCTGATAGTATTACTCTGTAGTATGTTCGTAGCCAAGTATATGAAGTTTCCAATTTTCTGGGGAAATATTCAGTGTACTGAAAGTTAACTGCATTTAAAATCATTATAAACCAAAAAACACGTCAAATAGCATTATCGTATTATTATTTTTTGTTTGTTTGTTTTGAGACAGAGTCTTGCTCTGTCCCCTAGGCTGGAGTGCAGTGGCATGATCTCAGCTCCCTGCAACCTCTGCCTCCCGGGTTCAAGTGATTCTCCTGCCTCAGCCTCCTGAGTAGCTGGGACTACAGGTGCACGCCACTGCACCCAGCTAATTTTCGTATTTTTAGTAGAGACAGGGTTTCACCGTGTTGGCCAGGCTGGTCTCAAACTCCTGACCGCAGGTGATCCGCCCGCCTTGGCCTCCCAAAGTGCTGAGATTAAAGGCATGAGGATTATCATATTCTAAATGGCAATAGAGCACTAAGACTATAAATAAGTCTCAGTAGTAAAAACTAAACCTAAAAGAAAAATGTATCCAATGTGACACATTTTCAATATTTACAGAGCATCCTAAATATGGAATTTAAAAAATTACACAAGGTAGAAGCAAACAATCTATGAAAATATTAAAAATTACTATTATAACTGATTATATCATTAAGTGCAAACTCAAAAGAACTCAAGTATTTGTTGTAGGAAAAGAAAGTATACCTTTCATATACTTCTGATTCACCCAGTATGAAAACTAGTCATATTTTAAAGAAATAAATAATTTTATTTTTTGAGATGGAGTTTCGCTTTTGTTGCCCAGGCTGAAGTGCAATGGCGAGATCTCCGGCTCAGCGTAACCTCCGCCTCCTGGGGTTCAAGCAATTCTCCTGCCTCAGCCTCCCGAGTAGCTGGGATTACAGGCATGTGCCACCACACCTAGCTAATTTTGTATTTTTCGTAAAGATGGGGTTTCTCCATGTTGGTCAGGGTGGTCTTGAACTCCCAACCTCAGGTGATCTGCCCGCCTCAGCCTCCCAAAGTGCTGGGATTACAGGCGTGAGCCACCATGCCTGGCTTAAAGAGATAAATAATTAAGGGATCCTTAGAAGAAATGGAACAGTTTGTAAGAAAGATAAATTTCAGACTTTTTGCTAGGAGGGAAAACTATTAGGGCTACATACTCTATAATTCTAGAACCATTTCCTTCAGAATGCTTCTGGGTGACCTTTTCAAATTAAATTTTTAAAAATACAGTAAAAGATAGCAGTGTCAGTTGTTTGTGGGTGAAAATATAAACCCAACACTGGATATAATACAGATCAGAAAATTTTATTATTGAGATTACTTAAGGTTGTAAAAAAAAAAAAAAATTTACCTTTTGCCTGTTCTCATACTGACATGTCACCACTCCATTTCTAAGGATTCCAAGTCAATTAATGCAGAACTTTTAAAAGTATTAATGATCTCTACTGTACCAAACTGTGCATGCTATAGTTCATCAATCTTACTCTTCCAATAAACCTAGAGATTTAAATAAGATAAAAATGACAGCAGTCTCCATAATCTTAAAATCTAGGTGAAACAAATGTCCTTATGGTCCAATAATGTGTATAATAAAATGTAACCAGGTCACCAGACCAACATACTAGTGTGTAACTTTAATAATTTCTAGCAGCAAAACACCTGAAATAGCCAATAACAAATGTTTTCATTGGATTGTACATTCATTTCTTTGTGAGAAATAATTTTAAAAAGTACTCTAAAGTATTGTTCAACTGCAGGCAAACATGAAAGATATCAAAGATCTTGCTTTTCTCCATCTTTCCCAATGGAATCAGGTGCAACTGGAACCTTATTAGTTTCAACAAAAACAGATTCAAAGGCAGCTTCCTGTTCATCCAAAGAATCAGCAACCGTGGCTCCTTTAGTTAGTGTTGGGTTGGTAAAAGATTGTTGCTGCTTGGAAACTTTACTTGATTCCACCGTTTTCCTACCTTTTCTTTTGCCAAGAATTTTGACATAATTCGCAGGTATAAGTCCTGTTGTTTGGCCATCAAGGCTAGCCAGAAGCCAACCACGCACTTTGGGTTGTTGTTCTGATGGAAAAAAAAGACAGTCTTGTAATTACAATATACTTTGGAGGTCCAACAGAATAGTAATGGTAAAATATCACATTCAGGAAAATCTGTTATGCTTACATAGTAGATAACAAATAGTACATGCATATATATTCAAAATCAAATGCTGAGTAGGCTTAACAGTTCTAGGGTCCATTCTTCTATTTTTATTTTATACTTACTAAATATTTCCTTCCACCTTGAAGAACATAAAGTTTATTATCAGTTGGTCCATTCATAGAGTAGGGAGATTTAGTTCTCTCAAAACTGAAAACTAACATCAATGTCTTTCATATTTTAAACTGGAGTCTAAAAAATGAATATCTTATTCCTTCTCAACTGGGTAAGTTAGGAATAAGTATAGAAAAGATATACCTTTAATGCACTCAGCTTTCTTAGCCTACTTTTGGCAAAAATATAAAATTCGTTTCATGTGATTGTAATAAACAATCCTGAAGACAGTAAATATTAATTTCAATCCAAGATGGGCAAAAAATTGAAGACCTTTGTTATTTCTAGCCATATGATAAATAAAGGCAATACTCTAAGCTTAAAGAAAGATTATTTAATGTACTCAATTTTCTATTGTATTTTCCTATTTTATCTATATCTTTAAAAAGCTGCTTAACTGTTACAATTTTAGTTCAACATTATAATTTAGGCACAATATAAGACTTTTTAATGTTTAATGCTCTATAATAACAGGAAAAAACAAATTTACCATGTCTACGACCGATTTTGTTCCAAAGGCCCAAACATACTTTTCTTGAGCAATGGAGGAAAGCCAAGAAGCAAGCTAGTGTTAAGAGGCACTATTCATTGAAGAATAATGAAATATAAAATTTTTCTGAAGTGTTATGTAACTGAAAGAAACCACATGACCTCTAATTAAAATTATCTGTGTTGTTCCTGTCTCTAACAACAAATCTTTAAAAAATCATTCGTTTGAAATCCAAAATAGTAAATTGCTATTTTCCCTATAAGAAAAATATGAATAGGCCCAGCGTGGTGGTACACATCTGTAATTCCAGCACCTTGGGAGGCCAAGTCGGGCGGATCACAAGGTCAGGAGTTCGAGACCAGCCTGACCAACATGGTGAACGCCTGTCTCTACTAAAAATACAAAAACTAGCTGGTCGTGGTGGCATGTGCCTGTAGTCCCAGCAACTCAGGAGGCTGAGGCAGGAGAATCACTTGAACCCGGGAGGCGGAGGTTGCAGTGAGCCAAGATCGTGCCACTGCACTCGAGCCTGAGCAACAGAGCTAGACTCTGTCTCAAAACAAAAAAAAAAGAAAGAAAAATACAAATAGAATACCTAAAAGTCTAGAGGTTTGTTTTTTTTTTCTTGAGACAAGGTTACACTACGTTGCCCAGGCTGGAGTGCAGTGGTGCTGTTCCACAGGTGTGATTACAATGTACTACAGCCTCAAACTCCTGGCCTCAAGTGATCCTTCTGCCTCAGCCCCTTGAGTAGGTGGGACTATAGGTGCACACACTGCACCTCGCTTAAGTCTAGGTTTTTTGTAAAAGGGATGAGGCAAAGATTTAGTAATCTCATCCAAAATTTTCAATTATTTACATAGTAATGATTTGAACATTGAAAGTATTTCTTCCCTGCAAAAAATGACTAAAACCAAAAAAAGGGTGAAGTTTCCATAAATAGATCCTTCCATGAAAAAACAGCCAGAGTTGTTAAAAGCACAAGGTCTCAAGTTAGACAAACCTAGATTCATAGTCCAGTTCTATTGCACCTTTGCTTTGTGATACTGGACAATTTACTTATTCTGAGTCTCAGTTTCTTCAAGGGTAAAACAATGACAGGATAATAATAGTACCACTTCACCGTATTATTGTAAGGCTTAAATGAAATATGTAAAATACAGTACCTTGTACATAGTAAGTACTCAATAAATAACATGTTATTGTTATTAGTACCTTTATCAACAAAACATCACTTTTTGCAATAAACTTGAATCCCCATAAATACACATATTTAAAAAAATCCATAAAAATCCTGATAATCATTACTCAGGAAGGGTGAAGGAAAAGGTCATTTTGCCTAGAGTCATTAAAAAGTATCAGTGACTTGGTCCAAAAATAAACCCGAGATGCGTATAAATCTCTTGCTGGGGTTCTATAATACTTCATGACACTATTTCCTAAAATACTTATGATGAAATTTCTGAGGTAAACACTGCTGAAGTAATAAAGAAGCAACACCAGTCCACAAGGACTAACAGCAATGCTTAGATGATGTTACATAATTCCTTTGCTTTATTAGATTTGTTATGTTTAGTTACTGACATCACGTTTTTGTGTGGGGATTAACAGTTTGAAATTCAAGTATTTTGAGTTTAGAAAAGCCTATATAAACAAAGCCTTTCCTTATCTCAGTGAAATAGTATTCGAATAACTCTGCTGGGGCATTTCTTCCTGACTCCTCCAGATTTGGAAGCTCTAAATTGACATGAAAAAGAAGTTCTAGTAACTATCTCTAAGTTAACTAACAATGAACAAGATCCTTTGTTGTAGTTTTTAATACTGCATTTATGAATATCAAAATTTACAGATAATTCCAACTTATTCATAATTTATTACCTTTGAGAGCTAAGTTCAGCATATCACCAGCCCGGAAAGAAATTTCTTCTTCAGATACGGCAGCAAAATCATATTCTGCTCTGGCAACTACATGGTCATCCTCACCACTTGCCCAGTTGATGCTGTCTATAAGCCAAATTAAAATTAGGTTAATAAAATTTACAAAAGAAAAATGCAGATATTTCACTGGCTATGGCTTGCAAACTGCATAAATTTGCCAAGAGAAAAGTCCTCCCCTCCCAAGTAAAAACTATAATGAATACTATGTTAAATCAACAATAGATCCACTAAAGATACCTATTATGAACTTTTTCCTTTCTTTAAGCTCCAACTTCCCGCTCTCTTACCGTGAGCCAGGGGTTGGCAAATTTTTTCTGAAAAGGGTCAGATAGTTAATATTTTAGACTTTGAAAGCCAAGAGGCAAAACAGGATATTGGGCAATTACTTTTATAAAAAGAGGAAACAAAATTTCCATAAATTTATTGACAAGATTAAAAATATAATAACCATGTTTCTTTTTGGTAATACAGGTCTATTTGGAAGTTACTTAGAAGAATGAAATATTTTGGGGGAAGGATATTTCACTTAATTGGAAATCAATTATAAATATTCACTTGCTAATTCTAATTTGTAATAAAATTTGAGGTACTGCATTTTTGAAAATGCCTTTTCACACAGATAGGTAATGTCAAATCCTAATATGAGTCTATGAGTATGTGGTTTTAATTGAGCATATTTATTAGTTGGGAGAGTAATAGGCCAGAATATAATTCTGTTAAATTCTTCTCTTGATATTTGCCTTTTACCATGTTATTACATTGCAGATTAATCACTTCCAAATGAAGATTAAGTGGAAGTTCCTCAATTGCATAGTTAAATGGATTTTGAAATATGGAAATTTCCTTTGTGCTTGCATGGAGGTCCAAAAAATGCTCTGGCATTGTATTAATAGCTTAAGCTTGGAAAATGTATCTGCTGCCAACTTGCGTGGGAATGGAGATACTGCTTGTGTTAACTTCTGACAGTCTGAGAGGTCTATAAAGCAGTGTGACATTACTTGTGAGTCAAACTGTATTAGGTGTTGTCAAAACTTTACTCCAGCATAAGTTTTGCATATAAGCACTGTTCTGCTTTGTGGTTTCCGTTTGAATTACTTAAGAATATAGGTCAGGCGTGGTGGTTCACACCTGTAATCTCAGCACTTTGGGAGGCCGAGGCGGGTGGATCTCCTGAGGTCGGGAGTTTGAGACCAGCCTGACCAACATGGAGAAACTCCATTACTACTAAAAATACAAAATTAGCCGGGCATGGTGGCGCATGCCTATAATCCCAGTACTTTGAGAGGCTGAGACAGGGGAAATTGCATGAGTCCAGCAGTTCAAGACCAACCTGGGCAACATAGGGAAACCTTGTTTCTACAAAAAAATAAACAAAATTAGGCAGATGTGGTGGCACGCGCCTATAGTCTCAGCTTGAATCGCTTGAACCTGGGAGGCAGAGGTTGCAGTGAGCCGAGACTGCACTACGCACTCCAGCCTGGGCAACTGAGTGAGGCCCTGTCTCAAAAAGAAAACAACAACAAAGAATATAACTAAGTCTGGGCTGGACATGGTGGTTCATGCCTGTAATCTCACTCAGCACTTTGGGACGCTAAGGCAGGATTGCTTGAGGCCAGGAGTTCAAGACCAGCCTGAGCAACACAGTGGAATCTCGTCTCCACAATAAATAAATAAATTGGCCAGGTGTGGTGGTGTGTACTTCTAGTACTAGCTACTTGGGAAGCTGAGGTGGGAGAATCATGTGAGCCCAAGAGTGTGAGGTTGCAGTGAGCTATGATCACGCTACTGCACTCCAGCCTGGCTGACAAAGCAAGACCCTGTCTCCAAAAAGAACTCAGAATTTAACTAAGTCTGCAGTAAAAGGTGATTTCCAAAGCTGAATGGGTTTAATAACAATAGCTGAAAAGGAGTTCTGTTCAGAAAAATTTCATTCTTGGCCTCAATCTCAAAAAAAATAAAATAAAACTTAAACCTTGTTCTGCCATTGAATTGCCATGCGGTAGGGCAAGTCGGGATCTTCAGCTTCTGTATCTGACAAAAATTCACAAAACTGACAATGATTATGTCACAAGAGTGAATAAACTTTACCTTGACACTACTAGTTCAATAACACATGATAAATTCAAATATTTTCTGCAATGTGGCTGCTGATAATACAATGAATAACCATAAACAAAAAAACTGTATTTTCAAAACCTTTGTAACTTTTGTCCAACTAGGCCTTTTCCTGCTCCACCTAGAATTTTCACCATTATCAGGTGCAACACATCTTAGCAGATTCAGGTTGTACGGAATCAGTGTTTTCACCTTCTTTGAAAATGTTCTTGTCTGTAGTTGAACCATGACTATTCATAGAGGCTAATTCTTCAGTCATTTCCAATTCACCATTGATTTCTCAAATAAACAACTAAGCAGTACTGTCTTTTTTTTGAAAATTTGTTTTTTTTTTTTTTTTTTTTAGTAGAGACAGGGTTTCACCACGTTAGCCAGGATGGTCTCCATCTCCTGACCTCATGATCCGCCCGCCTCGGCCTACCAAAGTGCCAGGATTACAGGCATGAGCCACCGAACCCAGCCTGTCTTTGTTTTATGCTACTTTAACAGAATACTACAGACTGGGTAATTTGTAAACAATGGAAGTTTATTTGCTCACAGTTCTGGGGGCTAGGAAATCCGAGATCAAGGGGCATTTAGTAAGGGCCTTCTTGTTGTGTCATAACATGGCAGGAGGCATCACATGGCAAAAGAGTGCATGCGAGAGAGTAAGAGGGCCAAACTAGCTTGTATAACAAACTCACTCTCGAGATAATGAACTCACTCCCATGATGACAACATTTAGCCAACAGATTTAGCAAGTATTAATATCCATTGGGTCATGATGAGCCAAGGAAAAACATTCAAATCATTTGTCTTATTTTAAGTTGGCCATGTTGTTCAAAATGCCATCAACTCTTCAAGGAACTGTTCTCACTGAGAAGCTAATAATCTTAAACAAGTTTACTTTCTCTGGACATATTTTTTTTGGCTGTTGCAATGACCATGAGTAAACAGGTTTCCTTGCTTGGGTAACATATGAACCTCTCAGGAACTTATTTTGGTTGCAGCCTCATTTTATTTTATTTTTATTTTGATGCGGAAATTCTGCTGTGATGAGAATTCCATTTTAAATTTTCTAATTTTTTTGACTGTTGATTTTCTGTGATGAGTGCTCAATCTGGTAATGCTGATATGTAGTATAGCCATTTAACATAGCTATAGTGTCATTGTATAATAAATACAGTTTTTTTTACTATCTAATTCAATAACGAAATAATTCATACTATACTGTGCCTTGAAAATATGACACTCAAAGTACACTTTTTTCTTGTGTGTCATATATGAATTCATAATTTCAAAAAAAACCCACTGTAGTATAACAATGTATATATTACTCATCATGCTATCAAGTTATAACTAAGTTACTGAAATTTGTAGTGGGCAGAGCAAAAGTGAAGCCATCGGAATTTCACATATAGTCTCTGTGCAAACTATTCAATTCCACTGTTACAGTGGAAAAGCAGCCATAACAATATGTATGGAAATAAGTGTGGCTGTGCTCCAATACAACTTTATTAATGAAATTTGAATTCTATATAATTTTCACATCACAGATTATTTCAATTTTTAAAACATTCTTTTAATTTCCCAGCAACTGAAAAGTATAAAAACCATTTTTAGCTTGTGAGCTGTACAAAAATAGGAGCAGGCCAGATTTGGCCCACAAGCCACGGTTTGCCAACCCCTGCTCTAAGAGCTAAAGTAATAGGACCTCAATTTTGCTTCTCCTCAAAAATCTCTTTGTATCATTACCGATTTCCTCTCCTTTTGACTCAGATAAAAAACCGTCCTTCCTTTTTACCTGCCAGGTTCCGTAAGATCACACCCTCTCTTACTTCCTATAGTAGCTTCTTCATCATTTAACTCCTATCTTTCCCTTATTTATAACTGCTCCTTCTCTACTGACTCCTTTCTTTTAGCCTAAAAACATTCTCAGATCTCCTCACTTCTGAAAAGACAAAGCAAAACAAAAAACTGACAATCTCCCACAACAACTTGATCACTCAATTTGGCCATTCTTTTCCTCCCTCCTTCCATTCACTGCTAATCTTTTCTTTTTCCACATCTTCTGACTTTATTTACCCTTTATCCTCTGCTACAGTTTCTGTCTTCTCCACTTTACCAAAACTACTTGCTGGAGCTTGATGACTTCCAGTTGCCAGATCTAATAATCTTTTCTCAGTTCTTGATCTTATTGTAGAACCTTACATCATTCATCATCCTTCCACTCTTCCTCCATAATGTAGCAATAATATGGTTCTACTTCTGTTCTTCCTGATTTCCATCTTAGTCTGTCTTCTTTTCTATCTTTCTATGTATGATAGTAGTATCATTCACTTATATTAGTTCTTCCATTTATTTATTTTGAGACGGGGTCTTGCTGTGTCACCCAAACTGGAGTACAGTGGTACAATCTCAGCTCACTTCAGGCTCAACCTCCAAGGCTCAAACCACCCTCCCATCTCAGCCTCCCAAGTAACTGGGACTATAGGCATGCACCACCACACCCGGATACTTTTTGTAACTGTTGTAGAGACAGGTTTTCCCTATGCCGCACAGGCTGGCCTTAAACTTCTGGGCTCAAGCGATTTGCCAGGCTTAAGCGATCTGCAGGCCTCATCCTCCCAGTGTTGGGATTACAGGGGTGAGTAATCCCAATCTGACTCTATCTTAGGACCCATGTCACTGCCATGCTGAGCCAAGCCACCATCACTTCTCACTTGAATTAAGGTAATGGCTGCTTGACTCTCCTGATTGGTCTCTTCTGCCCTAGCTCTACCTAAAAACCATTCTTAGTAAAAAGGTGTATATATATATACCTTTTTTATATATATACACATATATATACTTTTTTATATATATACACATATATTATATATATACATATATACTTATATATACTATACTTTAATATATAGGTATATATATATATGTATATACCTATATATATATTTACATTTAATACTTTAAGTTCTAGGGTACGTGTGCACAGTGTGCCGGTTTGTTACAGAGGTATATATGTGTCATGTTGGTTTGCTGCACCCATCAACTCGTCGTTTACATTAGGTATTTCTCCTAATGCTACCCATCTCCAAGCCCCTCCACCCCCTGACAGGCCCCAGTGTGTGATGCTCCCTGCCCTGTATCCATGTGTTCTCATTGTTCAACTCCCACCTATGAGTGAGAACATGCGGTGTTTGGTTTTCTGTCCTTATGATAGTTTGCTGGGAATGATGGTTTCCAGCTTCATCCACGTCCCTGCAAAGGACATGAACTCATCTTTTTTTATGGCTGCATAGTATTTCATGGTGTATATGTGCCACATTTTCTTAATCCAGTCTATCATTGATGGACATGTGGGTTGGTTCCAAGTCTTTGCTATTGTGAACAGTGCCACAATAAACATACGTGTGCATGTGTCTTTATAGTAGCACGATTTATAATCCTTTGGATATATACCCAGTAAGGGATCACTGGGTCAAACGGTATTTCTAGTTCTAGATCCTTGAGGAATCGCCACACTGTCTTCCACAATGGTTGAACTAATTTACACTCCCACCAACAGTGTAAAAGCATTCCTATTTCTCCACATCCTCTCCAGCATCTGTTGTTTCCTGACTTTTTAATGATCATTCTAACTGGCATGAGATGGTATCTCATTGTGGTTTTGATTTGCATTTCTCTGATGACCAGTGATGATGAGCATTTTTTCATATGTTTGTTGGCTGCATAAATGTCTTCTTTTGAGAAGTATCTGTTCATATCTTTTGCCTACTTTTTGATGGGGTTGTTTTTTTTCTTGTAAATTTGTTTAAGTTCTTTGTAGATTCTAGACATTAGCCCTTTGTCAGATGGGTAGATTGCAAACATTTTCTCCCATTCTGTAGGTTGCCTGTTCACTCTGATGATAGGTTCTTTTGCTGTGCAGAAGCTCTTTAGTTTAATTAGATCCCATCTGTCTATTCCGGCTTTTGTTGTCATTGTTTTTGGTGTTTTAGTCATGAAGTCTTTGCCCATGCCTATGTCCTGAAGGTGTTGCTTAGGCTTTCTTCTTGGGTTTTTATGGTGTTAAGTCTTACATTTAAGTTTTTAATCCATCTTGAGTTAATTTTTGTATACGGTGTAAGGAAGGAATCCAGTTTCAGCTTTCTACATATGGCTAGCCAGTTTTTCCAGCACCATTTATTAAATAGGGAATCCTTTCCCTATTTCTTGTTTTTGTCAGGTTTGTCAAAGATCAGATGGTTGTAGATGTGGTATTATTTCTGAGGCCTCTGTTCTGTTCCATTGGTCTATATATTTGTGTTGGTACAAGCACCATGCTGTTTTGGTTACTGTAGCCTTGTAGTATAGTTTGAAGTCAGGTAGTGTGATGCCTCCAGCTTTGTTCTTTTTGCTTAGGATTGTCTTGGTTATGTTGGCTCTTTTTTGGTTCCATATGAACTTTAAAGTAGTTTTTTCCAATTCTGTGAAGAAAGTCAGTGGTAGCTTGATGGGGATAGCATTGCATCTATAAATTACCTTGGGCAGTACTGCCATTTTCATGATATTGATTCTTCCTATCCATGGGCATGGAATGTTCTTCCATTTGTTTGTGTCATTTTTTATTTCATTGAGCAGTGGTTTGTAGTTCTCCTTGAAGAGGTCCTTCACATCCCTTGTAAGTTGGATTCCTAGGTATTTTATTCTCTTTGTAGTAATTGTGAATGGGAGTTCACTCATGATTTGGCTATTACTGGTGTATAGGAATGCTTGTGATTTTTGCACACTGATTTTGTATCCTGATACTTTGCTGAGGTTGCTTATCAGCTTAAGGAGATTTTGGGCTGACACAATGGGGTTTTCTAAATATACAACCATGTCATCTGCAAACGGAGACAATTTGAGTTCCTCTTTTCCTAATTGAATACCCTTTATTTCTTTCTCTTGCCTGACTGCCCTAGCCAGAACTTCTAACACCATGTTGAATAGGAGTGGTGACAGAGGGCATCCTTGTCTTGTGCTGGTTTTCAAAGGGAATGCTTCCAGTTTTTGCCCATTCAGTATGATATTAGGTGTGGATTTGTCATAAATACCTTTTATTATTTTGAGATACATTCCATCAATACCTAGTTTATTGAGAGCTTTTAGCATGAAGGACTGATGAATTTTGTTGAAGGCCTTTTCTACATCTATTGAGATAATCATTTGGTTTTTGTCTTTGGTTCTGTTTATGTGATGGATTACATTTATTGATTTGCGAATGTTGAACCAGCCTTGCATCTCAAGGATGAAGCCAACTTGATCATGGTGGATAAGCTTTTTGATGTGTTGCTGGATTCGGTTGGCCAATATTTTATTGAGGATTTTTACATTGATGTTCATCAGGGATACTGGCCTACAATTCTTTTGTGTGTGTGTTTCTCTGCCAGGCTCTGGTATCAGGATGATGCTGGCCTCATAAAATGAGTTAGGGAGGATTCCCTCTTTTTCTATTAATTGGAATAGTTTCAGAAGGAATGATACCAGCTCCTCTTTCTACCTCTGGCAGAATTTGGCTGTGAATCTGTCTGGTCCTGGACTTTTTTTGGTTGGTAGGTTATTAATTACTGCTTCAATTTCAGAACCTGTTATTGGTCTATTCAGAGATTCAACTTCTTCTTGGTTTAGTCTTGGGAGGGTGTATGTGTCCAGGAATTTACCCATTTCTTCTAGATTTTCTAGTTTACTTATGTAGAGGTGTTTATAGTATTCTCTGATGGTAGTTTGTATTTCTGTGGGATGGGTGGTGATACCCCTTTTATCATTTTTTATTACATCTATTTGATTCTTCTCTCTTTTCTTTATTAGTCTTGCTAGCAGTCTATTTTGTTGATCTTTTCAAAAAACCAGCTCCTGGATTCACTGATTTTTTGAAGGGTTTTTTATGTCTCTATCTCCTTCAGTTTTGCTCTGATCTTAGTTATGTCTTGCCTTCTGCTAGCTTTTGAATTTGTTTGCTCTTGCTTCTCTAGTTCTTTTAATTGTGATGTTAGGGTGTTGATTTTAGATCTTTCCTGCTTCTTGTGGGCATTTAGTGCTATAAATTTTCCTTTACACACTGCTTTAAATGTGTCCCAGAGATTCTGGTATGTTCTGTCTTTGTTTTCCTTGGTTTGAAAGAACATATTTCTGCCTTCATTTCGTTATTTACCCAGTAGTCATTCAGTAACAGGTTGTTCAGTCTCTATGTAGTTGTGTGGTTTTGAGTGTTTATTAATCCTGAGTTCTAGTTTGATTGCACTGTGGTCTGAGAGACAGTTTGTTGTGATTTCTGTTCTTTTACATTTGCTGAGGAGTGTTTTACTTCCAATTGTGTGGTCAATTTTAGAATATGTGTGATGTGGTGCTGAGAAGAATGTATACTCTGTTGATTTGGGGTGTAGAGTTCTGTAGACGTCTATTAGGTCCGCTGGGTCCAGAGGTGAGTTCAAGTCCTGGATATCCTTGTTAACCTTTTGTCTCATTGATCTAATATTGACAGTGGGCTGTTAAAGTCTCCCATTATGATTGTGTGCGAGTCTAAGTCTCTTTGTAAGTCTCTAAGGTCTTACTTTATGAATCTGGGTGCTCCTGTATTGGATGCATATATATTTAGGATAGTTAGCTCTTCTTGTTGAATTGATCCCTTTACCATTATGTAATGGCCTTGTCTCTTTTGATCTTTGTTTAAAGTCTGTTTTATCAGAGACTAGGATTGCAACTCCTGCTTTTTTTTTTGCTTTCCATTTGCTTGGTAGATCTTCCTCCATCCCTTTATTTTGAGCCTATGTGTGTCTTTGAACAAGAGATGGGTCTCCTGAATACAGCACACCCATGGGTCTTGACTCTTTATCCAATTTGCCAGTCTGTGTCTTTTAATTGGGGCATTTAGCCCATTTACATTTAAGGTTAACATTGTTATGTGTGAATCTGATCCTGTCATTCATTATGATGTTAACTGGTTATTTTGCCCGTTAATTGATGCAGTTTCTTCATAGCGTTGATGGTCTTTACAATTTGGCATGTTTTTGCAGTGGCTGGTACCAGTTGTTCCTTTCCATGTTTAGTGCTTCCTTCAGAAGCTTTTGTAAGGCAGGCCTGGTGGTGAAAAAATCTCTCAGCATTTGCTTGTCTGTAAAGGAATTTATTTCTCCTTCGCTTATGAAGCTTAGTTTGGCTGGATATGAGATTCTGGGTTGAAAATTCTTTTAAGAATGTTGAATATTGGCTCCCACTGTCTTCTGGCTTGTAGGGTTTCTGCTGAGAGCTGCTGTTAGTCTGATGGGCTTCCCTTTGTGGGTAATCCGGCCTTTCTCTCTGGCTGCTCTTAACATTTTTTCCTTCATTTCAACCTTGGTGAATCTGACAATTATGTGTCTTAGGGTTGCTCTTCTCGAGGAGTATCTTCCTGGTGTTCTCTGTATTTCCTGAATTTGAATGTTGGCCTGCCTTGCTAGTTAGGGAAGTTCTCCTGGATAATATCCTGAGGAGTGTTTTCTAACTTGGTTTCATTCTCCCTATCACTTTCCGGTACATCAATCAAACGTAGATTTGGTCTTTTCACATAGTCCCGTATTTCTTGGAGGCTTTGTTCATTTCTTTTCACTCTTTTTTCTCTAATCTTGTATTCTTGTTTTATTTCATTAATTTGATCTTCAATCACTGATATCCTTTCTTCCACTTGATTGAATCGGCTTTTTTTTTTTTTTTTAAGATGGAGTTTCGCTCTTGTTGCCCAGGCTGGAGTGCAATGGTGTGATCTTGGCTCCCTGCAACCTCCGCCTCCTGGGTTCAAGCAATTCTCCTGCCTCAGCCTCCCTAGTAGCTGGGATTACAGGCATGTGCCAACACGCCCGGCTAATTTTGTATTTTTAGTAGAGATGGGGTTTCTCCATGTTGGTCAGGCTGGTCTCGAACTCTCGACCTCAGGTGATCCGCCCGCCTTGGCCTCACAAAGTGCTGGGATTACAGGCGTGTGCCACCATGCCTGGCCATTGAATCAGCTATTGAAGCTTGTGTGTGCATCATGAAGTTCTTGTGCTGTGGCTTTTAGCTCCATCAGGTCATTTAAGGTCTTCTGTACACTCTTTATTCTAGTTAGCCATTCATCTAACCTTTTTTCAAGGTTTTTAGCTTCCTTGCGATGGGTTAGAACATGCTCCTTTAGTTCCGAGACGTTTGTTATTACCAACCTTTGGAAGCCTACTTCTGTCAACTTGTCAAACTCATTCTCCATCCAGCTTTGTCCCCTTGCTGGCGAGCAGCTGCGATCCTTTGGAGAAGAGGCGCTCTGGTTTTTGGAATTTTCAGGTTTTCTGCTCTGGTTTCTCCCCATCTTTGTAGTTTTATCTACCTTTGGTCTTTGATGTTGGCAACCTACAAATGGGGTTTTGGTGTGGATGTCCTTTTTGTTGATGTTGATGCTATTCCTTTCTGTTGTTAGTTTTCCTTCTAACAGTCAGGCCCCTCAGCTGCAGGTCTGTTGGAGTTTGCTGGAGGTCCACTCCAGACCCTGTTTGCCTGGGTATCACCAGCAGAGGCTGTAGAACAGCAAATATTGCTGCCTGATCCTTCCTCTGCAAGCTTTGTCCCAGAAGGGCACCCGCCTGTTGAAGGTGTCTGTTGACCCCTACTGTGAGGTGTCTCCCAGTCAGGCTACACAGGGGTCAGGGACCTGCTTGAGGAAGCAGTCTGCATTCTTGGAGCTCGCACACTGTGCTCAGAGAACCACTGCTCTCTTCAGAGCTGTCAGACAGGGACGTTTAAGTTTGCAGAAGCTGTCTGCTGCCTTTTGTTCAGCTATGCCCTGCCCACAGAGGTGGAATCTAGAGAGGCAATAGTCCTTGCTGAGCTGTGGTGGGCTCCGCCCAGTTCGAGCTTCTGGGCTACTTTGTTTACACTGTGAGCTACTCAAGCCTCAGCAATGGCAGATGCTGGCCCTGCCCCATCAAGCTGCAGCGTTGCTGGTTGATCTCAGACTGCTGCACTAGTAGTGAGCAAGGCTCCGTGGGCATGGGACCTGCCGAGCCAGGCACAGGAGGGAATCTCCTGGTCTGCCAGTTGCGAGGACCATAGGAAAAGCGCTGTATTTGGGCAGGAGTGTACCATTCCTCCAGGTACAGTCACTCATGGCTTCCCTTGGCTAGGAAAGGGAAATCCCCTGACCCCTTGTGCTTCCTGGGTGAAGCGATGCCCTGCCCTGCTTCAGCTCGCCCTCTGTGGGCTGTACCCACTGTCCAACCAGTCCCAGTGAGATGAACTAGGTACCTCAGTTGGAGATGCAGATATCACCCGCCTTCTGCGTCGATCTTGCTGGGAGCTGCAGACCGGAGCTGTTCCTATTTGGCTATCTTGGAAGCGACTGCCCGCAAAAAGGTATTCTTTTTAAAACCTAAGTCGGCTGGGTGTGGTGGCTCATGCCTGTAATCCTAGCACTTTGGGAGGCTGAGGTGGGCAGACTGCCTGAGCTCAGGAGTTTGAGACCAGTCTGGGCAACACGGTGAAACCCCGTCTCTACTAAAATACAAAAAATTAACCGGGTGTGGTGGCCTACACCTGTAGTCCCAGCTACTCAGAAAGCTGAGGCAGGAGAATTGCTTTAACCCAGGAGGTGGAGGTTGCAGTAAGCTGAGATCGCGCCACTGCACTCCAGCCTGGGTGACAGAGCAAGACTCTGTCTCCCGAAGAAAAAAAACAAAACAAAAAACAAAACAAAAAAAAACACCTAAGTCAGGTCATATTACTCCTTTGCTCACAAATCTCCAGTGGCTTCCCATTTTGGAATAAAGGCCAATGTTCTTACACATGTCTACAACTTATACCATCTACTCCCTTCATCTCCTGCCACTAACACTTTGCTCCAATCACACTGGCCTCCTTCCCGTTCCCATGATATGCCACTTACATACCTCTACATTTTTGCTGTTCCCTATGACTGAAAACACTCTTCCTTCAAAGAGCTGTAGGACTTACTCCCTTAACTCCTTCAGGGAGGCGTTCCCTGACTATATGTAGCACTGCAACCCCTGTTCCTCCTCCTGACACTCCCAAAATTCTTCCCAGTTTTGTTTTTTCCCCTATAGCACTTACCAGTACCTTCTGGCTTACTATATATTTTACTTATTTATTTACTGTTTCTCCCTATTAGACTGCCACAAAGGCAGAGATTTTTAGAATATATTTTATTCATTGCTATATCCCTAGCTCTGAGAATTCTTTGGTATGTAGTTGGCACCCAACAAATATTTATTGAGTTAATAAAACATTATCCTTCTAATAACCCAAATTTAAAGGTCTAGGGCATTTTGATTTCTACTTTGCCTTTATATACCTCATTTAGTCAGTAACTACATCCTCTGAATCTATTATATGAATCCTGCTTCTCACACACTCTATTTTGGGTCTTCATTATCTCTCAAACAGTCTAATGCAAAAGTATCATTACTGATGCCCCCAAATTAATAAATATCTATTAAGTACCTTCTATGTGTCAAGCAGGTTAGACAGTAGGAATACAAAGGTGAATACAACCCAAATCCTTTATGAACTTTACCACCTAATTACAACGTGCTGACTTCTACTGATTTATCTTAAACCCTTCAGACTGACTTTTTCGTTTACATGTATGTCACAGTCTGCTTAAAAACAAAAACAAACATAAACTACCAAAAAACCATCCATTCCTTATGTAAAGATTAAGTCTCATAATGCCAATTAAGAGCTTCTACTATTAGCTTTCAACCTAATTTCTCAGCATTATTTCTTACGATCCAATGCAATACTATAGGACAACTACCAAATAAATCTCATATTTTCTGCCTATATACTTTTGTTCAAGCTGGTCTATCAGCTTGATAGTTTTTGTTTCTTTATCTAACTTTTGAAAGGTTGCCTAGCTTTCAAAAATCTAACTTAGATGCCATTTCTTCCTGGATACCACAGTAAAAAATGTTAGCTTCTCTTTTCTAAAGTGAGCTAATACTCTCTACTAGTTGAGAGAATACAGCTTAACATTCAACCAGTCCTGGTTTTGTTTATAGTTCTGCCTTATTAAAGATGTGACCCTAGGTAAGTGAGTTCTCTGGATCTCAGTTTTATCACTTGCAAAATGAGGATAATTCCTATCTCTTTGGATTGTTGAAATAATTAAATGAGATAAAACACACAAAATACCTAGCACAGTGTCTTGCATATTAAAAAAGGTTCAAGAAACCTTATGTCTCTCCCCAATTGTTATATTTCTTATCACACTTTCTGCCTCATTACCTGTATATGTGTCTTAAACCACCTCCCTTCCAATAAATTTTAGAAAGATAGGAATTATGCCCTATGTATCTTTGTATCCTCCACAGCACCAATTTCAGTACCTTGTAAACAGGTAATGTGCACTATTAAACTGAACAATAAACTAATCAGCAAGCCTATTTTTGCTATATATTCCTCTGCCAGTTTTGAAGCTCTTAACTGAAAATATAACTGGAAACAGTAAATACAAATCAATATAAAGAAAACTAACAAATCTATTCTTGAAATTTGAGATTGTTATATGGTATCTGAACCTGTTCCCTTACAGTTCTCTTACCTGTTACTTCATCACTGTGAGTAGACAATAGTTTCCAAATGAGGTAAGGACCACCAAGGATAACAGCAAAGAACAAGAATATTGGCCAAGATTTTGCTGAGGTAGCTGCTCGGTCCTCAGCACCAAGGCATGCCACAGTTCCTTCACTCTCTGCCCAGAGGTCTTCATTCTCAGAGCCTCTTCTTAAACCTAACATCCGCTGTAGCCGTCTGTAAAGATACCGTATAGTCCTAACCAATGCAAAAGCTGAAAACACTTTTGTAAAGTGTATTTTCAATCGGGAAAAGTGATTTGCTACATCCAATACAGCCCTGAAACTGTTATAGACAGCTGAAAAGGTAGCATCCATCATCATACTGACAGAGGCAAATGCATGCACAATACTTTCAATGGACTGAAATGCACCCCTGCTGCTTTCTTCAGCTTGCTGAACAAATCTACTGGGTGGAAGATCATCTACACGGAGGCGGTTGTAGCCCAGCCCATTATATCCATAACTATAAGGACTATAGCCTCCATAAAATGAATTTCCATAGGCACCATATCCAGAAGAAAATGAACTGTAAGCAGGTCTAAAAGTGTTCACACTGCTACTTCCTGTCTGCTGTGATGGCCTTGGAAGAATAGGTGGGGGCACTCTGGTAAGTGCTGGTTGTCCAGGTCTTGTCATTAAAGTAGGACCCAAATCAGCAGATCTAAAACCAAAAAAGATTCAAAACAGTTATTTAAGCATACAATAAATTCAATTCAAAGTAAGTATTAAACATCTCCTATATACCTGGTGCTATGACAAATTCTACTGAAGACTGATTAATTGATTTAGAGACAGGGTCTCACTCTGTTGCCCAAGCTGGAGTGTAGTAGCACAATCAAAAGCTCACTGTAGCCTCAACCTCCCAGGCTCAAGTGATCCTCCCACCTCAGCCTCCTGAGCAGTTGGGACTACAGGTGCATGCCACCACACCTGGCTAATTTTTTATATTTTTTGTAGAGATGGGGTTTCACCATGTTTCCCAGGCTGGTCTCAAACTCCTGGGCTCAAACGATCCATCTGCCTTGGTTTCCTAAAGTGCTGGGATTACAGGTGTGAGCCACTGTGCCCAGGCATCACTTTAAAGTTTAAAATTTAATAGGTTTTAGTACACTCACAGAGGTGTGTAACTATCACCATGTCTAATTCAGAAGATTTTCATCACCTCAAAAAAGAAACCCCATATTCATTAGCAGCTATTCCCCATTTCCTGCCCACCCCTCCACCCATCTTTGGCAACCATGAATCTACCTTCTGTCCCTCGGTTTGTCTATTCTGGACATTTCATATATAGTTAATTCTTGTTATTTAAGATAGTTATATCCTGTAAAGTTGCTGTGAACTCTGAACCAGCAGATACCAAATCACTGCTTCTTTCATCAACCAATCAATACATATACTTATTTTATATGTTTCTGTTTAAAGTCACTTTATTCCAGGTATATTGTTAACTCATTAACAACTCATGGCCAACAGCACAATAGCCCATGCCTGAATGAAGCTTATCTAACACCTGTATTTTCTCTGTAAGGCACACTACAGCATTCCTGTGCTTAGGAACACTAGAGATCACTTCAGCACTATGCTTGGGGGCCATTTTAGACAGCAAAATCACCATAAAAAAATGTGAAAAAACCTGGCACTAAACAGACTTTGATAAAGACAACTGTTTACAGCATGAGAGCTGAAATAAGAAACCAGAGTGTTGCTTTTTTGTCTCTCAGTTGTCCCTCAGTTGTCAGCTGAGGGACAACTCAGATTTTTACCTGATGTACGTTTGTCCTCAAATGACTGTGATAGTGCCAGGAATATTGATTTTCAGATTACAAATAAATTTTAGTGAGCAGACCAATTTGAAAATACAGAATCCACAAATAATGAGGATCTATGGTAAATGGACTCATACAATACGTAGTATTTTGTGACTGGCTTCTTTCACTTAGCATAATGTTTCCAGGGTTTATCCATTTTATAGCATGTATCAGCACAGGCAGCCCTTGGTATCTGTGGGGGAGTGGTTTCAAAATCTCCTTCAGATACCAAAATCCATGAATGCTCAAGTCCTTAATATAAAATAGTATAGCATTTGCATATAACCTATGCACATCCTCCTGTATACTTAAAATCATCTCTAGCTTATAGTATCTAATACACTGTAAATGTATGTAATTACTTATACTGTAGTGTTTAGGAAATAATGACAAGGAATAAAGTCTGTACATGTTCAGTACAGATGCAGTTTTTTTTTTTCTGAATACTTTTTTTTTTTAAGAGACAGGGTCTCACTCTATTGTCCAGGCTAGAGTGTTGTGGCATGATCATAGCTCACCGCAGCCTCCAACTCCTGGCCTCAAGTGATCCTCCCACCTCAGCCTCCCAAAATGTCAGGATAACAGGTGTTAGCCAACACGTCTGGCCTATTTTCCGAATATTTTTGATCCACAGTTGGTTGATCAGATGTGGAAGGCCAACTGTATTTCATTAATTTTTATTGCCAAATTATATTTATTCACACATCAGCTTATGTATATTGGGGCTGTTTTTACTTCTTGGCTATTACAAATAATGCTGCAATGACCATTTATGTACAAGTTTTTGTACGGACATGTTTGCTGGGTTATATGGAAACTCTATATTTAGCCTTTTGAGGAACTGCCAGATTGTGTTCCAAAGCAACTGTACCATTTTACATTCTCGCCAATGTATGAGGATTTCCAATTTCTCCACATCCTTGGCCACATCTGCTCTTATATTTTTCATTATAGCTATCCTAGTGGGCGTGAGGTGGTATTTCACTGTGGTTTTAATTTGCATTTTCTTGACGGCTAATGATGTTGAGCATATTTTCATGTGCTTATTGGTCGTTTTACAATCTTATTTGGAAAAATATGTATTCAGATACTTTGCCCACTTTTAAGTTCGCCCTCTTTTTTTTTTTTTTTTGGAGACAGGGTCTCCCTCTGTCATTGAGGTTGGAGTGCAGAAGCGCAAACACAGCTCAAGTAATCCTTCTGCCTCAGCTTCCTATGTAGGTGAGACCACCACTCCCGGCTAACTTTTTGGTAGAGATGAGGGTCCCACTTTGTTGCCCAGGCTGGTCTCAAATACCTGGGTTCAAGCAATCCTTCCACTTCTACCTCTCAAAGTGCTGGGATTACAGGCATGAGCCATTGTACTTGGCTTAGCCTTTTTATCACTGCTTTTTAAATTATTGTGCTACATGAGTCAAAAATATCTTTAAAAATTTTTTTGAACAAAAATTCAATTAAGGCTCACACACTGCATTTGGTTGGTTTGTTTCCTTTCTTTTCTAAATGAGAACAATCCCATTTTTTCAAATATCCCTGACCTTCTAAAGAGTCAACCCAGTTTTTTTCTAGAAATGTCCTACCCCCAGCCCAGGCATGGTGGCTCATGCCTGTAATCCCAGCACTTTGGGAGGCTGAGGCAGGCGGGTCCCCTCAGGTTAGGAGTTCGAGACCAGCCTGGCCAACATGGTGAAACCCCGTCTCTACTAAAAATACAAAAATTAGCCGGACGTGGTGGTGGGTGCCTGTAGTCCCAGCTACTCGGGAGGCTGAGGGAGAATCGCTTGAACCCCAGAGGCGGCTGTTGCAGTGAGCTGAGATCATGCCACTGCCCTCCAGTCTGGGTGACACAGTGAGACTCTGTTTCAAAAAAAAAAAAAAAGAAAAGAAAGAAATGTCCTACCCCCAGATTTGTGTTTCCCCCAAGTGTTGTTTAACTTGTACTCTTATTTCGCCTCCTATTAAATTAAGATTGCATTTAACGGTTTGATTGCAATCAGGTTCAATATTTTTTGGCAAGAATAATTCATAAGTGATGTTGTTTACTTCACACAGTATTACTTTAGGAGGCGCATTTGTGAAGCTAAATTTGATTAGTTGGTTAAGGAGGTGACTATTAGATCTTTCCATTAAAATGTATCTTTCCCTTTGTAATTAGTATATAATCTATGGGATGACAGTTTTGTACCACAAATATTCTATTCCTCAGCAACTGTTCATTTGATAGTTTAGCATCGATTCATCATCCTTGCCTGAAACAAATATTAGATGTGGAACTGCAAAATGGTAATTTTCTAATCCAGGCTAAAGTTTTAATTTAGACTTGTATCGTAATATTATAAACAAGCTACTAGAACTCTATTTTTTTTTCTTTTATTGGATCTGATATTTAAAAATGGAACAAAACTTAAAAGGAGCCAGTGAACGGCCAGATAGTGCAGTGCATTCAGGCTTTAATGAAACAGTTCTGCTCCCAAGTATAAGCAATAATAGAGAAAACAGAGAGACAAACAAACAGACATTATCTAGATTTAACACAAGACAGACTTATGGAAGAGAAACTAAACAGAAATGTAAAATGGTAAGGAGGGCTGAAGCTACGGGCCTACTCAATTCTGGTTCTGTAATCAGGCAGTGACAGCCAAGATGCAGGCTTCAATGAAGTAACAAAAACGAAAAGTGCTCCATTAAAATGGAACCAGTTCAATGCTTGAGGCTGGGAATGAGGATGTGCCACCTTGACTCCTACAAAGAGATTATAAAATTTGCTGATGACAGTTTAATATTTTGAGAAAGTTACAGAACTAAGAGAGGGAGAGGACTGTGATAAGGCCTCCAGCCCAGGAAATGAAACAACTGACCGACTTGATGTGTGATATCCTTAATCTAACTCGCTGTTTTTGTGTGTGTGTGTGTGTTTTGTTTTTTTTTTTTTTGAGACAGAGTCTCACTCTGTCACCCAAGCTGGAGTTCAGTGGTGCAATCACGGCTCACTGCAACCTCAAACTCCTAGGCTCAAGCGATCCCTCCCACCTCAGCTTCCCAAGTAGCTGGGACTACAGGCGTGCACCACCATGCCTGCCTTTTTTTTTTTTTTTCTTTTTGATATTTTTTGTAGAAATGGGTTCTCGCTACATCTTGAGAGGCTGGTTTCCAACTCCTGGGCTCAAGCAATCCTCCTGCCTTGGCCTCCCAAAGAGCTAAGATTACAGGTGTGAGCCACCATGCCCAGTCTGACCCACTGTTTTTACACCTGATTCTTACCTAAGTGGTAGGTAGAGGGAACAGGGAGAGGCAACAGGACACCTATTAGATAGAGAGAGGGGAACATGGAAGAGGGAAAGGAGAGAAAACAGAACTCCAAAATTACTACTCAAAATGACCATCTCAAAAATGCCACACACATGAAGAAATAAAAACACTAAGAAACAAAGCCAACAAAAATCAGCAAGTATAAAACCCAATTTAAAAAAACTAATTTTATATAACAGCTCAGGAATGATTTTAGATATGTTAAAAATTATCAGAGAGAGAAATGAAATAATATCTGTGAAATAAAAATTGAAATTAAATAAAAACATTTAAATATTTTAAAAATTCCATTAGAAATCTTAGAAAAGGTGGCCACAGGCCAGGCGTGGTGGCTCATGTCTGCAATCCCAGCACTTTGGGAGGCTGAGGTGGGTGGATCACAATGTCAGGAGTTCAAGACCAGCCTGGCCAAGATGGTGAAATACTGTCTCTACTAAAAATACAAAAATTAGCCACGCGTGGTGGTGGGCGCCTGTAATCTCAGCTCCTCGGGTGGCTGAGGCAGAGAATTGCTTGAACCTGGGAAGCGGACAGAGGTTGAGGTGAGCCGAGATAGCACCACTGCACTCCGGCCTGGGCGACAGAGTGAGACTCCGTCTCAAAAAAAAAAAAAAAAAAGAAAAAAGAAAAGGTGGCCACAGCCACTGGAACCGTTTTTCAACTACCGGTCAAGAAGAAAATTAGCTGCTGTACACTAAGGAGCAGAATGGAAATACAGAACTTGGGAATTCTATTTTAAGTAATGGTTGTCGAGGTAATTAGATTAACCCTCCCAATGAACTAGAAGGGAAGGAAATAGGAAGGAATTCTGTTTAAAGCATTAGAGAACGAGGCACCGAAGAATTCTGGAGACAAAATCAAGGAGGAAAAAAAAAACCCAGAGAGCCAGATCTTTTCAGGCGTTTCTCTAGAAACCAGGGCCAATTCCAGAAGAGATGGTTGACAGGATGAGAAGCTGGGCAGAGATTTTAAGACTCCCTGGGCTAAGGAGCCATAAACTGGAGTTCAGAACCCTAAAGAGGAAAGCCATAGGGAACCCTCACACTTCAGATTGGGACCTTAAAAAGGGAAATATGCTAGTAGAAAGGGTGAAAAGGTTAACAGGAAATGGACTACCTGGCAGGAATGAAAACCAAGTTTTAAATCAGCTCAATCCTTTATTGGATTAAAGTGATTCTAGATTGTTAGTGGCCTAACATTCTGGTCAAAAGGAAAAGTCTTTAGAGAAAGATATCCTTAGGCCTCAAATCACATTAAACTGTCTATATACAATGTGCAGCTCTCATTAAAAAATAAACGGGCTTGGCTGGGCATGGTGGCTCACTCCTATAATCCCAGCACTTTGGGAGGCTGAGGCAGGTGGGTCACTTGAATCCAAGAGTTTGAGACCAGCCTGTCCAGCATGGCGAAACCCTGTCTCTACTAAAAATACAAAAATTAGCCAGGTGTGGTGGCGAATGCCTGTAATCCCAGCTACTCAGGTGGCTGAAGCACAAGAATCACTCGAACCTGGGTGACAGGGGTTGTAGTGAGCCGAGATTGTACCACTGCACTCCAGCCTGGGCAACAGAGCAAGACTCTGTCTTAATAATAATAATAATAATGATAATAATAATAATAATGATAGGGCTTACATAACAAAATTATGGGTGGATCATGAGGTCAGGAGTTCAAGACCAGCCTGGCCAAGATGGTGAAACCCCGTCTCTATTAAAAACTATAAAAAATTAGCTGGGTGCAGTGGCAGGTGCCTGTAATCCCAGCTACGGGGGAGGCTCAGGCAGGAGAATTGCTTGAACCTGGGTGGCAGAGGTTGCAATGAGCCGAGATCACGCCACTGCACTCCAGCCTGGGCAACAGAGTGAGACTGTCTCAAAAACAAAACAAACAAACAAAAAAAGAAACTTCAGATAATACAAAGAGCTCCAAAGGGGATCTAGATAATAGAGTTATTATAGACTTATTAGGCAGAAACTTTAAACAACTGTGTTGAATATATTCAAATAAAAAAGGCAAGATTGGGATTTTCCAAAAGAAAATAGGAACTATAATATAAAGCAGGACCAAATGAAGATTCTACAACTAAAAACAACACCAAACCAAACCTGAAATTATGAACTCAATGACTGTTTTTTTTGTTTTTGTTTTTGTTCTTAGATGGAGTCTCACTCTGTTGCCCAGGCTGGACTGCAGTGGCGTGATCTCGGCTCACTGCAAGCTCAGCCTCCTGGGTTCATACCATTCTCCGGCCTCAGCCTCCTGAGTAGCTGGGACTACAGGCGCCCACCACCACGCCCAGCTAATTTTTTGTATTTTCAGTAGAGACGGGGCTTCACCATGTTAGCCAGGATGGTCTCGATCTCCTGACCTCGTGATCCACGCGCCTCGGCCTCCCAAAGTGCTGGGATTACAGGCATGAGCCACTGCACCCGGCCTCAATGACTGGTTTAATACCAGATTAGACACAGTGAAAGAAAAATATCAGTGAACTAGGAAAGAGATGGGAAGAAAATACCCAGAATGAAGCATAAGAAACAGAAGGATAAATACAGAAAAGAGAGTAAGATACAGGGAGTATAGTGACATATGGGGTATATATGCAAGTTGAGTTAAAGGAGTAAAGTGACAATAGATAGAAACCATATTTAAAGAAATAATGGCTTAAAGTTTTCTGGAATTAATAAGAGGCATCAAAGTCAGATTCAAGTATCCCTGTGAATTCCACCCAGGATAATACAAAGAAGACCACACTGAGGCCTAACAAAGCAAACTGCTGAAAACTAAAACAGAGAAAAAATATTGAAAGCAACCAGATCAGGGGTGGGGTAAGATTCTTTTTAAAGGAGCAAAGAATAAGACAGAGATGGTGAGGGAGTGGTGGCTCATGCCTGTAATCCCAGCACTTTGGGAGACCTAGGTGGGAAGATCACTTGAGCCCAGGAATTTAAGATCGGCCTTGGCAACATGGTAAAAACCCATCTCTACAAAAAATACAAAAATTAGCTGGGCGTTGTGGCACTTACCTGTGGTCCCAGCCACTCGGGAGGCTGAGGTGGGAGGACTGCTTGAGCCCTGGGAGATGGAAGCTGCAGTGAGGTGTGATTGCGTCACCACACTCCAGCCTGGTGACAGAGTGAAACTTATTTCAAAACAAACAAACAAACAAACAAACAAAACAAAAGACAGAGATGGCCAAAAAGTCAAGAGAGCTGACAAAAAAAAAAAAAAAAGAAGTCAGGAAAAACTTAGGTCCCTTGATGACAATGTTGAGAAGGCAGATCTCTAGACTTCTTGCTAACTAAACAATAAATGTCTTAATAGTCCAAATCACAGTGAGTCAGATAATGTTACTTATAGCAGACACTAGTCCCGATATAATGCTTGACAGAAGAAGAGACAGTAAAGACTAGTGTTCAAACAAAACTTAAAATAATATTTAAAGGTATAATTGATGAGCATTTTCCTGAATTAAAAAAAGAAATGAATCCTCAGACTGAATACTGTGGATACTAAGCAGGAAGAAAAAAAAAATATGTGTGTGTGTGTGTGTGTGTGTGTGTCTGTATATTCCTACCTGGTTACAATATAATAAAGCTAGAGGACCAAACGTATCAAGGCTACTAAGGAGAAGGCAGTCTGCCTATAAAGAAATGAATTAGGCCAGGTGAGATGGCTCATGCCTGTAATCCCAGCATTTTGGGAGGCTGAGGTGAGAGGATTGCTTGAGCCCAGGAGTTCGAGACCAGCCTGGGAAACAAGGCAAAACTCCATCTCTACTAAAAATATAAAAATTAGTTGGGCATGGTGGCATGCACCTGTAGTCCCAGCTACTCAGGAGGCTGAGGCAGGAGGACCACTTAATCCCAGGATGTAGAAGCTGCAGTGAGCCATGACTGCACCACTGCACTCCAGCCCGGGTGGCAGAGTGAGACACTGTCTGAAAAAAAAAAGGAAATTAGACTCAACAGAAAAACCTATCTAGCTATAAAACTTTGATACAAAACCAGAATAGTACAAAGAAAAAAAATTCAATTTCACCTAGGAACATGTATGCAACAGTCTCACAATATTAGAATAGAGTTCTTTTTCTTTTTGGAGACAGGGTCTTGCTATGTCACCCAGGCTGGAGTGCAGTGGTATGATGACAGCTCACTGCAGCCTTGAACTCCTGGACTCAAAGGGATCCTCCCACCTCAGCCTCCCTAGTGGCTAGGACTACAGGCACACACCACTACACCTGGCCAATTTTAAAATTTTTTATAGACAGAGTCTTGTTATGTTGCTCAGACTAGTCTTGAACTTCTGGCCTCAAGCAATCCTCCTGCCCTGGCCTTCCAAAATGCTAGGATTACAAATGTGAACCACTCCAACTGGTTTAGAATAGAATTTGGAATTGCATATCAGAAAAAAATCAAGACTAATCAAAGTTCATTGAGAAATGCAAGGATGGTTCAACAATAGAAGGTTGATACAATAAACATTTTCTCTAATCTTGTCTTCTCACTTTATTTCATCAATTTGATCTTCAATTACTGATATCCTTTTTTCCACTTGATTGAATCAGCTATTGAAGCTTGTGCGTGCATCACGAAGTTCTTGTGCCATGGTTTTCAGCTCCATCAGGTCATTTAAGGTCTTCTCTACACTGTTTATTCTAGTAAGCCATTCATCTAACCTTTTTTCAAGGTTTTTAGCTTCTTTGCGACGGGTTAGAACATGCTCCTTTAGCTCGGAGAAGTTTGTTATTGCCGACCTTCTGAAGCCTACTTCTGTCAACTCGTCAAAGTCATTCTCTGTCCAGCTTTGTTCCGTTGCTGGCAAGGAGCTGCGATCCTTTGGAGGAGATGAGGTGCTCTGATTTTTAGAATTTTCAGCTTTTCTGCTCTGGTTTCTCCCCATCTTTGTGGTTTTATCTACCTTTGGTCTTTGATGTTGGTAACCTACAAATGGGGTTTTGGTGTGGATGTCCTTTTTGTTGATGTTGAAGCTATTCCTTTCTGTCTACTAGTTTTCCTTCTAATGGTCACGTCCCTCAGCTGCAGGTCTGTTGGAGTTTGCTGGAGGTCCACTGCAGACCCTGTTTGCCTGGGTATCACCAGCAGAGGCTACAGAACAGCAAATATTGCTGCCTGATCCTTCCTCTGGAAGCTTTGTCCCAGAGGGACACCTGCCTGTTTGAGGTGTCTGTCAGCCCCTACTGGGAGGTGTTTCCCAGTCAGGCTACACGGGGGTCAGGGACCCACTTGAGGAGGCCGTCTGTCCGTTCTCAGAGCTCAAACACCATGCTGGGAGAACCACTGCTCTCTTCAGAGCTATCAGACAGGGACGTTTAAGTCCACAGAAGTTTCTGCTGCCTTTTGCTCAGCTATGCCCTGCCCACAGAGCTGAAGTCTATGGAGGCAGTAGGCCTTGCTGAGCTGCAGTGGGCTCCTCCCAGTTCAAGCTTCCTGGGCGCTCTGTTTACCTACTCAAGCCTCAGCAATGGTGGATTCCCCTCCCCCTGCCAGGCTGCTGCCTCGCAGATTGATCTCAGACTGCTGTGCTAGCACTGAGCAAGGCTCCATGGGTATAGGATCCGTCAAGCCAGGCATGGGAGAGAATCTCCTGGTCTGCTTGTTGCTAAGACTGTGGAAAAAGCCCACTATTTGGGCAGAAGTGTCCCATTTTTCCAGGTATAGTCTGTCACGGCATCCCTTGGTTAGGAAAGGGAAATCCCCCAATCCCTTGCGCTTCCTGGGTGAGGTGATGCCCCGCCTCGATTTGGCTCACCCTCCATGGGGTGCGACCAGTGTTCAACCAGTCCCAGTGAGATGAACCAGGTACCTCAGTTGGAAACACAGAAATCACCCGTCCTGTGCGTCAATCACGCTGGGAGCTGCAGACCAGAGCTGTTCCTATTCCCACATTTTCATACTAAAGCGAAAATACATACAATGGTCTCAACAGATGCAGAAAAGCCATTCATAAAATTTAATATTTCTTCACAATAAAAATCTGAGCAAGGTAAGGGCTGGGCATAGTGACTCACACCTGTAATCTCAGCACTTTGGGAGGCCTAGGTGGGCAGATCACCTGAGGTCAGGAGTTCAAGACCAGCCTGGCCAACATAGTGAAACCCCATCTCTATTAAAAATACAAAAATTAGCTGGGCGGAGTGGCACGCGCCTGTAGTCTCAACTGTCCGGGAGACTGAGGCAGGAGAATCACTTGAACCCAGGAGGTAGAGGTTGCCATGAGCCAAGATTGCGTCTCTGCACTCCAGCCTGGGAGACACAGTGAGACTCCATCTCAAACAAAAATAAAAATGAAATAAAAATAAAATAAAATAAATCTGAGCAAGGTAGAGAGAGAGAATTTTGACAAGATATCTATCAAAAACAAAAAGCAAACTTCACATTTAACAGTAAAACTTCAGAAGCACTCCAGTGGAAGTCAGGACCAATACAAGGATGCTAGCTTATCTGTAAATGACAGAACTGGCTACACAAAACTAAAGAGAATTTCAACCAAACCATCAGAACTAATTAAGAGTTTGAGATTATGCTGTACATAATATTTACATTAAAAAAAATCAATAGCATTCTGCCATACCAGTTAATAACCAACTGGAAAATGTAAAAGGAAAAAAGAAAGCCCATTTGCAACTACTACAGCAAAAATAATCTAGGAATAAAAAATAAAATATGGAAAAAAATTTCATGGAGGTAATTATAAGTTTTTTGTTGTTGTTGTTGTTTGAGATGGAGTCTCCCTCTGTTGCCCAGGCTGCAGTGCAGTGGCGTGATCTTGGCTCACTGCAAGCTCCGCCTCGTGGGTTCACGCCATTCTCCTGCCTCAGCCTCCTGATTAGCTGGGACTACAGGTGCCCGCCACCGCACCCAGCTAATGTTTTTTTGTATTTTTAGTAGAGACGGGGTTTCTCCGAGTTAGCCAGGATGGTCTCGATCTCCTGACCTCGTGATCTGCCCGCCCAGTCTCCCAAAGTGGATAATTATAAGATATTTAAGGCAAAAAGATAAATTCCCACCAATTGTAGCTTATACAATATTCATGGAATAAAAACTTACTTGATCCATAAATTCAGCTCAGTTCCAATAAAAATCCCAGTAAGTCTTTTTATAAAGGACTAAGTGTAAAGAGCGCAATTACAAAGAACAGCAATGTGTGGAAACTCTTGACATACTACATATCAAGACTTATAAAATTCTGTAATTAAGATAGTGTGGTGCTAGTAGAAAGTCAGAAAATGCCCAAAACAGAACTACATATTTAGGAAACCTTGATATGACATAGATGGCATTAAAAACTAAGAATAGACTACTCAATAAATGGTGCTGCGACAATTAGTTACCTATATGGAAAAAAAAATTAGATTTTTATACAAAGTCAGTTCCATGTGGATTAAATGCAAATGAAAAAACCGGAAGATTTAAAAGAAAACATACAGAAAAACTGTCCTGATCTAGGTAGACAGGATTTCTTAACCAAGACAAAAAGCATAAACAATAAAATATGACAATTTTGGCTGTATTAAAATCAAAAACATCTGTACAAAAAATTGAACATAAATATAAAGAGGAGAAGCCACACAGTGAAAAATATTAGCAAAATGTAGTAACAAAAAAGGATTAGTTTAACAATACTCTTACAAATTGGTAAGCAAAGATAAAGCCAATAGAAAATTGGGCAACAGAAAAAACAAAAACAGATACAAAAAATAATATATAAATAGTAACATGTAATTAGATATAAAATATATATTATTGTTACATTGTTAAGTTTTAGATATAAAATGCATATAAATAGCACAAACCTAAGTACTAAAATATAAAAACATTACTGGGTATGCGAAACACCAAATAAGGACAATAGTCACCACTATAAAGAAGAATGGGAGAGTTTAGCCGTCTTTTATTTTGAAAAATTCGACATAAGTCTGGCAAATGTTAACACTGTTTAAAGTTGAGTAGTGAATATATAGGTATTATCTTACTCTCTACTGGTCTCTGTGTTTAAAATATTTCACGATAAAGTGGGAAAATGGTTAATTTTACATAAAAAGAACTTTAACAGATGCAAAAAATAAAACCTCTCTCATTCGACAAGCAGCCTAAATGGGGAAAAAAGAACCCACTCAAAAAAAAGGTAGCAGATAATGTCACCGTGGCTTACCAGCCTAATCAAACTTATTACTTGTTATGTATATATCCTTATTAAACTAAGTCGTTACTGTGTTAAAGCATTTTAGTGTTTAAATAAAAGATTTCAGAATACAGCAGAAATACATTCCAATATGTTGGGGTTTTTACGCTTAGGAAAACCTACAATAGTAGGTGATTTGACATTTGAATCACACCTATCTGAATTAAGATGTCCAGCACTACCAAACAAAAGCCACACGAGGCCACGAAACACTCCCAACTCTGCATGTTTTAGCCTTTTTAAAGTCCTAGAAACCAACTGATACTGATTAAAAACCAAACAAAAAAAAAATACAGGCCTCAGAAAAATACACTATTTTGCACACAAAGTCCATCCATAGGCCTCAGATCTAGAACTCCTGCTTTAAAGTTGCTTCTCCAATCTCGATCCGAAACACTGGCTGAGTTATGCTGGAAAAGAATGCAAAGTGTACGGGGCTTGAGTTCCTGTTGCGTAAAACCTTTCCGGCTTTCAGCAACTTCTCGAGAGGTTAACACCTTTAAGGAGAGACTTTGCTCCCTGTCGATGCCGTGGCTGGACAAATGCCGCTCTCAACTGCTACAGACCAAAGTCTACGCTTTAAAGATAGAGAAGCCATTCTGTCAAAGTGAAAACAGAAGCGGTAGGTAGGAAGCCGCCCCCCTTTCTTTCAAGCACAGAGACCCAGAGAGACGCCCAGGAGCTCCCGAAAAAAACGTTGCTGATTAGAGCTGCCGGGTCAGAAACAGCTGTGAGACACTAAAGTCCCCACTGGTAAGCGCCCCAGCTCCACCTCGGCCCCTATCCCCAAGGTTGGGTATTGGTTAAAGGGGGGAAGGGAATACCTCCACTAACAACCGCTACAACCGCCTCCTGCCAAGTCCCCGCTCGGGCCCACTAAACTCACAGCCTGAAGAATCCCACACTCACTGGAAAGTGGGGCCCGGTCCTGGTCCCGGTCCGGCTCCCGGAATTCGGCGGGTCTCCCAGGGTTTGGGGGGAGGTGGCGGCTGGGACGCCATCTCCTCCGCCTCCTCTCGGCTCCCGCTCCTACCCCTGACTGTCCAGGCCCGCGTAGACCAGCACCTGGAGCGTAAGACACAACGGGCAGAACACCGAGCCGTCCACCCCGCCCACCCTTGCAGTCAGGACAAGGCTTGAGTTACTTTGCCAGCTGAATCCATACAGCGGGAGGATGCCACTAATTTGTAGGAAGAAACACGCTCTTTGTATTTGCCCCAGAAAGAGCTGCCTTTCTAAACCTCAGGGTAAAGGCTCATCGATATTTCTGGTAGCGGCTACAACTCCCTAGACGTCGGAGTCCCACCGAGGCTTTTCTGGGAGTGGACCAGTCGGGCTGGGAGTAAAGCCGCACGCACTCCTTCGCTCGTGGGGGAGGTAGGGTGAGGTGGCAAACCAGGCAGTTTTTCGGATTTCCTCTACAAACAAGAAGGGAGAAGCTCACTTAGTCCTAGCGAGAGCGGGCTGGTACTTTTGTTCTAAAACGCACGTTTCCTCGGGGAACAGAATTGCTAGACGCAATAGGTGCGTTGTCTTTAGTCTTCCCTCTTCCCTTCGAGGGCCGGAAGGGGTTAAATCTCAGGCTCCGGCGTCTGGGGAGAAGGTGAGGCGGGTAGGTAAGAGGTGAAGGAGTGCAGACTGGGTGCAAAAGAGGTGTGGCGGGAGAGAGTTCGTTTCTCTCCTGCTGGAGCGGCTTTGTTAGCAAAGGAGGGGTGAGTGGGAAGTTTGTTGCACCTGACCGAAGGGGGAAGGGCTTGCTTGGCGAAAACTGAGGCTTGAGGTTAGATCTCGGGATGAACTTTTCAAGAGTCCACAGTAGATTCCAGAGCTGAATGTTTCAGAAGCCCAGTGAAGTGTGATCACCTCTTTCTCCGTAAATCCACACCCCCAGCCCCACGCCGCGTTACGAATGACACCCTTCGGTAGGGAAATGAGTTTTAAAAGATCTTAGGATATGAGACTCAGTCTGGTCATTTCGCTAGTTTTTCTTATACCCTGCCCCTTTTCTCGTTTTCGATGACTGGTTTTTGTAATCGTCCAAGAGGTGAAAATAAAGTCCTTCCTCTCCTCCAGTAAGCCAGAGACTGGGCTAGTTATCCTTGATTTGGGGAGGAGGGATTCAGTCCTCCTAGGGAGCCTGACACATGAAAGGCGGCTTTGTAGCAACTTGTTACAGAGTTATTTCTATAAAACAAACACATAAACGAAAAGCAAACATCTTGAGGGTAACCAACACTGGAAAACTTACATTGTGGAATGCCTTTCTCAGGGCTTGCTTTCAAACATAATAAATCTAATATGGACAACCGATTTCTAATATCTTATGAAATCCTGGCATTTAATTATCTCACGATGAAAAAACCAAATTTAAGACGTAACGTATTTTCTCCTTTTAATGTTAACATTCTTGAGAAGTTGATAAATTGTTGGTAGGTGAAAATGATGTTGAGAGGTTTGTAAATTCATAGCTCGTTTATTAACACACATTCAAAAGAGGTCTTTTTTGGGGTCTATTTTTAGACCTCTTCAAATTACTCAGGACTGGAAGTTTTGTAATTCTCATCAATCAGGTTTGGGAACTTCTCAGAGCCAGGAGATTGTAATGTGTCATTTATTTACTTTGCATGATACCTTTGTTCTTGTGAACTTACTGGAAAAATAAACATTGTCTTCTAGCCATGGAAAATAAAATAAATTTTAATATAGCTATTTAAGTATCGAGGGAAATCTTCATTAAGTGTCCTTTTAAAGTGCTTATTGATTTATTGGAAGAGGGTGTATTTCTTCTGTCTCTTTTTGAGTTAAATGTTACTTCTGAATTAAGTAAAATTCTTGACCTTAACTAATGGAGAAAAAATAACTTAGAGTAACAGGTGAAACAGAAACAGTTTCTCTGTGTATGTAGTCAGAGATGCACTGTAAATGCTTATATTCGCCCCTCACAGCATCCGATCTCTTCTCTGCATCAAAGTAGATTAAATGGGCTGGGAAAAGGGATCCAGATCACTAGTAAATAGTAATGACTTGACCTTGACCACACAGATCTTATTTATTTATTTATTGAGATGGAGTCTCGCTCTGTTGCCCAGACTGGAGTACAGTGGCACGATTTTGGCTCTCTGCAACCTCTGCCTCCTGGGTTCGGGCGATTCTCCTGCCTCAGCCTCCTGAGTAGCTGGGACTACAGGTGCGTGCCACCACGCATGGCTAATTTTTTGTATTTTTAGTAGAGATGGGATTTCATCGTGTTAGCCAGGATGGTCTCGATCTCCTGACCTCATGATCCTCCTGCCTCAGCCTCCCAAAGTCCTGGGCTTACTGCAACCTCCACCTACTGGGTTCAAGTGATTCTCCTGCCTCAACCTCCCGAGTAGCAGGGATTACAGGTGCACACCTCCACACGTGGCTAATTTTTGTATTTTAGTAGAGATGGAGTTTTACCATGTTGGCCAGGCTGGTCTTGAACTCCAGACCTCAAGTGATAATGCCTGCCTCGGCCTCCCAAAGTGCTGGGATTACAGGCGTGAGCCACTGGGCCTGGCCAGATCTTCATTATTTAGAGGCTGTTTTCCACATATTCTGTTTTCTTTCTTGAAAATACCCTGGAGCCCAAATTTACTTAGGCAACCCTAACTATGCGTTTCTCAATTCTGGTGTTTCAAAGTTGTCACCTTGTCAGCTTGTATGGTGTGTCCATACAAGCCTGATTTTCTTCCCTCTGCTGACTCACATATTCCCCTGAATTAGAATTCAGCCAGAGGCAATCTGTTTTTAGTAGTCCTGGCTGCTGAACTGATTTTTATGGTGAAGAGTTCTATGTAACTATATGCCTGTCTTCCTCATTATTTTGTGCAAGAATCTTGGTAAGTGGCCCCAAACATTTAGCAACTTGCAAGTAAGTAGGAAGTTTTAGAGGTTTGGAAAACGCAGACTAGAAGAATCACGTCTTTATACTAAGCTGTTGGGAGGAGCTTCACCCTTCCACAAATTTTAAGCAAGTTCATTTGAATTATGAAACTGCACAAATTAAAAGATGCCACTGTCGTTCATCTTTATGACCACAGTTACAGCATGCCATAAGATTGCCATGCAATGATTATTTTCTAAAATATGGGCAGTTGATCATTTTAAGGTAATATGAACTGTTTCACTAATTAGAAGATCTTGTTTTGCTGAACAAATTAGGTTGTTTGAATTTTTAGTACCCCCTCCTTCCCGGTAACAGGAGACAGATTTGCCTTCATTCTCTATATAGTATTTTTTTGTGAGTTTATTTAAATTGCAAAAATTGGCAATTTAAGCAAACAGTTGCTCTCAAATATTTTGTACTTAATTTGTTTTTGTTGAAGGTTTTTTTGTTTGTTTGTTTGCTTGTTTGTTTGAGATGGAATTTCGCTCTTATTGCCCAGGCTGGAGTGAAGTGGCATGATCTCGGCTCACTGCACCCTCCGCCTCCTGGGGTTCAAGTGATTCTCTTGTCTCAGCCTCCTGAGTGGCTGGGATTATAGGCACACGCCAACACACCTGGCTAATAGTTTTTTGTATTTTTAGTAGAGATAGGGTTTTACCGTGTTGGCCAGGCTGGTCTCAAACTCCTGTTGTCAGGTGATCCGCCCGCCTCGGCTTCCCAAAGTGCTGGGATTACAGGTGTGAGCCACTGCGCCTGACCTTTTGTTGGAGGTTTTACTCATGAAAGGGGCAGATTTTTATTTTGTTAACAGGTGGTTGCCATTTAGTCATATAATCAAAGTAAAGTTGATGTCTTTAGACCTGCTGATCAACTTTGTTGTTGTTGTTGTTGTTGTTGTTTGTTTGTATTTTTGAGACAGCATCTCACTCTGTTGCCCAGGCTGGAGTGCAGGCGCCAGCCACCACACCCAACTAATTTTTGTATTTTTAGTAGAGACAAGGTTTCACCATGTTGGTCAGGCTGGTCTTGAACTCCTGACCTCAAGTGATCTGCCCACCTCAGCCTCCCAAAGTGCTGGGATTACAGATGTGAGCCACTGCACCCGGCCTCAATTTGTTTTAAATAGTTGGCCGCTAAGCTATCATTAAGGGTAGTCCAGTATTATATAAGGTAGACTGATCAGATTTTTTTGTCTAGTCTGAATGCCAAGGCCCTTAGCCACCTAGAGGTTCTCTGAAAATCACTGACATGAGGCAAATTGATTAATGGGAGAAAAGGCATACACGTTTATGTAATGTGTATACACAGGAGCCTTCAGAATGAAGACATAATGATAACAGGGGAAATTGTCCATTTTTATGCTTAGGTTCATCAAAGTATGGATGGCACATAGAAATATGATTGAACAAAAAGGTAATCAACTCAGTGGGGAAACCCAGCAAGCCTGTCTAGGTTCTTGGCCTCTCAGAGCATGCATTCCTTCCTTCTGGGTGTGGGGCAGGACCTGCCATGGAATGGGGAGTCTTATGACCTACAGTCAGACAAGAGAGGTTAGATCATTTCTTCATCTTTTTTTTTTTTTTTTCTGTTTCTTTTTAGAGACAAGGTCTTGCTCTGTCACCCAGGTTGGAGTACAGTGGCATGATCTTGATTCACTACAACCTCTACCTCTTGGGTTCAAGCGATCCTCCCACCTCGGTCTTCTGAGTAGCTGGGAATACAGGTGTGTACCACCATGCCCAGCTAATTTTTCAATTTTTTTGTAGAGACAGGGTCTTGTGGGTTGTTGCCCAGGCTGATCTCAAACTCCTGGCCTCAAGTGAACCTCCTACTTCGGCCCCACAACCACAAAGTGGTGAGACTATAGATGTGAGCCACTGCACCTTGCCTAGTTTTTCATGGTCAGTTTTTACTCAGAAAGGTGGAGGGAAAATTTGAGTAATAGGCATATGTGTGTGTGTGTATATATATATATATATATATTTTTTTTTTTTTTTTTTTTTTTTTTTTTTTTTTGAGACGGAGTTTCTCCCTTGTTGCCCAGGCTGGAGTGCAATGGCGCAATCTCGGCTCACTGCAACCTCCACCTCCCAGGTTCAAGTGATTCTCCTGCCTCAGCCTCCCAAGTAGCCGGGATTACAGTTGCTTGCCACCATGCCCGGCAAATTTTTTTTTTTTTTTGTATTTTTAGTAGAGACAAGGTTTCACCATGTTAGCTAGGCTGGTCTCAAACTCCTGACCCCAGGTGATCCACCCTCGGCCTCCCAAAATGCTGGGATTACAGGCATGAGTCACTGTGCCTGACCAAATTTGAGTAATATTTTTAGATTTTATGGCTGGCTTTGGGGAAAGGGGGTTCTGGTTTCTATGACTCACTTTGAGGAAGAGAGACTGTAGTTTTTCTATGGCTAGTCTGGGGAAGAATGAGACAGACAGGAGGGCAGAAGGTCAGAGAAAAACTTTTGCTTCTGAGGCTGCTGCTGAGGCCTTCATTTTGGGGTATGGCTTTCTGAGCCCCACTACCAGCAAACTCATTTTTAATTTCTTACAGGAAAAGTTTAATGAATTAACTTTGTACAATACTGAATGGTACAAAACAAAAAGCAAAATTTCACCCTGTACCTCTGTTTTCATTACCCTCCTCAGAAGCAACCATTCTTGATTATTTTTATTTCTTTTGATCAACTTAGTTATATTGATGTATTTTATCATAATCCAAAATGCTACACTAAATTCCTTAGCAATTAGAAACCTTTACCGGATCCATCTTATGAACTTCCTTAAAATTTGTATTTTATAATATGTGTGTAATGAAAGGGGCTTGGTTAGAGAGTACACAATAGTGTTTTTCAAATGAAAGCTAGTTTTTATCCCTAAACATGATGACTTGTCTGTGACAGTAAAACGCAGAAGCTGCTCATTAGTTTTACTTCTTTTCTTTCTAGTTATAATTATTCAATATGTTCCCACTGACTGAGGAAAACAAGCATGTGGCCCAGTTGTTGCTCAATACTGGTACTTGTCCAAGATGTATCTTCAGATTCTGTGGTGTGGATTTTCATGCACCTTACAAACTTCCATACAAGGTATTTTCTTTTCTTTTTTTTTTTTTTTCAAATTAAGAGAAGGTTCTCTGTATTTTACAATGAATGCTTGTACTTTTGAGGGCAGGTATCTATTCATAACTCTTTTTTAAATTAAAAAACTATAATAAAATGAGTGATATTCATAATTTTGGAATAGTCTCAGAAATGTAAGTTCCTTCTTAAGTGATTATATCTAGCTTTCTAACATTTAGTGTAATGGGATCTTTGTGGAGGAACTCCCTGGTGCATTTGAACACTTGTATAGATGTTTCCTAAAGGATATCTAAACAGAATATCACAAAATATTGCTTCCTCCCAGGAGGGGCTAATATTCCTTACATGTCCTACTATGTGGAAGCATTGTGGGTATGGTTGCCTTTTTCTGTTTTTCCCATTTTCTGTATTACCAGTTGTGTTTATAAATAGGTATTTGGAATCCTCTAGAAATAAATGCTTATCATCATTATTACTGTTATTAATGACAAAAGTAATATACAGAGATCTTTGACATTTATGGTAATATACAGAGAGCTTTGAGGTTTAATATAACACTTTTTTGCATAAGATATGTAACATCTTTATGAAATGTTTGATTCTAAAAGTGATATTCTTTTTAGAAGCAGATAGTAATACATATGTAAATATATACATTATAAACAGTATGTATACAACATATACACACACAGTTTCTTATAATTTAAAAAATTGTCCAGGAGTTAGTAGTATCAGTTATTTTTAAAATGTTATTAGTTGTTTCTATTATTTTGGCAATAATAATACACAATATTCAATTATCATTACTATATGTCAAGGTCTTATATAATTCTCATAATAACTGATTAGGTAAGTACATACTATGATTGTCTCTATTTTCAGATGAAGAAACTGAGATACAGAGAGGTTAAGCAACCTGCCCAAAGTTACACAGCTATTAAGTGAGCAAGCTAGGATTTGAACAGTCTGACTGAATTCAAAACCTAGGATTTGGAACTAGAAGACATGGATTTGAATCCCAGTTCCACCACTTTCCAGCTTCAGTTTACTCCTCTGTAAATGGGAATGATGATAATACCCACCTCACAGGACTTTAAGGGACAATACCTAATAAAGTACGTGGAAACACTTTGAAAACCAGAAATTGGCTGGGTGCGGTGGCTCACGCCTGTAATCCTAGCACTTTGGGAGGCCGAGGCGGGTGGATCACGAGGTCAGGGGTTCAAGACCAGCCTGGCCAAGATGATGAAACCCTGTCTCTACTAAAAATACAAATATTAGCTGGGCGCCATGGCAGGTGCCTGTGATCCCAGCTACTTGGGAGGCTGAGGCAGGAGAATTGCTTGAACCCAGGGGTGGGGGGTGCGGAGGTTGCAGTGAGCCGAGATCATGCCACTGCACTCTAGCCTGGGCAACAGTGTGAGACTCCGTCTGAAAATTAAAAAAACAAAAACAAAAAACCAGAAATGGTACTTGTGCTATGATGATTTAAATATGTGTATATTCATTTATACACAATATGACTGTAAAGTAATAAGACTGGTTTTGTGTAACCCTGCTTACACATTTTTTTCAGACACACTGTAACCTATTATCTATTATATGTTATTAGGTTTTAAATTTATATTATATTAAGAGACTGAGTGTTATCAACTTTCGTTTGTTTCATTTTATGTAAGGCAATATACAAGAATATTTGGACAGCTTTTTGGAAATGTTCATAAATTTTGATCTGTTCTATTCATGTAACTATGTATGTACATGCACATCTGTATATGCACTATGTTATATCTATATTATAGATCTTAGGTAACAACAAACATATTTGTGTGAGTCAAAATGTACCTGTATATGTATGTATGTATGTATATTTCTCTGTTAAAGCAGGAGAGCTAATTTCTCAATAAAATGGATTTAAATTTGTTTGAGTGAAAGATTTTTTCCCTTTACAGTCAGTAAATTGTCATCTGAATGAATTTGAAAAATATACTTTTTCAACAATGGCATAATAAAACATGTCTAAACAAAACAGAGGAAAATCCTCTGAGTATTTTGATGAGAGGAATATCTGAATGAGAGAAATATGAGAATGGTTTCAAAGAAATGCAGGTTTTTAAATTCTAATACAAGACAAATTAGGCAAACTGGAATATAGTAGAGCATGGCTTTCAATTAATATATGGAAATGGTTTGTAATCATATGCTAACTTTCAGCATTGTCAGCATTTGTGTACCTTTCTTAGTAAATTTTCTCCAAATTATTTTTACTTATTAGACTACCCTAATGATCAGATTTCATATTAAATAAATATTGTACTTGTGAGCTTTCAGTGATTGTGAGGTTATTAAATAACCTAGCAAGGATGGAAATTCAGTTTGTACTTTTTATATGTTAATCATTAGAACTAAAGTTTGTTTTTACTGAAATTAGCAATGAATGACTCTCACAACAGAACTACAAATTAATAAATTTGTATTGGAGCCTTTCTCCTCAGATTTATGACTTTTGCTTCACTGATATATGGAACTCTTTTGAAAAAGTATTCACATATATAATAGAGATAGGTAATTCTCTTTTAAATTCCATAAAAGCCAATGCTGGCTAATAACTGGATTGCTTCAGAATTGATATGTCAACATTGTAAAATTTGTGATATGTCCTAATTTTCACTCATGTTTTCTTGTTTCATCTTACCTAGAAAGCCTTAAGGACATTGTCAGTGGGTCATTACTTTTTCTTTCATTAACTTTCCAGGAGTTGCTCAATGAACTACAGAAATTTCTGGAAACTGAAAAAGATGAATTAATTTTGGAAGTTATGAACCCACCTCCCAAGAAAATTCGACTGCAAGAACTGGAAGATAGTATTGATAATCTAAGTCAAAATGGAGAGGGAAGGATCTCTGTTAGTCATGTTGGAAGCACTGCTTCCAAGAACTCAAATTTAAATGTATGTAATGTATGCCTAGGAATTCTTCAAGAATTCTGTGAGAAAGATTTCATTAAAAAGGTAAATAACCTGTTTTTCATTATAGGTGCAATTATGTAGAGATTTTCAGTCTTAAAACCAAGAATTCTTTTTTCTTTCCTTTTTTCAAGACAAGACAATTCTTTTTTGGGTCTCATTCTGTTGCCTAGGCTGAAGTGCAGTGGTACAATCACAGCTGACTGCAGCCTCCAACTCCTGGGGCTCAAGCAATCCTCCTACATCAGCCTTCTGAGTAGCTAGGACTACAGGCATGCACCACCATGCCCACCTAATTTTTTTTCTTTTTTTTTGAGATGGAGTTTTGCTCTTGTTGTCCAGGCTGTAGTGCAATGGTGTGATCTTGGCTCATCGCAGCCTCCGCCTCCCAGGTTCAAGCAATTGTCCTGCCTCAGCCTCATGCCTGGCTAATTTTGTATTTTTAGTAGAGACAGGGTTTCTCCATGTTGGTCAGGTTGGTCTCGAACTCCCGATCTCAGATGATTCGCCTGCCTTGGCCTCCCAAAGTGCTGGGATTACAGACATGAGCCACTGTGCCCAGCCCTAATTTTTTAATCTTTTTGTAGAGGCAGGATCTCCCTATGTTACTGTGCTGGTCTTGAACTCCTGGCCTCAAGTCATCCTCCTGCCTTGGCCTCCAAAGTACTGGGATTAGAGGTGTGAGTCACTGTACCCGGCCAAGGCCAAGAATTCTTTTTTTTTTTTTTGGAGACAGAGTCTCGCTCTGTTGCCCAGGCCGGAGCACAGTGGCGCAATCTCTGCTCACTGTAAGCTCCGCCTCCCAGGTTCATGCCATTCTCCTACCTCAGCCTCCCGAGTAGCTGGGACTACAGGCACCCGCCACCCAGCTAATTTTCTGTATTTTCAGTAGAGACGGGGTTTCACCGTGTTAGCCAGGATGGTCTTAATCTCTTGACCTCGTGATCCGCCCGCCTTGGCCCAAAGTGCTGGGATTACAGGCGTGAGCCACCGTGCCCGGCCAAATTCTTTTTTTTTTCTGTTTTTTTTTTTTTTTGAGACAGAGTTTGGCTCTTGTCACCCAGGCTGGAGTGCAGTGGTGAGATCTCAGCTCACTACAACCTCCGCCTCCCAGGTTCAAATGATTCTCTTGCCTCAGCCTCCTGAATAGCTGGGATTACAGGCACGTGCCACCACGCCCAGCTGATTTTTGTATTTTTAGTAGAGACGGGGTTTCACCATGTTGGCCAGTCTGGTCTCGAACTCCTGACCTCAGGTGATCCGCCTGACTTGGCCTCCCAAAGTGTTGGGATTATAGGCGTGAGCCACCACGCCCGACCTTCTGGTTTCTGTTTTTGTCTTTTTTGAGACAGGGTCCCACTCTGTCACCCAGGCTGGAGTGCAGTGGCATGATATTGGCTCATTGCAACCTCCACCTCTGGGCTCAAGTGATCCTCACGCCTTAGCCTCCCAAGTAGCTGGGACTACAGGTGCACGCCACCATGCCCAGGTCCAAGAATTTTTATATTGAAAGGAACACTGCCGTTCATTTCAACTTGTTTCACACAATTGGATCATTAAAATATTTTCTTTTTTTTAAAAAAAAAAAAACAAAAGCCTACTCTTCTCAAATTACTTTTTAATTGACATATCTGAAAATTAATAAAATGTGTATTCATGTATTTCAGTCATAAGTGCTATTTAATTGAAGAAAAATATAGCAGTTTGTTTTCATTTTGCTGTTTAACATAGCTAAGTTACAGAAAAGTTCATTTCTAGTTGTCCTTATTATTGTCCTGAAAAGACTAGTGGTACAGCCTTGTAGAAGGTAAATGATTGAATGTGGGATTGCCTTTTGTTTGTTTTTTCTGTCAAGAGTGCTATATTTGGGTTTATTTTGTTTGAAAGTTAGGGGTGACCTAATAGAAAGCTATTTTGACACTTAACAGTTTATTCTGAAGCTGTTACTCCTGGCTGTTTTGGTTCCTTGTGGTATTAGTCTTCAGGGTCATAGTTAGGCAATATTTAATCTCAAGATATTTGTGAGTGTTCCACTGTCAAATGTGAAAGTTTGGAAGTTTTGCCATGTCATCTCCTGGACCAGAAATTCATGTTATTAAGATTAGGGTAAGTAATATTTTCAGCAATTCCTGGGAATTTACATAATTGTAATGCTTTTTCAGGTGTGCCAAAAGGTTGAGGCCTCTGGGTTTGAATTCACCAGCTTGGTATTTTCAGTCTCCTTCCCACCACAACTATCTGTAAGAGAGGTAAGGTCATTTGCATGCATAAAACTGTATGTGAAGTGCATGCTAGGAATTTCTCAAAAAATGGGAATGTAGAAATATTCCTTACTCTATTATATTTTTTACATTTTGTCTACTTATTGAATGATTGAAGCAATTTATAGCTGCTTAATAAATACTTGTTGAGTGAGTGAATGACAAAAGGAATTAGTTGTGTCCTAACAAAGCAAGTTAGTTTGTCCTAGGACTGCCATCTTTTTTAAAGTCCCTCAATCAGTTGCAGACATTCATTATTAGCTCCATGTGAGGCATGATGGTCAGAGAAAGAGATTTGACTAGGTTTCCAGAGATCTTTTGAGGTGGATATGTGCATTTTAGAATAGTCCTAGAATAGGGTCATTTCAATTATGATGAGCCTTCTTCCCTTTGGAGTAAAATATAAAAAGATGGCGTATCTTCCAGTCAATGATAAAAGGGAGAGAAATGGCCTCATTTTTTTTAAACTGTTTTCTTTGTTAAGTGAAAAAAAAAGTCACTGCTGTAATATTCTTATGTGTCAAAACTGACATGAAAACATAAAGCTTTGCTAATACTGTTAAATGAAGCATAGTGAGAAACTTCTGTAATCTCAAATTACAACCATGGGTTCTAAGCATATTCGTTTATATTTATGAGATGTCTTTCCCCTAAGAAACCTACAGTATCACCAGAACATTACATCATAAACCCTCACTTTCTTTGGGTGAGCATGTTTATTAGCTCCAAATAAGCTGAAGATTGTTGAAGCTGGATAGAATGATACAGAAGAGCCAGGAAACGAAAAAGGGTAGAATGATTTTATATAGTATCTGTGTTGCTGACAAGATAACTGAGCAAATGGAAAAATAAAGGGGATGATGATGATGATATAACTGGGCTTATAAACACTTAGAGTCATTTTCTAGTCAATCATCAAAGCATTTCTCACTGATGTGCCATCTTCTGGTCCAATTTTGGTAGAGAGAAACAGACTTCCGAAAGCTGAGTGACTGTCACTTTAGTGAAAGTTTTGAGAAACAAATAGGAATAAGAAGTATATTTTCTGAATGTGGTTATATATCTTAAAACCAAACCCTTCCTCTCAAAGCTTATGTTTATATATTTCCCTAACCCTCAGAGCCTGTGAATCAAAGTTTATATTTTTACATTAAGATTCATATTATCCATTTTATCACTTATTTGATGATTTTAACAATATTAGCTTAATGTTACTATTTATAAGGTATTTATATTCCGTATTAGAAACAGAAGATTTGTTTGTTTGTTTGTTTGTTTGTTTTGAGACGGAGTTTCGTTCTTGTTGCCCAGGCTGGAGTACAATGGCGCCATCTCGGCTCACTGCAACCTCTGCCTCCCGGGTTCAAGCGATTCTCCTGCCTCAGTCTCCCAAGTAGCTGGGCTTACAGGCATGCGTCACCACGCCTGGCTAATTTTTATTTTTGTATTTTTAGTAGAGACGGGGTTTCTCCACGTTGGTCAGGCTGGTCTCCGACACCCGACCTCAGGTGATCCGCCCACCTCGGCCTCCCAGAGTGCTGGGATTACAGGCATGAGTCACTGTGCCCGGCCAGAAGATACTGTTTTTAAAAATAGAATTATTCTGCTTAAACTCTACTTTTTATAACTAATTTTAGCCAGAAAACTATTTAGCAGAAATATGTGACTGTTCTGATTATTGAAGAATTAATATGTTTCCATAGTTTAGTGTGCTATGTTTTATTGTTTTATTTGTAGTAATGACTAATATATTTTAACCTATTCATTTCCTAAGAATAAAAATTCAAGAAAGTACAGTTTTATATGCAGTATACTCTTTTCACATCCCAGGTTTCTTCAGAAAATTATGTTTATGGTTCACTTCGTGATTTGCTGTTTTTATGTTACTTTCTCTTTTTTTTTTTTTTTTTTTTTTTGAGACGGAGTCTGTCTCTGTCACGCAGGCTGGAGTGCAGTGGCACGATCTCAGCTCACTGCAAGCTCCGCCTCCCAGGTTCATGCCGTTCTCCTGCCTCAGCATTTCAAGTAGCAGGGACTACAGGTGCCCGCCACCATGCCCGGCTAATTTTTTGTAGTTTTTAGTAGAGATGGGGTTTCACCGTGTTAGCCAGGATGGTCTTGATCTGTCTTCTGACCTCATGATCTGCCCGCCTTGGCCTCCCAAAGTGCTGGAATTACAGGCGTGAGCCACCATGCTTGGCCACATGTTACTTTATTTTATTGCCGTCTTTTATTATTTCTTTGGAGTTGAGATATGCTGTGCAAGCCAGGTTGGATAGAAATTGCTTTTTAAACCACTTATTTGTTACACATCTCAGTTTAAGCTAGTTACGTATATCTTCAGAATATTCTGCATTTTGAATATAAATTAAATTCTGTGATTTCTCTAGTGCCATGTTCTACATTGTGGCTTTCAACTTAGACCTTGTAAATATCTCTACCTTAGAACTTCTTTGTCTGTTTGTAGAACGAACGTCAATATACTATCCATAAAATTGATTGATGTCAATTATCTCATAATTCACACCAGAATATATAATTGAGTCCATTTGAATGATTTGATTTTTTCCACTTCTAAGAAGTAGATTATCACAGATCTATTTAAAGCAAACAACACTTTATCAATATGGTAGTATTTATTATATTCCTGCTTACAAAAGAAACAGAGGGTGGCCTCAAGTAAAGTTTTTTAAAAAATTAAATGGCTAGTCACAGTAGCTCATGCCTGTAATCCCAGCACTTTGGGAGGCTGAGGTGGGAGGATCTCTTGAGTCAGTTCAAGACCAGCCTGGGCAACACAGTGAGACTCTGTCTCTACAAAAAAATTTAAAAATTAGCTGGGTGTGGTGATGCGTATCTGTAGTCCCAGCTACCCTGGAGACCAAGGTGGGGGGATTGCTTGGACCTGGGGGGTTGAAGCTGCAGTGAGCCATGATCACACCACTGTACTCTAGCCTGGGTGACAGGGCAAGACCCTGTCTCAAAAAAAAAAAAAATTAAGCAATAAAATTTGCATTAACGCATCTATATTATTGGTTCTACGAATCCCTTTCTGATGACAGCAATTTTTTTTTTTTTTTTTTGAGACAGGGTCTTGTTCTGTCAGCCAGGCTGGAGTGCAGTGGCGCAGTCTCTGCTCACTGCAGCCTCCGCCTCCTGAGTTCAAGCAATTTTCCTGCCTCAGCCTCACGAGTAGCTGGGATTACAGGCATATGCCACCACACCCAGCTAATTTTTGTATTTTTAGTAGAGACGCGGTTTCACCATGTTGGTCAGGCTGGTCTCAAACTCCTGATCGCAAGTGATCTGCCCGCCTCGGCCTCCCAAACTTCTGGGATTACAGGTGTGAGCCACCGCTCCCGGCCCCAATAGTTTTTATTTATCATCATTATAAAAGCATTAATTTAAAAGCTTAGAAAGAAAAGTCTATATTTTTGTTCACAGTTAGTATAATAATCATTTTCCACTGAGTTCAGGAGAATATGGAAGCAGGATGGAGTATATCTCCTAAATGTGTTTTCTTAGAAGGAACTAGCTAATCAATCAGAACAGCTTTAAACTTAATACTGCTAAAGAAGAGAAGCATAAGCAGATTAACTGGTGAAACAGTGTTACAGTAAGACGTAGTAAGTAGAATAAATAAAGGCGGTATTCAGGGTTTCACAAGAGAACAATATGGAAAGTTGTGGGACATAATGCTTAGAGTCTCCAAAGTCTATAATGGCATAAACATTTTAATAATAAATTTGAGATTATAAGAGAGTAATAAATACCTTACGACTGTCATGGTGAGTTTCTGGGTTTGGTCTTATCATTTGAATGTAATAATGGAAGGATAATTCCTTCTTATAAGGCTCGGATTTGTTAAGAGGAAAGATGTAGTAGTGTGATATGGCAAGAAATTATGTACCTGCACTGAGATTTGAGATCCTGAGAGTGATCTCATGGTGGTACCTGTGGTCCCAGCTCCTTGGGAGACTGAGGTGGGAGGATCACTGTAGCCCAGGAGGCGGAGGTTGCGGTGAGCTGAGATTGCACCACTGTGCTCCCACTCCAGCCTGGAACAAAGTAAGATCCTGTCTCAAAAAACAAAACAAAACAGGATAGATAGAGTAGTAGAAGTATACTGTATAATATCTGGCCAAGGGAAGGGTTGTTTATTTACAGATACAAAATAATCACAAAGGCTAATGAATACAGTAGTGTGAGGGACTCCCAGTGTTTCGGCACATGATGGAAATCATGTTTAACTAAAAGTGTGTTATCTGACAACTTTTAGATTGGAACTGTTTCTTTTCCTAAAGTAGTGGTTCTCTAACATGCATGAGACTCACTTGGAGAGTTTCCCAGGTCCCATTCCCAGAGATGCTAATACAGTAGGTCAGGTGAGACTCATGAATTTGCATTTCTAACAAGCTCATAGGTAATGCTTGTGCTGTTACAATGACAAAACTTTGAGAACCATTTTCCTAAAGGATGGTGGGGGAACTAATCTAGTCCTAAATGAAAAACTGATAGCCTTTTAAATGTGTATTCCTGAAGGATGGGAGGAAGAGGCATAAGTAGAATATATCCTAAACTTTTGATAAGTGGATTTCAAACACTACAAAGAAAAGGCAAAGAAAAATGGCATAGGATTCTGTGCTGGAAGATAAATTAAAAGGATTGAGAGCATCAGAGAAAGTGCAATTCACATTTTAATTCAAACCAAACTATCTCAATGAATAAAAAAAAGGGTGGGGGAAAATACATCTGAATGAAGAAGTAGGGATCTCTTTCTATCTCTGCCTCTGTTTTTACACAAAGGCTTGTATTTAGATATATTTATTTGACTTTTTAGTTTGGCCTATGAACTCCTGTGTACCTGTCATCCGACTTCAGCAGTTAAATTTTTTGCCAACCTGGGATCAGTTTCAGAAGAAATACAGGAAAGGTGAAGTCAAATTAATGCAAATGAAAGAGGATGGCTTGGCTGGGTGTTGGCTCATGCCTATAATCCCAGCACTTTGTGGGGCTGAGGTGGGTGGATCATCTGAGGTCAGGAGTTCGAGACCAGCCTAGCCAACATAGTAAAATCCCGTCTCTACTAAAAATACAAAAATTAGACGGGTGTGGTGGTGTGCACCTGTAGTCCCAGCTATTTGGGAGGCTGAGGCAGGAGAATCATTTGAACCCGGGAGGGGGAGGCTGCAGTGAGCCAAGATTGTGCCACTGCACTCCAGCCTGGGGAGACTACATCTAAAAAAAAAAAAGAAGAGGTGGCTTATGGCTTATGTCTATAAGAACAGCAACCAGAAAACTAAAGCTACTAATGAATAGAAGCTTTCAAGAATTGCTAAGGAAGATTTGTGTACTTAAAGTTATGTTTAGAGCAAGAAATAGATGAAAAGCATGGATAGATCTGCTATTTGGAACTGATAGTATACTGCTGATGCATGATATAGAGAAAGCAGGGCTCTGAAAAATCCTGTTTTGCTTCTGTCCTTTATGTCGAGGAAAATGATCTTCCTGCCGAAAAGAGGTAGACTGGTCATTGGTAAGGGAGAACGAATGCTCCACATGGTGAAGCTTTTCAAGATGGGTTCAGGTGTTTAGACCTGGGTGCATTACATTTCAGTATAGCTTCAGAAAGAACTTGCAGCTATTCTTGATTTTTGAGGGCTTTTAACCCATTTATGCTGGAGATTGCAAATTTTTTTGGTGAAAAATCAGACCTTGGCGATGACCTAGAGCAGTAGGATATAAATATCTCCCACAAGCTTAGCGTTCTAATAATGGAACACTAGGAAAATGGGTTAAAAATAGCAGATTTTACAAATGACTGGAGACAGATAAAGGCAGTTGCAATTTTCCAAAGGGGAAGAAAGTTGGCCACAAAGGTCAGGGTAAGAGGGAGATGTGATTATAACATAATGGTAAGAGAGATGTAATGTTTATTCTGAAGATGGAGGAAGGGAGCCATGAGCCAAGGAATGCAGATGTTCTTCTGAAGCTAGAAAAGGCAAGGAAACAGATTTACTACTTACAGCCTCCAGAAGGGAACACAGCCCTGCTGGCACCTTGATTTTAAGCCAGTGAGACCTGTGTCAGACCTGGGACCTAAAGATAATAAATTGGTGTTGTTTTAAACCACTAAATTTGTGATAATTTGTTATAGAAGCAATAGAAAATGAATACACATTTAGAGGATTAAGTGCATTCAGAATGGTGGAGCCATCTGAAACCTGGTCACAGGAGCCACTGCTGAAGGAGCTTGGGTTATTTAATTTTGAGAATAGATGATTCAGTGGGATGAGTTTGCTTTCCTTAAATATTTGAGGGGCTTCCTTATAAAAGAGGAATTAGATTGCTGCAAGGATAGAATCAAGAGCTATTAAGAATTTAGAATTATCCAGAACAGGATAGATTGTTTCCAGAGATTTCACGTCATTAGGGTGTTTAAGCCAAGGCTGGAAAATACAGTTGTCCCTTGATATCTGTGGGGGGTTGGTTCTAGGACCCCCGAGCCCCTCACAGATACCAAAATCCACAGATGCTTAAGTTTCTCATATAAAATGGTATACTATTTGCATATAACTTACACACATCCTCTTGTATACTTTAAATCATCTCAAGATTACTTATATACTACAATGTGGGTGCTATGTAAATAGTTGTTATGCTACATTATTTGGGGAATAATCACAGGAAAAAGCCTGTACCTGCTCAGTACAGATCCTTTTTCCCCCCTAAATGTTTTCTATCCAGGGTTGATTGAATCCATAGATGCAAGATCCACAGATACAGAGTGCCAATGTACTTGGCCAAGATACATAGAAAGAAAGTGTGCACTATATAGTTGGTTAGACTAGAGATCTTAAGCCTTTTCAACTCTAAGATTCTATATAATTTTAAGAAAAATACTTATTATAGTGTTTATTTATTTGAGATGGGGTCTCTCTCTGTCACCCAGGCCAGAGTGCAGTGATGTGATCACAGCTCACTGCAGCACTTGACCTCTTAGGCTCAAGTAATCCTCCCGCCTCACCTTCCTGAGTAACTGGGACCACAGGTGCATGCCACTATGCCCAGATAACTTATTTTTTATTTTTTTGTAGCAATGAGGTTTCCCTATGTTGCCAAGGCTGGTCTCGAACTCCTGGGTTCAAGTGATCCTCCTGGTGTGGCCTCCCAAAGTGCTAGTATTACAGGCTACTGCACCCGGCCCTATAGTGGTTATTTTATATTCATGATTGATTCCTCTAAACTTCTACATCATAATGCCACACAAAAACTATAGAATGAATGTCCCAGACATATGCTAATATTAGGCTAAATTTGTATTTATGGGAAAAGAGTATTCCATTAAGTCCTTTTAAAAGCTAAATGCTTTTCAGTTTTAGTTTTTAGGTTCATCTTTACTAGTTGAGTCCAGTAGAGGGCAATATTGTACTATCAGTTTGGCTTATTGGTCTCTTTTCATGGGTAGTGTATGGGAAACAGTTTGCTTAGTCCATTGACTTTAAATGTATATATTGTCTTTTAAGTGTTACTTTGGATGAAACACCTGCTTATCAATTTGCAACTTGATATGGTTGGAGTTTTGTCAAATCAAAACTTTTTTCCTATCATTTATTATACTTTATATCTGCATACTTTGCAGTAAGTACTACAAATTATACATGACCCTAGAAAATTAGCTAAGAATAAAAGCACTACCATTTCTACCCATCCAAGTGCTAACCAGGCCTGACCCTGCTTAGCTTTTGAGATCATGTGAGATCAGGCACATTCAGGGTGGTGTGGCCACAGACAGCAGTACAATTTCTGTAGCAGCATTTTTTTATTTAAGAAATTGTCTTCTTTTTTTTTTTTTAAGATGAAGTCTCACTCTGTCACCCAGATTGGAGTGCAGTGGCGTGATCTGGGCTCACTGCAACCTCTGCCTCCCAGGTTCAAGCGATTCTCCCGCTTCAGCCTCCCTGAGTAGCTGGGACTACAGGTGCATGCCACCACATCCGGCTAATTTTTGTATTTTTAGTAGAGACGGGGTTTCGCCATGTTGGCCAGGCTGGTCTTGAACTCCTGACAGGTGATGCGTCCGCCTCGGCCTCCCAAAGTGCTAGGATTACAGGCATGAACCACTGCACCCAACCTGAAATTGTCTTTTTAAATTCTGGAAAATGGATATTCAAATGGCTTTGGATTTTTACTTAAATCTGTGGATTCATAACTAATTTAGGATTATTGATCTCATTCAGAATCTGAAGAAAGCAGTGAATTCCTTTGTCCTAAAAATGCACATACTAAAAATTTTGTATGTGTTTACAGAGGCCTCTTAAACTCTCAGGCCATTAGTCCTAGAATCTTTTTTAATTGGTAATTTCCCTTCTGTTATTGATTGATGTTCTTTTTCTAAAGGACTATATTTTTTCTAATTATGTTTAGCTCATAAATAGAATGTGTCAAAATTCTCAACTTTAAGTATAGGAGCTATATATATATTGTGTGTGCAGGCATGAGCTGTCATCTTTGTTCATTAACTCCGCTTTCTGATTTAGCATGTGTATTTTCTGCTTTTTGTCCATTTGTGCATGGCTTCTCGATTTTTATTTTGTATGACAGGCACTCTTCCTAAATCTGTGTGTGTTCTCTCTCACCCACCATGTAAGACCAACCCAAGGTCCACTTCATTCAATAAGCCTTTTCTGAGCTTACTAAGGAGTTTTCAGAATTTATAGCCCTATTTTTGGTTAGATTAGTTTAGAACTCCCTTCAGTTCCTATATGGTCCACTTATCCATGCAAAGCAAGTTTGATTCCTTTAAACTTCTACAGCATAATGCCACACAAAACTATTATACAATGAATGTCCCAGACATATGCTAATATTAGGCTAAACTTCCATTTATGGGAAAAGAGCATTCCACTAAGTCCTTTTTTTTTTTTTTTTTTTTGAGATGGAGTCTTGCTCTGTCACCCAGGCTGGAGTGCAGTGATGCGATCTCAGCTCACTGCAAACCCCGCCTCCCGGGTTCACGCCATTCTCCTGCCTCAGCCTCCCGAGTAGCTGGGACTACAGGTGCCTGCCACCCGGCCTGGCTAATTTTTTGTATTTTTAGTACAGACGAGGTTTCACTGTGTTAGCCAGGATGGTCTCGATCTCCTGACCTCGTGATCCACCCACCTCGGCCTCTCAAAGTGCTGGGAGTACAGGCGTGAGCCACCGCGCCTGGCCCCACTAAGTCCTTTTAAAAGTTAAATGCTTTTGAGTCTTAGTTCTTTTAGGGACTACCCCTTAAGCATCTTTCAATAGACTTTTTATGAGTGGGTTGGCGAGTGTATAGTAACCTTGCTAGTTTTAGGCACACAGGCTGCCATTTTTATAACCATTCACAGGAAATGAGTGTGTTCATGCAGCAATCCACTCTATCTTATCAAAGGTAACTCCAAGAACTTGCTTCTGTGAATGTAACATTGGTGTATGAAATTCTGTGTTGTTAGAATCATGGAATCATATATCTATATGAGACCTTGGTGATCAGCTAGAACAGGACTCCCCAGCTTTTTATGGCACTTATTGAAAAACATCAATGTGTATATGGTTGTGATTTGTCAGAGTCTTATCCAGGCCACCACCCAAGTGTAAACCCATTGATACCTATTGGGAATGTCTGATTGACAGTCCAGGAGTTTCCAACCTTTGTGTATAAGGCATCCCCTTTTAATCTCTGACAGTTAATGGGTAGTATCTGTAGATTGGAAAGAAGATATGCTATGGGCAATTTTTTTCAGCTTCACAGATTGAGACCACTTCAGTAGTCATCACACTTATGCTCACTTAAAGAGGAGAAAACCAAGGCTCCAAGTCTCGTAGGGGTATGTGATTTGCCCATGCGTCCCGTTTATTGGAATCTGGATATGCCTCCCTGCTTCATGCTGCTGTTGCTTTTTAAGTTTTTTTTTTTTTAAACCATACCATCTCTACATCTTGTGTATTTTCATATGTTTTATTTACCTGACTACCTTGGCTCCGTGGATATTACCTTTTCTTAACTACTCCCCTTATTAAGCCATACACTCATGAACATCACTAAAGGTCAGAAGATCACCAGAGTGATGAATCCAGGCAGAGCTGCTGTGTTAAGGAGAACATAAGACTAGACATGGGTGCAGGTTTAGGACTCTGTTACGTGATACACTACTAGGATGTGTTGCAAGGGAGAAAGAGTGAGTGACATGTGATTAGTCAAGGTCTATATAGAACCCAAGCCCTGGTTGGCATGTACAATCAGAAGTCCAACTATCAAAGAGTCAAAGCAGATATTGAAGAGATCTAATAACTCGTTATTGGGGTGCTGGCACAAGAAGCCCAACAGATAAAGCACCCAGTCCCCGAGGTCACTGTGGCATGCAGCAAGGAGGAACAAATCACATTCCTGTGAGGAGGAAGCCACAGTCAAGCAGGACTAGAAGCAAGCCTAATTCTAAAGACCACCACAATACTATAATGTATATTGGATTCAGGATTGCAGTTGGCAGGTTATTCAGACACATATTTAAATGCTTAAAGATGCATCTCTTTATGGCATTGCCTTTTCCTTGGCCTGAACCCAGCTAAGTATAATGGAGGAGGAAGCAAGGAAGAAAAGAAGTTGCTGTGGCTCATCTAGCAGTGTAGGTAATTGAGGGAGATCAGGTGCATTCAGAACATGAGGTAGCCTCAAAGATTTGAAGTTTCTTTTAAAAATGTGTATGGTCTTATTCTTGTGAATTGTCACATTTGGCCTCTTTAAAATTTACAATAAGAAATGGTAATGTAACAGAATAAAAAAAAATACAAGATGAAACACATCCTTTTTCTTTAAAATGATTTCCCTGTGAAATTGAACGTATTAGCACATTGCTACCTTCTAACTGTAGAGATCTTTATTAAACTATTTTTCCTCCATTAATTTTTAGGACCGTGTGGCGTAGTTAAGTTGCTGAAAAGGGGAACTTCTAATTCAGACTCTTGCCTATTTCAGGTCTAGGTTTTTCTTGTTGCGTAGAACTGTCCTTTTTTCTGATACCACCACTGTGTTTTAGACCTAATAATTCTAGCTTACTAAGATATGATTGTTTTTGAAAAATTATTCATAATAATAACAAATATATATGTATGTATGCATATGTATAAAGCAATCATTTATATGTAAAACAGCCACACCACCATAATGTGTAGTTATTTTTTAGGAGGAGCAAGATAAAACCCCTTTCTTAGGAAAACAAGCCACCAACAGTTATTGAATATCTTCATGGCAGAGTGTGTTGCATGTGCTCTTTCATTTAATAATCACAACCCCTTAAAGTAGGTGGTGTTATCATCTCCATTTTACAGATGATGAAATTGAAGCTGAAGGTCACATTGCTGATAAATAGCAGAGCTAGGATTTGAACTCTGATCTATTAAACTCCAAAGTTTACGCTTTTTTTTTGAGACAGAGTTTCACTCTGTCACCCAGGCTGGAGTGCAGTGGTGTGATCTTGGCTTACTGCAATTTCCACCTCCCGGGTTCTAGCGATTCTCCTGCCTCAGGCTCCCAGGTAGCTGGGACTACAGACGCTCGTCACCTTGCCCGGCTGATTTTTTGTATTTTTAGTAGAGACAGGGTTTTGCCTTGTTGGCCAGGCTGGTCTCAAACTCCTGACCTCAGGTGATCCGCCTGCTTCAGCCTCCCAAAATGCTGGGATTATAGGCGTGAGCCACTGCACCCGGCCTTGGTCAGATTTCAAAAGGGTTATTGTCTTTCTGTGTTATAAGTGGGACTTAGCCTAGGTTTTGACTTTAGTATTTTCTTTCTCCAAATGGTCCAGTATCTTCAAGGTTAGGGAAAGGATTCTTGGTAAAAATATGAAACCAGAACTCTCATAATTATTTAACAAGTGTGATCATTTAAAAAGAGTAATGGTAAACCACCAGTTTATTTTGTGATTCTCTAAAATGATAACTCTGGAAATAAAATTTAAATTACAATTTTAGCACTTTCCCATCACATTTATGTTCAGGTTTTGTTATCAGATGACTGGAATAGGTGCAAAGATGTTTTGAGTCAAATATTTTATTACAGCACCTATCTTAAAATTCAGGAATTTCAAGTCATTTTTGTGAGGAGCTATTTTTGACTTCCTTTTTTTTTTTTGCTCTGAGGAAGATTGATGCATGTATGTGTGATGATGAATTATGATGGTGAAGTCCCTTAATTGGAGGTGGAAGTCCCAATGAAGTTTTTAGCCACATCCTTTGTCATGGATATGTCCAAATGTCCAAGAAGAGGGGGCTAGGTGGCAAGTGCTACCTTGAAGTCAGACACATCCAAACTCATTGTCAGAAACCTCTTTCTTAAGGAATAGTACTACTACTTTCTTCCCTCCAAGCAGAAGGAAGGACCAGCAAAATAGTCTTTGGCCAGGTTTGTCAGTTACGAAGTGTCGATCTGGCCGGGCGCGGTGGCTCACGCCTGTAATCCCAGCACTGTGGGAGGCCGAGGCAGGCAGATCACGAGGTCAGGAGATCGAGACCATCCTGGCTAACAGGGTGAAACCCCATCTCTACTAAAAATACAAAAAATTTGCCAGGCTTGGTGGCAGGCGCCTGTAGTCCCAGCTACTCGGGAGGCTGAGAAAGGAGAATGGCGTGAACATGGGAGGCGGAACTTGCAGTGAGCCGAGATCGCGCCACTGCACTCCAGACTGGGCAACAGAGCAAGACTCCATCTCAAAAAAAAAAGTGTCAATCAATTGCAGTGCTACAGCTGCTCCTCCTTTTTAAAATTAGGTTTTACTGCTCCAAATATTGAAAGTTATTTTTACAAATCTTCCCTTTTAAATAAAACTGAATATATTTTTCCTCACTGATATTAATACAGGATCAATACTAGTGGAATCTGTTTTCTAGACTAGATACCATTCAAGGCCCCAGGTGGAAATGTTTAGCTGGGAATTTTGTCTTAAAAAACTGAGTATCTTTCTCCTTGCCATTATGTTTATTATGCAAAGTTATCCAGTTTTTCTTAATGTAATACATATTTTCCAGTCAATTTGGACCTTTCTTTTTTTCTTTTTTTTTTTGAGACAGAGTCTCACCCTGTCTCCCAGGCTGGAGTGCAGTGGCATGATCTCAGCTCACTGCAACGTCCACCTCACGGGTTCAAGTGATTCTTCTGCCTCAGCCTGTCAAGTAGCGGGGACTGCAGCCATGTGCCGCCACACCTGGCTAATTTTTTTGTATTCTTAGTAGAGATGGGGTTTCACCATGTTGGCCAGGATGGTGTCAATCTCCTGACCTTGTGGTCTGCCTGCCTCAGCCTTCCAAAGTCCTCGGATTACAGGTGTGAGCCACTGCGCCTGGCCTGGACACTTTCATAATTTATAAAACTCTGATGTAAAAAACCCTAGTTGAGCACTGGATTGACATTTCACAGGGCTACTTCCTTTTTATTGTGTGTAGCTTTTGGTTTCACAATTAGTGCGTCAGAGATCAGCTGGATATATGGCAGTCTCCAGAGCCAGGGCAAGAGTGCTCAGCACGTACTTGCAGAGGGCTAGTTTTTTATCTTTAAAAATTAAATCCATGGCAAATTAAAGAGCCATATATCGTATTCATTAAATTATAATTTGAAAGCTACTTGTGTAAGTAAATGTTGCGGTATCGAGTATGATCAAAACCTTTGATTCTTTTTTCTGGTGGAATCTAAGTTTCTCTCTAAACTGGTTGTTAAAATGTTATTGCCAGTAGCTGAGTAAAGATAATGTGAGGGGAACTAACTTGTGTGGGGAAAAAATAAAATGGATTTTATTTAAATGTGGTCATGAGCCATATAAAAGGAAATGAAATAATAAAATAGATGCAAAGGTATTAACATAAATAGCCCTTTTAGTCTTATATTAAGAAGCATAATATGAAGTGATTTCTATTTAGAATTTAGTTCACATCCAGGATTTAAATTTTCTGTGAGGCTGGGGTGTTATGATGTGTATTGATTATCTGATATTCCTTTAGTATTATCACTAGAAATTCATATTAGAAATCGTGAGTTGGTGATTTTAGTGAGACTTTCATATTCTGAAAGCATCACAGAAATTCATGACCTGTTGTGGAGTGGGCATGTGCACTCATGCCCTATTGAGTAAATCAGTAGCTAGTCATGAATGCTAAATTTGTATTCCAAAACATTTTTTTTTAAATGTAGACATGTATTAAGGTACTTCTGGCTGCGTATAGTGGCTTATGCCTATAATCCCAGCACTTTGGGAGGCTAAGACAGGGGAATCACTTGAGGCTAGAAGTTCACGACCAGCTTGGTCAACATGGCGAAAACCCGTCTCTACTAAAAATGTAATGTAAAAATTAGCTGGGTGTGGTGGCAGGCACCTGTAGTCCCAGCTACTTGGAAGCTGAGGCAGGAGAATCGCTTGAACCCAGGAAGTGGAGGTTGCAGTTAGCTGAGATCGCACCACTATACTCCAGCCTGGGTGACAGAGCGAAACCCTGTCTCAAAAAAAAAAAAAAAAAGTGCTTCTGTTGAGTAACATTCAATCTGCAACTTGTTTCTTAGGTGGCATGCAGCAACTGATATTTCAGTTACTGCTTTATTGGTCTGGCCCCAGGGAGGTGTCCCCTACCACGTTAAATTGGAGGTCATATGGTCTGTGCACAATGACTTTTCCCCTCCAATTTTCGTAATATTTATTTCTTTTTCTTGCTTTGTTGCATTGGCTAAGATCGCTAGTACATTGTTAAACAGAATTAGGGATAATGAGAATTCTTTTGGATTATTTTTCTGTTTGAATTCTACCCCCTCACACATATCATTATCTTAGAAGTTATGCATTTACAGTTTTTCCTTTACTCTTAAAAGTACTAATTAAATTGGTACTCCCATTTCTACAAAAAATAAAAAATTAGCTGGACATGGTGGTGCATGCCTGTAGTCCCAGCTATTCAAGAGGCTGAGATAGGAGGATTGTTTGAGCCCAGGAAGTTGAGGCTGCAGTGAGCCAAGATTGAGCCATTGCACTCCATCCTGGATGACAGAGTGAGACTCTCTCTCTCAAATAAAAATAAATACTTTTATCTTTCCCAGAGAATGCAAAGACCTTGGAATACTTGGATTCCTTGTATCTCTTAATTTACATTTCATTGTGTGTGTTTTAATTTGACACATGTTTAAATCTCATGTGACATTATTTTATACAAGTAATATTCTATACAATCAGTCAATATTCACAGATTTACCTACATATTCATCTTGTGTATTACCCTTTATTTCAGCTGTCATCTGGGATTATATTCTTCTGCATGAAGAATATCCTTTAGTTTAGTTTTTGTTTTTTAAAGTATAGGTCAGGCCAGGTGCAGGGACTCATGCCTGTAATCCCAGCATTTTAGGAGACTGAGGCAGGAGGATTGCCTGAGCCCAGGAGTTTGAGACCAGCCTGGGCAACATAGAGAGACTCCGTCTCTACAAAAAAATAAAATGTTAGGCCAGGCATGGTTGTTCACACCTGTAATTTCAGCACTTTAGGGGGCCAACTCAGGATCATTTGAGCCCAGGAGTTCAAGACCAGCCTGGGCAGCATAACAAGACCTCATGTCAACAAAAAATGAAGAAAGTTATCTGGGCTTGGTGGTGTGCACCTGTAGTCCCAGCTACTCAGGAGGCTGAGGTGGGAGGATTGCTTGAACCCAGACGTGGAGGCTGCAGTGAGCTGAGATTATGCCACTGCACTCCAGCCTGGACAACAGAGTGAGACCCTGTCTCAAAAGAAAAGAAAAGAAAAGAAAATTTGGACATTGATTATGAAAAATATAATTTGAAACTAAAATAATGTTCTCCTCCAGAGAGGATTTTTGTTTTCTTCTGAGTTCTAGCTAGGGGCATTAGCAATTCTGAATTACCTTAATCCAGCCACAGGGATTGCAATTACCTTAATCCAGCTACAGGGATTGCAGTGATTTGAAGTTGATCTTTAACACCTTTAAGGACTGTTCTCGTCCCCATTTACCCCTGCTTCTAGGGTGTCATGCTTCATGGTTTCAGCCAAAACATAGGGCTTATCAGGATTCCCTCTCTCTCTTCTGACAACAGATGCCCCTTAGGGAAAAGCTGCTCAAAACACCTGGCTCATCTTTGGTTCCCTTCTTCTGAATTTTGGCCCTGTAACTCTTCACTACCTTGTTAACTTTCTGATGTCTTCATGCAATTTTTTTTTAGTTGTCCAGCTTTTCTAGTTGTCCTCAGGAGGGTTGATCCACTATTAACAAATTTTCTCAACTTTGTTTTCCAATCTTGTTTAGCTTTTCATAAATAGTAATACTATGTTTTTAATTCCAAGACCTTTTCTGTTTTCTAGGTTTTTTTTCCCGTGCGTGCGTGTGAGTATGTGTATGGGTGTTTTAGAAAAATAGGATCCTATTCTTGTTAAACACAATATTTTATCTTTCTGAGAATATCAATATGTGTTGCTATTGTGTAATTTTTTTGTCTCTAGTTTCTTAAAGTTACTTTTTTCAGTTTATTTTGGTACCTTCTATGTCAAGTTGCCTGCTTATTGTTGGTGAGTTGGTCATATTGAAGAGTACAGAATAAGAAGCAGTTGAGCCTGGGCGTGGTGGCTCATGCCTGTAATCTTAGCACTTTGGGAGGCCGAGGCGGATGGATCACTTTAAGTCAGGAGTTCGAGACCAGCCTGGCCAACATGGTGAAAGCCCATCTCTACTAAAAATATATTTTTAAAAATTAGCCGGGCATGGTGGTGGGTGCCTGTAGTCCCAGCTACTTGGGAGGCTGAGGCAGGAGAATAGCTTGAGCTCAGGAGGAGGAGGTTGCAGTGAGCTGAGATTGCACTTGGGCAACAAGAGTGAAACTCTGTCTCAGAAAAAAAAAAAGAATAAGCAGTTGGAAGCTAGATATGTGAATAAAGAGGGAAGATTCACTGTGAGCTTTACCGAATACTGAGCTATCTGTCTTCATTTAGGTCTTGGGCAGGTGACATTTCTTTATAGAGATGCAGTCTCCTATCTAGCAATCTGCCAAGGTCCAAAAACGGGTGGGGCCTGGGGTTATGTGTGTATGTCATCATCTTTCTGCCTATGTTTACTCAGTGAAGTATTAATGCCCTTAAATGTGACTCAAAAGACTCAATCAAAAGACCTTCATTTTACCATCTCCAGGAAATAAAACTCTGTTCTTTTACTAGGGTTAGAGAGGGACATTCACCTGGCTGCATGGAGTGGGGTAGGGGATCTGAGAATCTGCCTCTTTTGCAAACAGTCAATTTTCTTTATTCCTACCCTTTACCTTCCACCACCACTTCCAGAATTCCTTGGTGCTGCTTATTTCCAGAATTCCTTGGTGCTGCTTAACTCCTGTTTTTATTGTGGAGTATTCATTTCTTCTGCTGCCAATTTAGGATTCAACTTTTGGGATGTCTGCTAAGTCCTTTACCACTGTTCAATCTGCTTTCTAGCTTTCAAATTGTTGCTATTCCCTGCACTCCTACTGTCCCCATCCTAGTGGATTTTATGCAGTTTTAACAAACCTCTGTACTGCTGTTTTAGGGGCTTAACAAAAGCGCATGCCTGGCCAGGTGGTGGGGCTCATGCCTGTAATCCCAGCACTTTGAGAAGCCAAGGCAGGTGGATCACCTGAGGTCAGGAGTTTGAGACCAGCCTGGCCAACCTGGCAAAACCCCGTCTCTACTAAAAAAAAAAAAAAAAAAATTAACCCGGTATGGTGGCGCGCACTTGTAATCCCAGCTATTCGGGAGGCTGAGGCAGGAGAATCACCTGAACCCAGGAGGCAGAGGTTGCAGTGAGCCGAGATTGCACCGTTGCACTCCAGCCTGGGCTACAGAGCAAGACTCCATCTCAAAAAACAAACAAACAAAAACCGCATCCTCAAATTTGATCTTCCCTTTTTACCAAGAAGGCCAGTTATATTTGTTTACTTTTAAGATAAAATTTTTGCATTTGTCTAATTTTAATTTGTATTATAGTTACATTATTTGTATTTACTGCATTAAGCAAATTACTAAGACCAAAGTGTACTATATTGTTTTTTTTTCATCTGTAAGATCAGAAATACTTTCTTACACTAAAGCAACCCTAATGGAAATCTACCAATCTAGTTTTTATTTTACAAACTAATTACAGGGAGGACTATGAGGAGAAAACATGTCAAAATTTTATTTATAGTAGTTTATATTCTTTTTGGCAATTAATATTAGAATTTACACCTAACAGTGACCCTTAGAATGTTTGCAGATTTTAAGGTTATGTAATGGAGGAGTAGTTGGCTAAAGAGAAATGTAGAAAAAATTCATTACTGGTTATTCTCATAATGTATTTAATAATCATTTTTGACATCTCGTGAGCCTAGGCCTTTTAAAGTTTGTTTAGTTATTTAATTAAATTTATTTATTTATTTATTTATTTTAGACGGAGTCTTGCTCTCTCACCCAGGCTGGAGTGCAGTGGTACGATCTCAGCTCACTGCACCCTCCTCCTCCCAGGTTCAAGAGATTCTCCTGCCTCAGCCTCCCAAATAGCTGGGACTACAGGCGTGTGCCACCATGCCTGGCTAATTTTTTTTTTTTTTCTTGAGACAGAGGCTCTCTGTGTCCCCCAGGCTGGAGTGCAGTCGCATGATCTAGGCTCACTGCCAGTTTAGTATGCCTCCACCTCCTGGGCTCAAGCTTTTCTCCTACCTCAGCCTTATGAGCAGCAGAGATTACAGGCAGGCCCAGCTAATTTTTGTGTTTTTAGTAGAGATGGGGTTTCGTGATGTTGGCCAAGCTTGTCTCGAACTCCTGACCTCAAGTGATCTGCCCGCTTCAGCATCCCAAAGTGCGGCACGAGCCACTGCACTGACCTGTTTAGCTATTTTAGCTTCTATTTTTATATCATACTGTACACAATTAGTGGTGATATATGAATAGCTCATCACATTGCCATTCTCCAAAAATTTGCTTGAAATTTCCCACACACCAAAGCTTTGTCATTAGACCTTGCCTTTAGACAGGTTGTCACCAAATTATTTTCAGGAATCTGTGGTTCCTTTTTTCTTCTTCCTTTTTTTTCTCTCTCTCTCACTTTCTATATTTTTCTCCTTCTCTTTCTTCCTCCCTCCCTTCCTCTCTTCCTTGCAAATATTACATCAAGGTGTCCTAATAAAGATAGTGGCAGGATTTAAATTGGACAGGAATTAAGGTCCAGGGACCCCTGCCTTTCTCCTTTCCCGTGTCTTATTGCATTTTGTCACTGGGTGTGTGGTTAAATCTGCCTTGGTCATTCATTACGTCTTGCACACCTGTTAACAAGCATTCATAGCTAGAAACTAACCCACTGCAGATACTGTTCCATTCTCAGATTCATGGCAAATTTTGATAAATATCATATCATCTACTTTAAACTTTTAGACTAAAACTAGAAAATTTGGAAAGATCAAAGCTTGAGGAGATCCTTTTTAATTTAATGGATTTTAAGAAGCAACTTAATTTATTTTTCGAATTACTGAACAGAGAGTCAGAAGACCTGTATTATAAAAACAACAATTAACATTCTCATAAACTATCTCATTTAAACTTCCAATTTTACAAGAAACCTCTTTTTTCCTGTCTTCTAGATGGGGAAAGAAACACCCAAAGGGCACAGAACTTGCTCTAAATCACTTGCTGGCTAAGTAGGAGAGAGAGCTTGAACCCAGTTCTTTCTGTCTCCGAATCCCTTGCTTTGTTTGGGATTCTTTATGACCTCCTTCCTATGCTGTTCTGATACTACTTAGGCAAGTCCCTGGAAAGAAAAGGAGATGGCAGGCACACTAAACTAGCAGATTGAAGAGTTAACTGTTTATATTGGAAAGATTTTGTTTGAAGTTTTTGGTGTATTGCTTTAATAAATTTAGAAAGACTTAAATATCAACAGCTTGACATATAACCAAACCTATTTTTCACAAAATTCATATAATTTTAAGAAAAGTGCAAAATTCACTAAGTTTAGGAAGATGTTTCTTTAAAAATAAAATTATGATATATGGGGCTTGTGTGCATTTCACAGTTTACAAAGCATTCATTCTATATCATAATACCTCTAAAATTTAGCTGTTGCATTTATGGGGAATGAGGTTTACCTTCAAATAAATGGGTAACTCTTCTCTTTGAAATGAAAATAAAATATAGAAAATTTTAAAACAGGTAGTTTTATTACATTCAAATGCATGTGGTAACTTAAACTAGGTCAACATAGTCCATTCATTAAATTTCAGCTTGAAAGAATCCTTGGAGTTATCTTTTAATGAATAGATAAAACCAAATTTGTAATTAGCATGTTAATTATATGGTCTTTAAAAATGTATGGGAGAGCACTTTAAAACTGTTTTTTTAAAACATTTAAAGCATTGTCCCTGAAAATCTGGTTTGTGTTATTGATCTATCAATGAAGGAAGTACTTGCTAAAGAAAGGTAAATCCTCCCCAACCCATTCAAAAACATCACACATTCTGAATTAGTAGGTACTTTTAATGCATTTTCCTTTGATTTCCCTGATGCAAAAGTAGAAGTAACTTTTTTTTTTTTTTTTTTTTTTTTGGTGAAGTCTGGTTTCTCCTATAACAAGTGTTCTAATCTTACGAGCATATTTCTGAAGGATTGCAGACCCAACCTAGAGTAAACCCATTAGATACGGCCCCATCCAAATAAGACACTGAGGAATAAAAAAGAGAAAAGGCCGGGTGCAGTGGCTAACACCTCTGTAGTCCCAGAACTTTAGGAAGCTAGATGGGTGGATTGCTTGAGGCCAGGAGTTCAAGACTAACCTGGCCAACATGGCGAAACCCCATCTCTACTAAAAATACAAAAATTAGCTGGCTGTGGTGGCACATGCCTGTAATTCCCGCTACTCGGGAGGCTGAGGTGTTAGAATCGCTTGAACCCAGGAATCAGAGGTTGTAGTGAGCTGAGATCATGCCACTGCACTCCAGCTTGAGCAACACAGTGAGATCCTGTTTCAAAAAAAAAGAGAGAAAAAAATATTTCATCTTTAGCACAAAGTCCTCATAGAAATAATAAATTTCAAAAAACCTATAAATTTTTCAAAAGTAAAAATTTATTCTCATCCCAAAAATAGAAACTGTTTTGTACTGTTCCTCTGTTTTTCATTGCTGAGAGGTGATAGTGAAGCAGCAAGGATCCTATAAATATAGTACATTTTAAAATAAAATAGACCTCAACCTATTAGATAATATTTAAATGAGGATTCCTCAAACTAATAGTACCCAAGCAAATATACTATGTAACACTTTAAAATTTTGTGATCTAATATTCCTTTTAATTTCTTTTTAGTAAATTGATTTGATAATAAATTGAGATATAATTCATTTTAGCAAACTTACTGTTATACAAAAGATAACTTAGATAATTGGTTGTGAGTTTTTAAAATAACCTTTAAATTTCTGAAAAGGATTCACAAGTATTACATTTAATTTTTTTCTTTTTTAAATTATAAAAACAGCACATGCTTACTGAAAGTGCCAAACAACTCAGAAGTATGTAAAGTTAACATTAGTCTCTCTCTTTCTCTTCCTCTTTTCTACTTCCCATTTTCTGGAGTAACATTTTGGTAATCTCTTTCTGAGACCTTTTGCTATATACATATTAACGTATACCTGCATGTACTGCACATAGTTTGGGTTTGTTTGCTTTAGTGAAACATACATGTCCTGCAAACTTTTTACCTTGCAACAACCATTGACAACCTTCAACTGTGTTAGAACTTACAGAGCTCACATATGCATATATGAGCTTTCCCGTACAGATGGTTAAATCAGAATTTCTTAAATTAATTCATTTATCCAGTTGAAGAATATTCAGATCACCTTCAGTTTTCAGTTTTTATTATTATAAATGGAATTTGCAATGAACATACTTGTATATGGAGTCTAGTATTTCTATATTTTGGTCTGATAAATTCTTAGAATTGGAACTGCTGAATTGATGGGAATACAGATTTAGAATTGTGATAGGTATTTCCAAATTGCCCTCCTAAAAGGTGGTACCAGTTTACAGCAGTGTATTACAACCCCATGTCTTTTTCAAACCTGAAGTTACACTCTTCGGTATTTTCTAACCTATATGCAAAAGTTTTCTTGTTTTAGTTCACACTTGTACTATTTGATTTTCAGGTGAACTTTTACATCTTTTTATATGTTTACTAGCCATCTGGGTTTCTATTTTCTGGTTATTTGGCTTTTTAAAATTGATTAGTAAGTGCTCTTTGGACATAGTGACTATTAATCTTTCATCAATTCTGTTTCTCCCACCCAGCCTGACATTTGCCATTTACCTTTGTTTGTGGTCATTTAACAAACATAAATTTCTAATTTTATGGAACTTTTCATCTAGGAACAAATTTATCTGTACTTTTTCAATATTTGTTTTGATCTTTCAATTATATTATAGTTTTTCCTCACACATTTATTTATTCCTATGTGTTTTTAAATGTTTTTTATTTTTGATTTTAGTTGAAATTTGAGTGGAATCTCTTTTTCCCATAATTTTTTTTCTTTGGCTATTAGGAAAGTAATATATGCATGTTTGTAGGTGTGTGTGTTTAATGTTTGTCTTGGAACTGACTAACTTGCAGGTCTCTATTATTAATCCTAGTGGTTTTTCAGTTATTATCTAGGTATGCAGTTACCTTATTTGCAAATAATGATAGTTTTGTCATTTCTTTTTTACTATTTTAAAAATATATACAGTATATTTAGGTGTATCATATGTGTATATTTTAATACTAAGTATATTGTTAGCTCTATTCTGATAGGTACACTTTATCTAATTTTTTTTTTTTTGAGATGCAATTTTGCTCTTGTTGCCAAGGCTGAAGTGCAATGATGCGATCTCGGCTCACTGCAACCTCCGCCTCCCTGGTTCAAGCGATTCTCCTGCCTCAGCTTTCTGAGTAGCTGGGATTACATGCGCTACCATGCTCAGCTAATTTTTTTGTATTTTTTAGTAGAGAGGGGTTTCACCATGTTGGTCAGGCTGGTCTCAAACTCCTGACCTCAGGTGATCCACCTGCCTCAGCCTCGCAAAGTGCTGGGATTACAGGCGTGAGCCACCGCGCCCAGCCTATCCTTTATTTAATGAAATTTGCTTCTATTCCAAGTATAGTATGTTGTGTTAAAAATAATAAATAGATATTTGTAATAATTATATTTTTCTCCTTTTATCTATTTTGTAGTCAAGTAAACTAATAATTTCCTTGTGTTGAATTTGTGTTGTTTTCTTGAAATAAGCATTTTTCATTCTGATTATAGTAACAATTAGACTTAAGGGCTGGGTGTGGTGGCTTATGCCTGTAATCCCAGCACTTTGGGAGACCAAGGCAGGAGGATTGCTTAAGGCCAGGATTTTGAAACCAGCATGGTCAACGTAGTGAGACCCCCATCTCTACCAAGACAAAAAATTAGCTAGGTATGGTGGTGCATGCCTGTAGTCCCAGCTACTCAAGACTATATTTTTGTCTGATAAATTCTTAGAATTGGAAATGCTGAATTGAAGGGAATACAATTCAGCTGGCTGAGGTGGAGGATCACTTGAGCCTGGGAGTTAGAGGCTGCAGTGAGTCATGATCGCGCCACTGAGCTCCAGCCTGGGTGTCAGAAAGAGACCCTGTCTCAAAAAAAAAAAAATTCGACTTAATATTTTATTTAGGATATTTACATACATAGATATTTGGTTTAGGTATTAAATCATGCAATTAGATTTTATATTAGATTATGTAAAACTTTTGGAAAGAACTGTGAGGTTTTCTTACGCTTTGAAAATTTTAACAACAAAGAAATTATCTGTTTTTGTTTCTTGAAATGTTGTTAAATTCACTTATAAAATGATATTAGATGGTTATAAAGGTAGGTCTTTATTACTTTTTCAATTTCTTCTATTAAAAGTTATTGTTCTATCTGGCCAGGCATGGTGGCTCACGCCTGTAATCCCAGCACTTTGGGAGGCTGAGGCAGATGGATCATTTGAGGTCAGGAGTTTGAGACCAGCCTGGCCAACATTGCAAAACCCTGCCTCTACTAAAAATACAAAAATTAGCTGGGTGTGGTGGTGCACACCTGTAATCCCAGCTACTCGGGAGGCTGAGACACAAGCATTGCATGAACCCAGGAGGTGGAAGTTTCAGTAAGCCAAGATCGTGCCACTGCACTGCAGCCTGGGTGACAGAGCAAGACTCTGTCTCCAAAAAATAAATAAATAAATAAATAAAATAAATAAATAAATCCAGGGATCAAGATAAAGACAGATTTTCTGGAGAGAGGAGAGAAGTAAGTATACGGAGTTCCTGCTGGAGTCAGGCAGTCCTGTAGTCCTGGGACCAAATACCTGCATTGTGACTAGGAGGAAGTTAGAGGCCTCTTTATTTTTTTATTATTTTTATTTTTTTAATGGAGATGGAAAAAGAAAAGTTATTGGTCAATCTGTTTTTTCCCTCTTCTTGAGTCAAATTTTGATTAATTAAATATTAGCTATTTAATTACCAAATAATTAATTTGTTACTTTACTTTCCTTCAAAATTGTTTGTTTCAAAGTGTGGTCTAGCAACCCCTAGAAGTCCTTGCAAGGGGTTCACGAGGTCAAAAGTATTTTTATAGTTTATAATAATTTGCTTTTTTCACTCTCATTCTTTTAAGAGTATACAGTGGAGTTTTCCAGAGGCTATGTGATTACAGCAAATTGAATGTAGAGGCAGAATGAAAATCCAGGTATCTCCTATTAAGATGTATATTAAAGAGATTTGCAAAAATGTACCACAGCATCAGTTTTCTCACTAAATTATTTTGTTTGAAAAATATATTTTTCAAGAAAAGTTATTTATGTTAACACATAATGGATTTATTACTTTGTCATTAATTTTTAATGAATTAATAAATATTTTTTAGGCCAGGCACGGTGGCTCACGCCAATAATCCCAGCACTTTGGGAGGCCAAGGCAGGCAGATCACCTGAGGTCAGGAGTTCAAGACTAGCCTGGCCAACATGGTGAAACCCCATCTCCACTAAAATACAAAAATTAGCTAGATGTGGTGGCGGGCACCTGTAATCCCAGCTACTTGGGAGGCTGAGGCAGGAGAATCGCTTGAACCTGGGAGGCAAAAGTTGCAGTGAGCCGAAATCTTGCTGTTGCACTCCAGCCTGGGTGACAGAGCGAGACTCAGTCTCAAAAAAAATAATTTAATTTATGGTTTTAATTGCTAATATGGTAAATATTGATAGCTATAACCAACATAAACAAAAGCTACTTGAGGTTCTTAAAAACTTAAGAATGTAGGCTTGGCGTGGTGGCTCACACCTGTAATCCCAGCACTTTGCGAGGCCAAGGCAGGTGGATCACCTGAGGTCAGGAGTTTGAGACAAGCCTGGCCAACATGGCGAAACCCCATCTCTACTAAAAAAATACAAAAATTAGCCAGGCATGGTGGCGCGTGCCTGTAGTCCCAGCTACTCAGGAGGCTGAGGCAGGAGAATCGCTTGAGCCCAGGAGGAGAGGTTGCAGTGAGACGAGATTGTGTCATTGCACTCCAGCCTGGGCAACAGAGTGAGTCTCTGTCTCATAAAAAAAAGAATGTAATGGGTCCTTAACCAAACTGTTAGAGAACCACTGATCTACATATAACAATTTAATTTTTTTGAAGGTGCCTGTACTCATCTTCTATAATTCTTTAAATCTTCTTTGAATAGAATAGTCTACTGTACGTGTGTATATATCTTCATCTATATATATAATTACATTTTACATGCATTTTTGTTTTTACACATTTATTGTGTGTTCATGTGTGTTTGTCAGCAGAACTGCAACTTAAATGGAAGCACTGACCTACTTGGTGTTTTGGTTCTTTCTTGTGGCTGATTTTGTCCACAGGCCAAGTTTCTATAAGTGATTTAGTTATGTGAGCTAGTGGATTTCTGATGATAGTGTTGGATGAAAGGCACAGAGTTCCGTAGCCACAGGCAGGAACAGTTGGTGGGAGATGGGTGGTCCTCCAGGGAAGCTGCCATCACAGGTCAGCCTTATCCTCTGATGGTTGTGCTGGATTTCTTGCAACTTGTATTGTGCTCAAGGCAGGAACTCAGAGGTATCCTTAGAATGGGGCTTCACTGTACAAAGTCCTGGCCACTATAAATGTTTCAGAGAAGATGCTGGCTCTCTAAAACCAAATTCAAAGAGGGAGTACATTTGCACTTCTCAGCCACACCCGGCTGCCAACAGATGTTTGAGATCCTTGTTTCACTGAGGTTATTAACTCTAGAGTTACCTGAAATTCAGTTGCTATGTGTGTTCTCTCTCATTTTCATATGACACTAAAGAACAGTACTGAGCCATATCTGTCTTCATTTATCTATCCCAGAGCCTTTTCTTTATTGTAACTGTTGTGTCTTTTCTGATCCCCCTCCCTGCTTCTACTCCTACCCCACCCCACTTGCAGAATTTCCTCTTGTTATTTCCAATCAAATCCTTCATTTCTAAACAAACATCAGCACCTACAGTGTTGGAAGATGCAATACAATTTCCTTAAAACTCACAACATAAAAATAGCAATTCCAGGAACTGGAGTAATAGAGCTGTAAAACCTAATTTGGCCCCACAGATTCATTCTATGCTGATCTGTCCTTGCTTTTCCCCTCTTGACTTGTCCAAAAAGAAGATCTTCAACCTTTTCAATGCTATCTAAAAGTTCTTATTGCCAAAGTAGAGAGAAAACCTAGAGTTAAATGATCTCTTCTTATGTCTCACTTCATTTTCTTTTTTCTCAACCATGTAGGGAAAGAAAAGAGGATTTTGATGGGTTTTTAAACATGGCCAACATAGGTTTTATTTATCAGAGGAGACACCTAGATTCAGTCTGTTACATTCATTTAATCACACGTCTGACATCCAAGCCTTTGGGGAAAAGAAGAAAGTTTTGAGATGGGGAGGTGGCGGGGGTGAGGAGATGGTGGTGGTGCAAGAGTCAACTAAGTGGTAGATCAAACAGTGGTTATAGGAAAATATTCCCCCTTCCTCTCTTACCTTCCTCTTTTTTGCCACCACGCCTGAGACACAAGGAGAGGCAGATGTTCAAGGTTATAGCATGCTGCCACAACCCTGACACACGGTGAGGCACAGGCCCTGATGGAGCAGAAGCTTAAGGCACTAGCATGCTGGGGATGGGGAGGAGGAGAAGGAGGAAATCTTAGGCAGTGGTCTGGATAGAGAGAAGGAAGAAGAATTTCTCTTGTCACTAACCTCCTTATTGAGCCCAGTTTCCAAATGGCTATTACAGTGCAAGAAAAAATTACATAAATGTTTGTATGTATGTATGCATATGTGTATGTGTATGTGTATGTGTATGTGTATGTGTATGTGTATGTGTATGTGTTGGGAGAAGAGTTTGGAGCAGGGGGTACTGCTAAATGCCTCCAGCTGCCCACACAACTATTGTCATTTTTCTATTGTCATTATTCTCAGTCTATATTTATTTTATCTTTGTTATTATAAATGAGTCCAAGAGATGTGTAAGATTCAAAAGAATATAGTTTGAAGGGCATTGGTGGTGATTTAGAAACCTCAACATCACTGCCAATCAGCAAGTCCTGCCAATCTGTGTTCTCAATAGTTCTTAAAGTTGCCTACACTTTATCATCACTAGCATTGCTGTAATATATTTTTTCTTGCTTGAATTACTGCTTTAGTTTACGACAAATCTTCCTTTTCTTTAATTCCCATCTTTTTCTTCTAATTCACAATGCAACCAGAGTGGGCATTCCTGAAGACAAATATGATCATGCTACTTCATTCCTTAAAATCCTTCTGTGGGACCATATTGCCTTAAGGGGAATATCTAAACCCCTTAGTATGGGTCCAGTAGTTCTGTGATCTAAGTCCTGCTTCCTCCTTTGCATTTCCCAGCCACACATCCTCAGTTCTTTAGGGACCACTGACATAGTCCCCAGAACCTTCCCAGTGCTCTCTGGCATTTGCACCTTTGGGTTTCCTCTGTTTGGAACATACTTTCCACGTTTTTCACCCTGTGAATTCTTTTTTTTTTTTTTTTTTTTTTAAGATGGAGTCTCACTCTGTTGCCCAGGCTGGAGTACAGTGGTGCAATCTCAGCTCACTGCAACTTCCGCCTCCCAGGTTCAAGCGATTCTCCTGCCTCAGTCTCCCTAGTAGCTGGGATTACAGGTGCGCACCACCACACCCGGCTAATTTTTGTATTTTTAGTAGAGATGGGGTTTCACCATGTTGGCCAGGGTGGTCTTGAACTCCTGGCCTCAGGTGATCCACCCTCCTCAGCCTCCCAAAGTGCTGGGATTATAGGCGGGAGCCCCAAGCCGGCCTGCCCTGTGAATTGTAAGTAGCTGATCCTTCGAAGCTCAGATTAGGTGTCACTTCTCCTGCAAGACTGAGCCGAGGATCCTTTACATGCCCCTCCTAAGTGTGTCTCTGTCTCAGCCCCCACCACTCTGTATTTTAATTATTTTCATTACTGTTACTATTAATAGCTTAATGTTTATTATCGTTTTGTCTTAGTTCATGGGTTTGCTCATGGGCAGAGACTGTTTTTTTATCTCTGCATTCTCAATTGCAATCTCACCACATAGGCAGTACCCCCTAAATAAATTGAATACCTTCCTCTTACGGTTTGAGAAACCCAGAGAGAGAAGCCACCTTGCTAGTGATCACATAAGAGAAGCAGAGCCTGCCTTTTGATCTAGTGTTTGTTTCCCTCCATCAGGAATTACAGACTCAGATGTCTATAAGAGCCAGATAGACAACAAAAATGAGAAAAGTGGGCTGGACACATTCTCTCATTTTTCTGGAAAATATGACTTTCTCACAGTATACTTTCCCATGTATGATAAAGAAATATTTTAGCACAAGACATATTTTCCTCTTAAACTACCACACAAGAAAAACAATAGTACAAAAATGATGGTTATATTGCAACTTGATGAATTATAGAAGATTCAAATATCAAATGTTTCTTTGTGCTGCCGCGAGTCTTGGCCTATACGTAAATGAATCACATCTCATGTTATGGTTTCAGTCTTTGGGTTCATGACCTAGCTTGGCAATCAAAACCTTCTGAACTTTCCAGTTTCATCTTTAATCGCTGAACCCCTAACCTCACTTATGAACACACATAACATACCCCAAAGTGTCCAACTTTACTGAATTGTAGTTTTGCAACACACCATTTTTAACACCTCTCTCTGTCTCTATCCTTTCTCCATCACCTCTGCTTGAATCAACTTCAATCCCTGTTCCTACTGTCACCCACTCTCATTATTTGGTACTAGATGAACCTCTAACTCAGAAAGCTCAAACACCATTCCCGGGCATAGACCTTCTGGTCTATGGTGTGTGTGTTAGTGTTAGCAGAGTACACAAGCACTTTAGCAAGCACTTATTCAACTGCCCCATTTAGGACTTGCCTAACATTCTCCAATAAAGTTAAACATAGTCCAGGATTAAATTGTGTTTTCTTAATTTTCCAGAGGTGACATACTGCCTCTGGTATCAAATTTGATTAAACCTGATAACTTTAATGCCATTTGCTTCTGTTGGGGAGGAAAAATTTTTTTGTTTACTCTAGAGAATAGATTTTTTTCTATTCACTAAGGGACAGAACATTTATCAAAATTATCTTGGTGATTTGAAAGGGAGAAATATACTTCTTTTTCCTTGCCAGAAGCAGGTCCAGGGCATTATTAGCTTGTGGTAACAATTGAATAATCCAGCAATGCTGACTTATTTGAGATTCAGCCTTTAAGCCCCTGCTGTGTGGTTAGTTCTGTCCAATCTGCTGGCATGCTGGAGCAGGGAGCCTGCAGAGGCTTTGGAAGGAAAAACCATTTAACAAGTCTCAGATACTAAAGACATTTGATTTAATTTCATGTGTTACACATGGTTACCTGGTTTCCCTTGGCAACCTCCAGTTCCGCCCTACTTTATAATTAGAGGATGGTGGGATACATTGCAGACTTGATGACATCACCTGGAAGTGACTTGTAGAGAACAGAGTTTGCTTCAAAAGAAGAGACACAAAGGTCACTAAGAAAAGACGGAAGAGTCTGAGGTTCCTTAAAGAAGAGACAGATAGCTCTCTATAGCTCAGATTTCATTGAAGAGGGAGGTTTCAGAACTAGCTATAGCAAAGCAGTTTGGAAATATGACGGAATGAGATCAAGTCCTGTAAATCTTTTAAGGTATAAATCTGAATTTTATTATTTGTAAAGTACAGATAAGGTTTCAGTTCAACAACAGTATTAATTACCATTTATTCAGTATTTGCCAGGAATATGACTTGGGTCTTTACAAACACATTAAATCATCACAATAGTCCTGCAAGGGAAGTATTAATATTTTTGTATATATAAGGACATGTGTTTATTGATCTCTTAAAGAAGGAGGCTGGGCCAGGAGAGGTGGCTCATGCCTGTAATCCCAGCACTTTGAGAGGCCGAGGTAGGCAGATCACTTAAGGTCAGGAGTTTCAGACCAGCCTGGCCAACATGATGAAACCCGGTCTCTACTAAAAATATAAAAATTAGCTGGATGTGGTGGCGGGTGCCTGTACTCCCAGGTACTTAGGAGGCTGAGGCAGGAGAATCGTTTGAAACGGGGAGGAGGAGGGTGCAGTGAGCCGAGATCGTGCTACAGCACTCCAGCCTGGGTGACAGAGTGAGACTCTGTCTCAAAATAAAAGAAAAAAAACAAAGAAAAAGAATGAGGCTGAAGGAAGGGCGGGACAAAATTAACTACAAGGTTTCAGTTTTAGGAGACCATTATTCTTTTTTTTTTTTTTTTTTGAATGCTCCCTAAGTCCCATAGGTCTCAGTCGTCTATTATAAAACAGTTTAATAACAGTGCCTATAAATGATTTCTTTAGGCATCCAGAAAAGTTTAAATTACAATCATCTTAGTAATTCTCTCATTTTACACATTAGAAAGTTGAGTCCCAGAAATTAAGTAAAACCTAAAGTTAGGTTTTCTGACTCATAGTAATTTGTGTGTTATAATACTATGATACTGTCTGGGTGCAGTGGCTCATGTCTATAATCGTAGCACTTTGGGAGGCCAAGGCGGGCGGATCACGAGGTCAAGATACTGAGACCATCCTGGCCAACAAGGTGAAACCCTGTCTCTACTAAAAATACAAAAATTAGCTGGGTGTGGTGGCGTGCACCTGTAGTCCCAGCTACTCGGGAGGCAGAGGCAGGAGGATTGCTTGAACCCAGGAGGTGGAGGTTGCAGTGACCCGAGATCACGCCATAGCACTCCAGCCTGGGCGACAGAGTGAGGCTCCGTCTCAAACAAACAAACAAACAGAACCATGATACTATGCCCATGCATTTTGAAATAAGGCTCTAATAAATGAAAGGAAAAAAGGAAGGGGTCTTGTAATACTACTACTATAAATGTATTAGGTTGAGCTAGCAGAGTAAACTAACACATCAGAAGGTACTGGTGAGACATTCAGGCACTGGTGTTACGGGATCCTTGGGGTGTTGCTTCGCCAGCTGGAAACCTCTGTGGACAGTGGCGTCTTTGCCCGAGTTTTTCTCTAGCCCGCTAGGCTCGTTCTGTCCACTCGGCCTGGCACGCTACGCCTGGGTCTGATGCCTGCCAAGGGCAAGCCAGGCGTGGAGCAGCGAGAGGTGTGTGAGTGAGCATGGGGTCCAGCCATCGCACACAGCAGGCACGCTGGCTGCAGTGGGGCAGGCAGCTCCACGCGCAGTCATGGCTCCCTGTGAAGCTGAGGCTGGACCAGAAATACCATAAACAGCTTCCACAGCTGACCCCGGGGAATATGGTGGCACCTGGAAATTTGGAGACGCTAGAAACCGCAGAGCCCTAAAGAGGGTGTCACGCCCTGGCTCAGGGAGCTCCTAGGTCTGGGTTCCCGGCCACAGCTCTTCTCTTCCTCTCTCTTCTCTCCTTCTCGTCCCCCGTGGTGAGCAAGGGGCGTGTTTCAGCCCTGTTTGTTTTACAGCTCTTTTAGCCCCACCATTTGTCAGGTCCTGAGTTCTTGTCTTGCGTCCAGGAAGAATGAGGTATGCAAACAAGTGGAGGATGAGCAAGATGAAAAGGAGCTTTATGGGCGTGGTGGCACGCGCCTGTAGTCCCAGCTACTTGAGAGGCTGAGGCAGGAGAAACACTTGAACTCGGGAGGCGGAGGTTGCAGTGAGCTGGTATCGCACCACTGCACTCCAGCCTGGTGACAGAGCAAGACTCCATCTCCAAAAAAAAAAAAAAAAAAAAAAGGAGCTTTATCAAGTGGTAGAACAGTTCAGAGAAGACCCACAGTGGGTAGGGTAGCTCCTCTGCATAGCCAGGGTGTCCCGATAAGTGTTCAGCTCTCAGCAGAGAGAGTAGCTCCTCTGTGCAGGCAGGTCGTCCTGTCATTCTTCAGCTCTCAGCAGAGAGGGTAGCTCTTCTCTGCAGGCAGGTCGTCTGTCATTTCTTCAGCTCTGAGCAGAGAGGAAAGCTCCTCTCTGCAGGCAGGTCGTCCTATCGTTTCTTCAGCTCTCAGCAGAGAGACTCTGGGGTGGATAGCTCCTCTCTGCTGTTGGTTGTCCCCTCATCTCTTTGGGTCTGGCTGAGTCCAGGGCTTTATATGGGCCTCAGAGGGGAGGAAGTGTGTGCCAATTGGTCCATGGGCAGCCATGGGTGGGCCTGGAAAAAGGACCACAAGTTCCTACTCCTGTCCCGGGGACTGGCAGCCCAGCCCCCAGGCTTCAGGCCCTCCCTGGCTTGAAGGTGGGGCTTCACTGTGGACCTGCCGCTTTCTGCCCAGGAACCTCTCTGCCTCCTGCTGCTGTTCATGGCGCCCTGGCTGTTCTTGCCAAGGGGCGCCTGCAGGCCAGCACCAAACTGCCCTCAGCCCCTCCTTGGCCTCCCTCCCGTACTTGTTGGTGCCCAAAGTCTACAGGGGGCTGAGGCAGCATGGGGCTGGCGTGTCAGCACTGCCATGAGTGTGCACACACCTGGCTGGGCTGCGACAGTGCCCAGGCTCGGCTCCAACCCTTCTCCGAGATTGGTGCAGGCACTGGGAGCAGGGAGAGGTCAGGGAGCGGGAGCAGACCCCTCCAGGCCTGTGGGGACAACGGGGGGGCCTTCCCGGGTCCCTGAAAGTGCAGAGATGCTTAGGTCCACAGCCGCAAGTTGGGTGAGACTCCAGGGACTGCCTGCCTCTTTGCGTTTTCCCCACAGCAGAGGCCGCCCCAGCCAACCCCGTGCAAATTAACCCGACACTTTCAGGGCTGGCCCCACGAGTCCCGGCTGTGCCTTTGGCCGGGTGCTTGTGGACCCCTGAGATGGTGATGGGGAGCGAGGTTGAGGCCGGGACGGAGGCTTTGGGCCTGAGAACAGGTCCTGGCCGGCCATGCGAGAGCAGAGGTGGCACAGTTGGCTGCCTCGGGGATGTGGAGCACAGGGGTCCCACCGCCGCCACTGCTGCTCCCACAACCCCTCCTGCCGCCACCGCCCACACCTCCCGGCTGCAGCAGGCTTGATGGCAGCAGCTACTCCGGACGGTCCACACTGCCATCACTGGAAACAGGTTGTGCCCAGTTAGCGGTTAATTTATTCTACTTGGCTGACGTCTGAAAGAATTAATGCAGCTAATCTTTCCAAGTGATCATCAGTCTTTAGGAGTCCATAGAGTACCCTACTGGTCATCCGAAGGAAGTCCTGTTAGTTTAGAAGGACAGGTCTACATACGAACCACAGCATATCCATAAATTAAGCCGTGTCTTGAAGTGGATGTGAATGATAATCGTTGGCCTTTTTTTGTGACACGTAGAAGCAGACTACATGTGGTATTTATTGACTTATACAATGTTTCCGTCATGTTTACAAAATGCTGTGTGCTGTGGGGGACATATCGTTACCTTTCTTTAAGGTGAAAGCTGTGGGAGTCTAACAGGAAACAGAAATCTCAGTGTCAGTCACTTACTATGCAAAGCATTTGGCATACATTTCTTTTTTTTCTTTTTTTTTTCTTGAAACGGTGTCTCGCTCTGTCGCCCAGGCTGGAGGGCAGTGGCGCGATCTCGGCTCACTGCAAGCTCCGCCTCCCGGGTTCACGCCATTATCCTGCCTCAGCCTCTCAAGTAGCTGGGACTACGGGCGCCCGCCTCCACGCCCGGCTAATTTTTTTGTACTTTTTTTTTCAGTAGAGACGGGGTTTCACCGTGTTAGCCAGGATGGTCTCGATCTCCTGACGTCGTGATCCGCCCACCTCGGCCTCCCAAAGTGCTGGGATTACAGGCGTGAGCCAGCGCGCCTGGCCCAGATTAAATGCGGGCTGGGCGCGGTGGCTCACGCCTGTAATCCCAGCACTTTGGGAGGCCGAGGTGGGCGGATCACTTGATGTCAGGAGTTCGAGACCAGCCTGGCCAACATGGTGAAAACCCGTCTCTACTAAAAACACAAGTTAGCCGAGTGTGGTGGCAGGCATTTGTAATACCAGCTACTCAGAAGACTGAGGCAGAAGAATATCTTGAACCTAGGAAGCAGAGGTTGCAGTGAGCTGAGATCCTGCCAGTACACTCCAGCTTGGGTGACAGAGCGAGACTCCGTCTCAAAAAAAAAAAAAAAAAAAAAAAGAGAAGAAAGAAAGAAAAAGAAACACTCATACCTCATTAATGAGAAATAGAAATCTGTAAGGAGGAGGGGGATACCCCGGCTGAATTCCTAGGCCACAGTAAACCACCATTGCAAAATAAAATCTTACCTCATTTTTGATTTTAAATGAGACTGAGGTCACTGGTAAATTTTTGAATACTAACTCGTCACCTAAAAAGGGGAGTTTGATTAGCAAATAGTTAAGCACTTCAGTAATGATATTGAGACTTAATTTCACTGAACATGTTTCCCCCTTTTCTCTTTCTGGGTGTGACTAAATTGCCTACAGCATGCTGCATGGTTGCTGGTAAAACAGGAAATGGGGTAAGTAATTTAGGTAGGGAATTTTTACTACCATTCAAATACAAGCTACCTGGTTCTTAAAGCACTTTTACTACTACAATCTCTATTTTTATAGTGCATTCACTAGCTACTAGAGAAATTAGCACAAAGAACCAATTTTTATTCTATACATTTAGGGTATCAATCTTGTTTCATTAGTTTATTTGCATAGCATATTAGTAGTTTATTAAAGCAGGTTCATTTTTTGTGTGTTTTAATATGAATGTAAATACATGTTTTATATGCATTAGGCACTTATGTAATGTAGTTTGGGCAGTTATTTTTTAAAAATAAATTTTATTTATTATTATTATTTTTTTTTTTTGAGGTGGAGTCTTGTTCTGTCACCCAGGCTGGAGTGCAGTGGTGTGATCTCAGCTCACTGCAACCTCCACCTCGCTGGTTCAAGCGATTCTCCTGCCTCAGCCTCCCAAGTAACTGGGATTACAGGAGCCTGCCACCATGCCTGGCTAATTTTTGTATTTTTAGTAGAGATGGGGTTTCACCATGTTGTCCAGGCTGGTCTTGAACTCCTGATCTCAGGTGATTCACCCGCCTCGGCCTCCCAAAGTGGTGGGATTACAGGCACGAGCCACAGCATGCAGCCTAAAAATAAATTTTATATTGGTCTTAGAAACTAAACTATAAAACTATGTCATAAAAGATAAAAAGTAAATAACTGGTGGAACAACAGTGAGTTTACACATAGGTAAGACATAGAAAACATAGATTCACAATCCTTTATCTGAAACACTTGGAGGCCAAAAGTGTTTTGAAATATAAAATTTTTGGATTTTTAAAATGTGATATGATGTTAGAGATCATGTATATCATTTCCGTCCCCTCCCCCGCCCAGGCTCTGGGGTGGTACTACATAATCAAACATATTAATATTTCTGCAACAAAACATATGAATATTCATAGTAAGTTTGATAAAGTCTCTAAATCGCCTCCTTCAAATCAGGATTTGATTCCCAACTGAATTTAAAAATTTTTTTTAATTCTCCAGAATATTTTGGCATTTGAAACTAAAACATACCAGTAAAAAAAAGGGCCATATGACTGTTGGCAGTACCTATGTACTCTGGAGAGAAAAATCCAGGAAGAAGCATAAATTTCTGTTTTAGAATCTCATACTTGGTTAAGTGACTTATAGAAAAATAATTAATTTGGCTTTTTTGTTTGTTTTGTGTTATATATCTGCATTTTCAAAAGGGTAATAACTACATAAGGTTTGGGGGTTTCGTTAGATCTTATTAAATTAGTCTCAAATGGTTTAGATTCTGGTGTAATAAAACTTGATCCTATGTTTTTAGAAATTTGCTAGCATAGTCAGAGCATGCTTTTTTCTAAATGTTTTCAATTTATATCTATGTTGCTAATGAGTTACTGTTTTTATTTCGGGTTTTGTTTTTTTTTTTAAACGTAGTTTCACCCCTGTTGCCCAGGCAGTGGTGCAATCTCGGCTAATTGCAACCTCTGCCTCCCAGGTTCAAGTGATTCTCCTGCCTCAGCCTCCCAACTAGCTTGGGATTACAGGCATGCACCACCATGCCTGGTTAATTTTTTTTGTATTTTTAGTAGACACAGGGTTTCACCATGTTGGCCACGCTGGTCTCTTAACTCCTGACCTCAGGTGATCCACATGCCTCGGCCTCCCAAAGTGCTGGGATTACAGGCATGAGCCACTGCTCCCGGCTTTTTATTTCTTATCAAAGGATTTTAAACTAAGTTTAGTTCTTCCAAAAGATTCTGACTGATATAGGGATAATGGAACAGAAAAAAACACAGGTCATTGTTCTTTTCCCTCAGTGTCCCTAGTTCATTCTGGGTTGAAAAGATTGTGGAGGAATTGCTGTTAAAGAATTGATTTAGGGAACTTACAAAAAAAATTAATTGCCTTGCATACTCTGGTTCATCTTTTCTTTAGAATGGTTGTTGTGTTGTATCTACAGCAAAAGTGATTGCAACTGACACCCTCATAAGCACTTATCTGACAGAGAAGAGAAAGAGAAGTGTAGTTACTAAGTATGAAATGGGGACTGAATTTACTTTAATGAGTACTAGTCCCTCTAAAGGACAATCAGGTATATGCTAGGGACCTCTGTGAAGATATTTAGCCCAAATTGTATTAGGAAACTTATTAGCTGCATTTAACTTTCAGGATTGGAAATCTGGCATTTTAAGTAGTATATTTGCTTTATATATAAGGATGAGGTTTCCAAGCTGTCTGTTAACCTTTTCCTCTGGCTCTATAATCTGGAGGGAAAAAATACCTATGGTTGAAGTTTTTAAACTGGACTCAAATGCACTAAATATATTTCAAAGACTGTGAAGGATTTAAAACACTGGTTTTCTTAAATAATGTTTTAACTCATTTTTGGGATTCGCTTTTGTAACAACCCTTTGGACTTTCCAGAATGTAAACAGTTTTAAAAATTGTTTCCATTCTTGTGTTTTCTGTTTCAACGTTTATTCTTTAAAATGTATTTTCATATATTATTTACTTTCAACTGTGATGCTATTTTGTGCAAATATTAAATAGTTGAACTGTTGACACAGTATCAGGATAGTCTTTTAAAATACCTAAAATCTTTCTAATATTCAGAGAATTAGGAACAGTTTATGAAGCTCACACAGTATTTGAATAAGTTCTTGGATGTAGAGAAATAATTTGATTATTTGTCAGATGTAGAGTTTATCTGGGTATTTCAATGTTAAATCACAATCCCAAACCATATGAAAGCTCTCTCTGTAACAAGTTATATTCTCAGCTGGATACAGAATGGGTAGATCAACTACTTCTTTCTTTTTTTTATTTTTTTTTGGATCAACTATTTCTTATTTTGCATTTTTAGAGGAATAGTGATCTGCATATTCTTTTTTTTTTCTGATCAACTAAATTCAGCCATTAGCTTAATTACTTTTTGTTTTTAACCTGTGGTTAGTAGTGTCTTTTGGTCTTAAATTACAATGGATGTTGCCTATAAGGAGTAATTTCTATCAGTGAAAATTGGGCATTAAAAGGGATGATGCATAAGTTGGCCCTTACATCTCTTTCATTAAAAGCAGCCCTATAAATCGCCATAAGGCTGGTTTGAAGTTTTAATTATTTGAATGACGTGGGCTTGTTAGTTTGTTAGTAATATCCCAGTGTTCTCAGCAGAGTAGAGGAGTTTTAATAATACCACACCATGTTTTTCATCCCTTTTATCTCAAGTTCCTTTCTATCACAATTTTAGGTTACAAACTAAAGCTATAATTTATAAAAGGGACTTCCCAAAACCTATTTATTGTCTCATGAGTATATTTTGGGGGAATGTCAAATTTTTATTCAGCTATTTATCTGATAATACATTGATGAGCATTTCAGAACATTGATACTTTAGGATTTAATATTTCTTCTTCAGCAGTAAAGTTTTTTAAAAAGTACAGCTTCTTTGTTGATTTCCCAAAAGTAAGCCCCATTTTCAACAAGAGGGGAAAAGCAAGCATTAAAATGTGGATGTGATTATTGTAATACACAGTTTTATAGTTTGTGAGCAGTAAACCAATCATCTCTATCCCATCTTTCTGTCTTCTGATGTATAAATCCTGGAATCTGGCAATTCTAGCTTAGAAAAACCCATAGTGTGCTTTTGACTTTGAAGCTTTAAAAATTGTGTTATATGCCATTAAAAAAAGTAATTCCATGATTCCACTAGAGTATAAGGTCCATGAGGTGAGGAATTTTTGTCTGCTTTGTTCTCTGCTTTCTATTTAATGTGTAGAATAGTGCCTGGTACATACTAGGCACTCAATCAATATTTTAAAAATAATTGCATAAATTCTTGCCTTTAATAGAAAAAGTAAAGTTTTTCATGTCAGTGAATTAATTTTTATGTTATTCAGAAAGCAGAGTCTGTCGCTGGGAAGAGATGATATAGTTCAGCTAAAAGAAGCCTACAAATGGATAACTCACCCCCTGTTTTCAGAGGAACTGGGTGTTCCCATTGATGGAAAGGTATTGGGTCAACAGCATTGTTAATTTTATTCTCTGATTTTACTAGTTTTACTTAATTATATGGCAGGGTTTTGGTTAGCCAAAAAAACTTCTTTTTAAATAATCCAGTGAAGGATTTTTTAAGCTTTTAAAATGTTAAATTCTGATAGTCTTAAATTGAAGTCAAAGCATTTCTTTTTTTCTTTTTCCCTTAGACTTCTTTATGATCTAAGACACTTATGAAGGTACCAGGTGCCCTAATTGACCTTAAAAGGTTAGAAATGAATCTTTGCCTTGATGCAAAGCATCAGACTTGATGCAAAGCAACATATAAATAACTGCAAGCAAATATAGAGTCAACTCTGGACTATTTAATTTTGGTTTATCTGTGGCTAATCTTGTTTTCAAATGCATGGACAGAACCTATTCAACTACAATGAGTATGGGCTCAATCCTACCTTGTTGGTATCTCAAATCCCCCTGTTTACTTTTAGGCAGTAACTGCCTTTGAAAACAGAACATTTCCCTTTTCCAGAGCAGACCTTACCTCAGTCTCTGAAATGGGTTGACTTTCAGGGAAGACTCAACAGGCTTCCAGGTGTGAAAACAGGAAGGTCATCTTAAATTAGATTTTAATATTATGGCCTCATTGCTTCATCATTTTGCTAGAAGGAAATTCCCTGAATATCAGATACACCCCTATTCAAATAAAATCACAAAACCATCTACTAAAGCTAAACAGTTTTTCAAAACCATTCTGAATTATGCAGTAATATTTCCTTCTGTAAGAATATGCTCTGTTCTGTAAACCGAGTATTGAGAGAATAGAGAATAAAACCACTTCACAGATAGCATGAAGAGGAAATGAGGTAATGAAAGTATTTTGGAAGTTAGAGAAGTCATTAATGCAAAATATTTTTACCTCAAATTTCAGTTTTGAAGCACAAATAATTTTACATGTTGTATCAGTGAGAACAGAAAATAGAAAACAAAAGATGTGGGTTGAGTGAAGTTTCCCTGAATAAAAGGAATGCGTTGTTCATTTTAATTATTGTATAGATTAGAATAAGGAGCGAGAAAAAAAAAGCTATTCATTATTGTGATTCTAGAGTAGCTAATAGGTCTACTAACTATCCAATGAACTCAGTAAATATAAAGACAAAATTGCAACATAGTATGGCATTTTTAGCTATTCCTGCCCCTGACCCCTCCCCGATATGGAATTTTGTATATTCTCCATGGAGGTAAAAGTATAAAATCATGCTTTTTTTGGTGTACAAGGATGTTCATTATAGCATTTTTTTTTTGTTACAGAAAAATTTTCTACAGCTTAAATGTCTGACAGTCCCTAGAGTTGAAAAGATTTCCATGATATAATATTAAAGCAATTTTCCAAAAGCATGTCTTAAAAAATAATACATATACATTTATATTCACAAAAATGCCTAGAAAGAAACATCAAATTGTTAATGGTTCTGCTTCAGTGGCGTGGGATTGAAAAACTGTCTTGTATTTGATCATTTTATAATTTATGTGTATAATTTTTGTAATAAAACAAAAAAAATTAAGATCTGGTTTTAAAACTCAAATCCATTAAGACGTTTGAGCACTTTAAAAAGAAGCTTCATATGGTTTTTAGGGATCTGAATAGTATGTTTTTTGCCTTGCTAATAATTCAAATCATAGTATTGGCAGAATAATTCTTCATTTCTCTCTGTTATTATTTATTTTCAATTCTGTAAATTCTCATTCATCTTTATACCTAATTTACACATTTGTCCAAAAAGTATACACATTTATTTTAAAACTTTTTTGGTAGGATCACTAATGACTGAGTTTTAGAAGTTAAAAAAAAAAACAAAACTATTTCCTTTACAGCTGCCCTGATAACAAGTTGATTTGAGAGCAGTAGTATTTCCAGTTTTTCTGGTCATTCTTTTCTGAGCCAATCTTTGAGAATTAATTTCTATTTCCATTAATAAGTTGTTAGATGTTAGTTTCCTTTTGCTCATTTTTAAACTGTCTTTATAATTTTTAGAGCTTGTTTGAAGTGAGTGTGGTCTTTGCTCACCCAGAAACAGTTGAGGATTGCCACTTCCTGTAAGTTGCCATGTAAACAACGTCAATGGTGTAAAATTGTTAATGCTGTTTGGTTTTCATGAAAATAGTATTGCTTCTCTTCCTAATAAGAAAGAGAAGAACTTGTTATGTCTTAGTAGGTTTAAAATGTGCCCTCAAAAAAATAAAATGTGTCCTTGAACATAGTTCCTGGGCAAACCGATATAGCTCATACAGGGACTCATTTTGTCTGCTCCTGATGTCCTGAGTTTAGCAGCCATTTTGTATGAAATATATTTGAATTATATCTACCCCAAAATAAACTCATTAACCTTTTATATTAACTTGAATTTTATTTTAGAGCTGCGATATGCCCAGATTGTTTTAAGCCAGCCAAAAACAAACAGGTAAGGAAAGGTTCCCGCTTCTTAGTCTTGAGTGAGTTTTGTCTGAGCTGAATATTCAAATTTCCAACAAAAAGGATATGCATCAGAAACATGGCAACTCTATTATACTAAGAATCAGCTTTTAAATATTTCCATTTGCTACATTAATTTTTGTTTTTCAACTTTTTCAACCTTCACCTCTGGCTAGGAAGTTGTAGCACACAAACATCCTCATGTTTGTGTAGTGTCTAGATTGTTCCCCTGACGATGTTAAATTTAGAATCAGTGTTTCAGTGATGTTACTATTACTCATTAAATTCGACGTTTAGATTTTAATCCCTCAAATTACATCATCTGAGAAAATCAATGGTAAGTATCAGTAGCATTCCAAACTTTCAGCTAATATCCATTTTCCAGAAATCAATGTTTAGAATATATAATTCAAAGTAAGTTGTTTTATTTAGGACAGTCCTGAATTAACATGTCCTCTTTCTGGCTACATTTGCAAAAAGGGCATTTTTATTCAAACTCTTCTTTATCATCTTAATGTTAGCTAATCTTCATGTTAACGGACAAGTTAGTTAACATACACTCTTAGCTCGTATCATGTCAGGATAGAATGATGTGGTGCGATATTGGTCATCTTTCATGCATCAGTTTCGTAGGTGGTTTGGTACGTAGACTTAGGCATTCCTACAGTTTTACTGACATTCATTTTGTTGTTGTGATTGTTAAAAAGAACATAAGCTCATTGTCAAATGTACATCTGTTGGTTTTGCCTCTTGCTTTGACTAATTGCTGGGCCTTTTAGAACTGGGGGAAAGAAGTTTGTAACATTTGCCTAATGCCCTGTGCAGAAATAATTAGAAATGCAGACCAAGCCGAAAGCAGCACCTCCCTACTTTTCTTATATCATGGCACATCTAAAACATTCCATGTTTGTTCAGCACCCTGAGCTTAACAGGATGGAGTTGCTTCAGATTGGTAGCAACAGGCCTGGGGTTTCCACTGTCTGAGGCCCTGCCCAGCAACCCTTCTGAACTAAAGAGATCAACATCTTGGCACAACCATAGTCCACTGCTTTGCTATGCCAGTTGGGAAGCTCTGCCCAAATAACCTGTAAGATGTATCTACATTGAAGACCTAGTTTTATTTTATTTACCCTTAAGGAAATATAATAATAGGCATCAAGTAATAGGATAAGGAGATTTTTGTTAAAGCATCATAGACACCACACCATTGGCCAGTGGGAGTTGTAGAGTCTGAAGTATAGTTTTCTTGCCTCATGGCTGGGAGCAAATTGAATGACTTTTTGAGATTTTTTTCAAGCCTAAGATTTCATATCTTATCAAACAGGCACTTAATTTTCAGTTGTAACCCTATGGTATCTTATAGAATGCCATAGTGTTCCCTAGAATATGGTTTTGAAAAAATTATTCCTTTGGTGATATACTGTTGAGCTGCCTACACTGTAATCCTTTTCAGTCAAATGTGATTTCTCCTAACAGAAGAACTAATTGTGATTTATCATGGTAAGCCATGTATATATGCACTAATTAGTTCTAGTGTGTCTACTGTGCAGTTTGGCTTTTCTTATCTTAAAAAATCCAAGTGGAACATTTGTTGTAGATGCCCTTCTGTTCAGTACAGTGGATTTGCTTACTCTGTGGCTGGTGAGTGAGACTGAGTTGCTAGATGCCAGGGCTGGCAGGTTGGCTCTGCTTTATCCCTTACCCTGGCAGCCAACTCCTAAATTACATACTGTGGCCTCTGAAGGGATGTAGGAAAGAAAAGGTAGCTGAATCAATCTAAATTCCTGTTGAAGTCAAGGGAAAAAAAATTAAATCACACTTCCTACAGTGTCATCATGTTTTGTATTTGAATTATACCATAATTTGAGAGAAGTGGGACAGTGTGGTGAAGAAGACCTGTTCTGCTAGATCTGCCTGTTATTATAGACAAAGACCAGATTGAAGAGAAGGGTTACAGAGGTATGCCAGTTGCAGAACTGACATGAATGCTTAAGTTTTATTTATTTTCTTGAAATGCTTAAGTATTTCTCCATGTTAAGTATATGAAATGATATAATGAAATGATACAATTTCTCCAGCCATGTTCTGTGTTTCACGTCTGATGTTTTCTTGTCTGGATAATAAAATGTCTTTTCTTCTCATTTTACCCTATATAGTCTGTATTCACTAGAATGGCAGTTATGAAAGCCTTGAATAAGATAAAGGAAGAGGATTTCCTTAAGTAAGTAGAAGTTTAGAAACAAAGAAGCATCGTGAAATTTTAGAATAAAGGGAATGTTAGAGATAAGCTGGATTATCTCTGAAACAAGATGATGTATTTCAGGGGCCAGGATTGTGTCTTAGTCATTGTTATCTCTCCAACCCATGGTGCAGTACCTGGCATATGTGGTGTTCAGTAAATGTTTGTCAAATTAATATCAAGTCTAACGTCTTTTTTTTTTAAAAAATACTTATTTATTTATTTATTTTTTTGAGACAGAGTTTCACTTTTGTTGCCCAGGCTGGAGTGCAGTGGAGCAGTCTCGGCTCACTGCAACCTCTGCCTCTCGGGTTCTAGTGATTCTCCTGCCTCAGCCTCCCAAGTAGCTGGGATTATAGGCATGCACCACCACTGCCCGGCTAATTTTTTGTATTTTTAGTAGAGACAGGGTTTCGCCACGTTGGCCAGGCTGGTCTTGAACTCCTGACCTCAGGTGATCCACCCGCCTCGGCCTCCCAAAGTGCTGGGATTACAGGCGTGAGCCACCGTGCCCGGCCGAATCAAGTTTAACTTCTTGATCTTTTAGAAGAGGGTAGTGTGTCCAAAGAAGGAGTTGACTTGCCTAAGCTAGTAATAGAGTAGACCTGGAGCCAGATGTCCTGAAATTCTAGCCCAGTGCTATGCCTATTACATCCTTAGTCCTGTATTTCCTAGTATCGTTCATCTCCAGAAAAGGGAGAGGAAGGCTCATGAGTTTCCTCACTTGTTAAAATATGCTAAAATAAAATAAATGCAATAAACCTTACATTTTAATTCTTGGTACATTCATTTTATTAAATAAAATATTACTGTAAGTTTTCTTTCCAGAAGATCCTTCAATACATTTCAAACGATGATGTGATAAGGGGGGTAGAGTCAGCAGTAAACTGCACATGACCATGGACAGCAAAATGGTTAAAGAGCCTGAAGGGGCTTCCACTTCCTATGTATGGATTTTTCCCTCAAATCTTGAGGCTATTGGAAAGTATTAGGTTGGTGCAAAAGTAATTGCAGTTTTTGCCTCGGAAGATAAGTCCTCCCGAAGGTGAAAGGTAGCAGCAGAGCCCTTATTTACTTAGTGCCACTCTCATATGTTAAAATTGTTACTCCACAGGCCTGCAAGACCTGTATTGTTGCGAAACTAAAAGTTAGAGAGAGACTTGGGCTCTGTGTATGTCTCAGACAATGCTGATTCATCTAAGTTTTGTGATTCAATATTATGTCTGGAAAATAGCTATAAAATTTATTTTGTTTTGCAGGCAGTTTCCTTGTCCTCCAAACTCACCAAAGGCTGTATGCGCTGTTCTTGAAATTGAATGTGCTCATGGTGCTGTTTTTGTGGCTGGTAAAATATTTAGTCTAGAATATACATACACTGTGAACGTACTCTCCTTTCTAAAAACTCAGCTGACTCCTGTTCTATTTTATTCTTATTGTTGTTATTAGATTCTAATAAGTTTACTCTCTTGAGAAGTAGAATCAATAGCCAAACTTATTTTAGGTTTTGTGGGCATTCTAAAGGATCACTTAGGAGATCAGTTATTTTAAATGCCATGCCAAAGGGAAATGACACTTCCTAGGTTTTAATAGTTCTCATCAGAGATGGCCAAGTAGAAATATGGGTAGATGCAGAGACCCAAAACTGGTTTGGAGAAAAACAGCAGGACAGAGGCTATTTTATAACATAAAAGCAAACTTGAAAAAATAACTTATTATCTCCAAAATGACTAAACACTTGGCTTCCACTGGAAAGAAATTGTTCATTGACTTTCCTAAAAGGTAATCTGGCAGACAAATTTTTGTTTGAAAGTTACAACTGTTTTATAGTAATAGCTGAAGTGAAATTGCTCTTCAGCCTTGACTATAATATCCTATCCTAGGGCAATGAAAGCTACCTGCCTTACTGTAGCTTTACTCATCAGGTGTAAAAGCAAGTTTGGTTGCGTTTTTTTTTTTTTTTTTTTATCCTTGGTATATTCATAATATTATATAACTTGTTTAGTCAGCCAATCAAATTAAATATATTGAGCATTCCTTTCAAACTCATTTGATGTACCATTCATATCATATATTTACCCATCTATTTTATTGTTACTTTAAACCTTTTTATTTAATTATCTACATGTATATGTCCCAGGTCTCCAAATTGGATTGTTAGTTAGGTAAAGGATAGGCCTTGTTTTATATCGTAGCACTTAGGATATTGGCCCTTATAGTTGTTGCTTCTCTTTTTATCCTACCATGTTAATTACTCCATTCCATCCAGGCTATCTGATTATTTCTTTCTCAGGGAGATATAATAAATACTCCAGGAATCTACCACAAACTCCTTGGATAATTGATGGAGAAAGGAAGCTGGAATCTTCAGTGGAAGAATTAATTTCAGATCATCTGTTGGCAGTATTTAAAGCAGAGAGTAAGTGTTACGATCTTCATACTTTTCTTTCTTTTTTTTTTTTTTTTTGAGATAGGGGCTTGCTTTGTCAACTAGGCTAGATTGCAGTAGCACGATCACAGCTTATGGCAGCCTTGACTTCCTGGGCTCAAACGATCTGCCCACCTTGGCCTCCTAAAGTCCTGGGATTATAGGCATGAGCCACCCCACCTGACCTAATCTTCATATTTTATTCTCTCTCTCTTTTTTTTTTTTTTTTTTTTGAGAGAGCCTGTCACCCAGGCTGGAGTGCAGCCTCAATCTCCCAGGCTCAAGCAACCCTCCCATTTCAGTCTCCTGAGTAGCTGGGACCACAGGTATGCACCACCATGCTCGGTTATTTTTTAACATATTTTTAGAGATTGGGGGGTCTCACTATGTTGCCCAGGCTGGTCTCGAACTCCTGGGCTCAAGTGATCCTCCTGCCTGGGCTTCCCAAAGTGCTGGGATTATAGGCATGAGCCACTGCACTTGGCCATATATTTAATACACTGACATTCATGAATAGATTTCTTGGGGGTGGCAGGAAAGATTTCTATATTTTGTTAATCACTACCAAGTCTGGGCCTCTTGGCCATAGGCTTCCTGTGCCTATGGCATCATGTTCTGGGTGCCGCTGGCCTGGGCTGGATTTCAGCCAAGGCACTCGAGAATATCTGCCTGTCCTCTCTCAAGATGATTGCTCTGCCGAGTGCAGTGGTGCGCACCTGCAATCCCAGCACTCTGGGTGGCTGAGGCGGGCGAATCACTTGCAGCCAGGAATTCAAGACCAGCCTGGGCAACATGGTGAGACCCTGTGTCTACTAAAAATACAAAAATCAGCTGGGCATGGTGGTGCGCACCAATAGTCCCAGCTACTTGGAAGGCTGAGGCACGAATCGCTTGAACCCAGGAGGCAGAGGTTGCAGTGTGCTGAGCTCGCACTACTGCACTCCAGCCTGGACGAAAGAGTGAGACTCTGCCTAAAAAAATAAAAAATAAATTTGAAAAATGACTGTTCTCTCCTGGGGAAATTCAAAACAACTGAAACTACTTTAAATGAATGCACCTAAGCCCTGACCTTGGTACACCTCAGCCTTGGCCTCTTTGGGGGAATATGAGGAAATTAAAACACATCTTCCACATCCAGTGCTTCTTCAAGAGTAATCACTGGCAAGTGTTTGGCTTCTCTCTTAACCTGTAAAGTGTCCTGGAATAAAGTTCAGGCCTAGAGAAAGTAAATCAACAGCAGCCATTTTACAAAGACTGAATGGCAGCTGTAATGTTTTTGAATTTAGGTATTAACGAGCCCAGGTTCATGGGATGAGTCAGGTTCCATCAGGTTTATGTTTTCCTTGTCTCAACAGGCCTGTCAGGTCAAAGGCAGCATAATGTCTTGTGATTTCAATTGCAGGAAATGGTGTTACACGTCAGGAAAAACTGCAGGGCATGGATGATATTACTCTTTGGAATGAGGCTCCTAGTATAATTAGAAAACCTTTTTTTTTTGAGACAGAGTCTTACTTTGTTGCCCAGGCTCTAGTGTAGTAGTGTGATCACGGCTCACTGCAGCCTTTAGCTCCTGGGCTTAAGCAATCCTCCTGCCTCAGCCTCCCAAGTAGCTGGGACTACAGGCATGTGCCACCATGCCTGGCTAATTTTTTTGTATTTTTTGTGGAGATGGAGTTTTGCCATGTTGCCAAGGCTAGTCTCAAACTCCCGAGCTCAAGCAATCCATCTGCCTTGGCCTCTCAAAGCGCTGAGATTACAGGCGTGAACCACCACACTCAGCCAGAAAACCTTTTTGTGACAGACCAGCTAGAAATCCATCCTTCTCTCTGAAAGACCTTAAGATAAGCATGCTTTGATAATGACAAACACATGGTCTAGATGAGACATGGCTGACCCTTCCAGCTCCCTGACTTGCAAGGAGGAAAGAGAAACACTTCAAACCACATCCCTCTTATAATTTGTTGCCTATCACAGAGGTGGCCCTTCTTTAAGGGTCTTTAAGAATTGTTTACTGAATGGAAAAAAGAGTATACCAGCACCCTAATATTTTCCAAAATCTTAGCAGTAAAGACCCTGGGCTTTGCCATGAGCTTTTACCCGCTTAATTTGGTATTTACAAATGGATTATCACATAAGACTTATGCAGGTTATGAAGGGATGAAAATAAAGCGTTAGCACAAAAAGTTTCATTTGGATTCTTTTTGGGGCCACCTGTCACGCCAAGTGTCAGGTTCCAGCCCAAGCTGAAGACCGAGAGGAGTGGGCGGATGAGTGGTGGGCAGCTGAAAGAACACTTAAGGAATCTTAGGGAGTTTTGGACATGGCTTTATTCTCTCTCTCTGGGCAAAAGCCCAGGCACGAGACATATGTACAGCATCAGCAGGGTAGTTATACCTTTTACAGACAATAGTGGCTCCGAGCCAAGCAAAAGTTCATGTGAGTGATCACCTAATGTGCCTCACGTGGCATGGTTACATAATGTGTGGGGTTGTGCACCTGTGCACCAAACCTACTGAGTCATGCTGTGCTGGAAGCCTGCCTCAGTCTACTCCTGACTAAAACACAGCCATTTCCCTTATACTCCACCCCCTGGGCTGAGGGTGTCCTCTGGGCAGGGACACACGGCCATAGGGCAGAGCCCTGAGTCCATAACTCACAACAACAATACAGAGAGCAACAGATCACCACTAGGATCCCAGCTATGCTACTTATGTCTACCAGGGCACAGCGTAGGCTAGAGCCTAGGGATGCCCGCCATCTCTGCAGGGGGTCATCAGTAAAACCCTTGACTGTCTTAATCTCCCGTGAGACCCATTGCAGGGCTGCTTTTACGTTCTGCCGATTATCTGGGATAAAGGTACAGCACCGTGTTATGTTTACACAGGCCGTGACAGGTAGCCATCCCAGTGGTGTTAACCCAGTGTTGCTCTGGGCACCACAGTGCCTGGGCTGGGGGTACTACATGTTCCCCCACTAGCCAGCTCCACCCATCATAAATGCTATGAGCCAGCCAGGGGGCAGGTGTGTCATGGGTCTTGCAGCATCCTTTGTCCAAGGCTTGTGCATCGCGTTCCAGGCATCAGCACACGAGGACCACTGCAGATTAGCTGAACCACTTATAGTTCCTGATCATTCTTGCCCTTGATACTGTTTCTTAGGGGGATGAGACAAGGCATAATGGGAGTTGAAAAAACTCAACCAAGTTTTAAGCATGTATTTTCTAATACTTAAGGGAGTGGCTTCTTTTCCTTTTTTGTCAGCTGCTATTTATAATTGCACACTAATAAGTTTTCAGGTTTACCTCCCAGGTTTCTCTCACTCTGGAGTCCAAGGATGTTTCCTTAATTTTCAGGTTTGAAACATTTTTCTTTTTTTTTCTTTCTTTTTTTTTTTTTTTTTTTTTTTTTTGAGATGGAGTCTCGCTCTGTCACCCGGGCTGGAGTGCAGTGGTGTGATCTCGGCTCACTGCAAGCTCAGCCTCCCAGGTTCACGCCATTCTCCTACCTCAGCCTCCCAAGTAGCTGGGACTACAGGCACACGCCACCACACCCAGCTAATTTTTTTGTATTTTTAGTAGAGACAGGTTTCACCAAGTTAGCCAGGATGGTCTCGATCTTCTGACTTCGTGATCCACCTGCCTTAGCCTCCCAAAGTGCTGGGATTACAGGCGTGAGCCACCGCACCCAGCCTGGTTTGAAACATTTTTCTAAAAGATCAGTAAATATGGCTTCTCCTTTAGTCTGAATCAAATGCTTTTGTGGCCTTCTCAAGGGCCTAGCTTTCTACACCTCTTTCTTACTGATGGGCTGGAATTTGTGGGAAGTTTTATGGCTGACTTATGAATTTAAGATTTCTGCTCCTTCAGTAACTAGTAGACTTATTTCTTTGAGGCCTGTTCATTCCCTTCACCCCTGCCAGTCACAGGTTCTTGTTCAGTCACTGTGGACACCCTGTTTTCCTGACGGGGCTGACCGGGAGACAGGGGTGGGCAGCTGTAAGACAAATCCTAGCCCCAAGGAGTCTGCATCTTCAGCTTCCCAGATGCCCTTTTTGAATTCACCATTGAACTATGGCCATCCATCTGTTGTTAGCACTACAGGTTGAGTCTGTTGACTCTGATTAGAAGATACCGATATTGCTATGGATTTATTAGTAACTTCACACTGGAGTGTAAACACAGAAGGGAGAGTTTTTTGGGACTTAGTGGTTCACAGACTCCTACATCCTGCCTGGCCTAGTTCTATATCTAAAAAAGTTGTTGTGTAAGCCCCTTACATTTTTTTTTTTTTTAATTTTCTCCTTCCAATATTTGCAGCTTTTAGTCCGTGACGATCAACTTATCGCAGAGCATACGCTGGTTCTGTCATGGTCCCAGCTTTGGTTTCATGACATGTATAATCATATATAATGAATTTGCTTCTTAGAGTCAAACCTTTTTTTCCCTCCTTTTCCTTTCATGGTGTTTAATTCTTAAATAATGACTGTTTTTGCTTTGTTCTAAGGAAAGAAAGAAAGATTATAGAGTTTTCACCATACGCTTATGGCCAGAGGGGTGGTGGGCTCTTCTTCCAAACAGGACTCTGCCTTGGCGTTCCCATGGGATGGTAGTTAAGGTTGGATTTTAACGTCAGAAACACCTAGCTCTGCCATTTACTTGTGTGACCTTGGGAACATTACCTAACTTTTCTGAAGCTTGGTGTTCTTTTATTTTATACCTACTTTATAAGGTTATAATAAGGATTAAATAGTACATGGTCCAGGTGCAGTGGCTCACACCTATAATCCCGGTGCTTTGGTAGGCCAAAGCAGGAGAATAGCTTGAATTCAGGAGTTAAAGACCAGTCTGGGCAACAAAGCAAGACCTCATCTCTACAAAAATTTAAAAATTAGCCAGGTGTGCTGGTGTGCACTTGTGATCCCAGCTACTTGGGAGGCTGAGACAAGAGGATTGATTGGGCCCAGGAGTTTGAGGCTGCAGTGGGCCATGATCACGCTGCTGCACTCCAGCCTGGGTGACAGAGTAAGATCTCATTTCTAAAAATAAATAAATAAATAAATAAAATTTAAATTATATATATAACATTTTTAGTCCAATGCCTGGCATATAATAAGTTCTCAATAAATGGTGTTTACTATTAGCATTACTATTTTTAGTAGAGATTGACATTAGAGGTGGGATGATGACTCTCCCTGGGGATTCTCCTATAGATTGTTCAAGACCTTCAGTTGGGTTTCTAGCAAAGGTTGGGAATGAATATCTTAGAGCTATGATGTCTCTAATTTTTTTTTCTTTATCTGCTTTTCAAAGGTTTTAATTTTTCATCCTCTGGAAGAGAAGATGTAGATGTGAGAACATTAGGAAATGGTAAGACTGCAACAGCATCACCTGATTAGAACTAACTTTCTGATTATCATCCTTTCTAGACAGCAGGCTTAGCATAGTCACTCAGTGAAAAACAAAGTGAGCAAGGCCCAGAGCTTCTCCAAGGGAGGAAGCTTTGTGGATTATGGAGGCCCCTTTATGAATTATATGAAATACACCTTAACAGGAATCATTTCTTCAGAGGCCATCCTGATTGCATACCTATAGGTTATAAGGGACTTGCATGTGCATTAACAAAGAGGTGCTTGATTTTTTTTCCAAAAGTTTGATTATTAATTTTTTCATTTAATAACATTTCAGAAGGACCAGTACAGTTTTCAGAATGTACATCTTCATTTAAAAAGTGATTCTGCTGTCTTAACCTTCATGTCTCTCATTTTACCCTATTGCATTACCAGAAAGATGATGACATTTAATCCTGAACTGTTTGAGGCTTATAGTTCCTTCCTCTCATGGAACCAAAGCTTTTCCATTTCACTAGTGGATCAGGCTAGAAGGATGGATTTCAACAGGGCATTGCTGCATGTGACAACTTTACATTAGTGTAACTAAGTTAATTAGTGGTTATTTAAACTGTGTTTTGTAATTAACACAGGCTTGTTCATGGGCCTTTGGGGAAGCAGTCATTTTCACATATTGCCTGTGCTGGGGTTTAGCAGCCCTGCAAAAAGCCCCTTGATTCTTCTCACACATTCTTCCCTCCCTCAGATGTAGTCATGTCACTAAACTTTCAGTCCTCTAGAGCTCAACCCACTTTTCACACCTCCTAACCCTCTTGCATTAGCCCAAATGTTAACTCCATCAACACGTTTCTGTTTCATGACGGGGTGTGTGCTGCCAGGAAGGCCCTTTGCAATTGAGCTGGTGAATCCTCATAGAGTACATTTCACTTCACAAGAAATTAAGGAACTTCAGCAGGTAAACCACTTCATGCCATGGAAATCGTCATGTTTCTGCAATTCTGTAACTGAGCTAGACTTGCTAATTGTTTTTCTTTTTCTGCTACTACAGAAAATTAATAACTCATCTAACAAAATCCAAGTACGTGACTTGCAGCTTGTCACAAGGTAAGAGTAGGCTCATTGGAGATGATTTCAAAAGGGACGTTTTAGTTGCAGGTCACATATCTTGATAAGGGAATTGCATCCAGAATATATAAAGAACTCTTAACAACACAACTACAAATGGGGAAATGATTAAGTAGACATTTCTCCAAGGAGGATATAGGAATAGCCAATTAACATATGAAAAAATGCTCAACATAATTAGTCATTGGGGAAATGCAAATCTTAACCACTTCTAGATATTATATATACAAGAGAAATGAAAACAAACATCCACACAAAGACTTGTACATGAATATTTATAATAGCATTATTCACAATAGCAAAGAAGTGGAAAACTACCCAAGTGTCTATGAATAAACAAAATGTGATATATCCATACAATGGAATATTATTTGGTAATGAAAAGGAATGAAGTCCTGACACATGCTGCAAGCTGGGTGAGCCTTGAAAACATTATGAAATGAAAGGAGCCAGTCACCAAGCACCACGTACTGTATGATTTCATTATGTGAAATGTTCAGAATAGGTAAATCTATAGAGATACAAAGTCAGTTAATGGTTGTCTAGGGCTGGGGGAGAATAATAATGAGAAGTGACACTAATGGGTACAAAGTTTCTTTTTCAGGGTGATGAAAGTATTCTAAAACTAGATTGTGGTAATAGCTGCACAACTCTGAAAACATACTAAAAATCATTGAATTGTACAGTTAAAACTGGGAAATTATATGTAAACTGTTTTTAAAGAAAGGCTAATTCAGGGCAAGGTTTTTTTGTATTTTGTTTATTTGGACAAACTTCTAAAAATTGTTTTTGTTTAGAGAGGCAATAGGACATATGAAAGAAGGTGAAGAAGAAAAGACAAAGACCTACAGTGCCTTAATTTGGACAAATAAAGCGATACAGAAGAAAGACATTGAATTCCTAAATGACATAAAGGTAGTTTAAGTGTGCTTATTCTTTTTATTTCATTTTTCTGTTGCCTATCAAAGATCCCATTGTCTTCTAATTTATTACTAGCAAGTCACAGGGCATGGGCTTTGGGGTCAGCAAGACCTGGGTTCCAAGCCTGGTTCTGCCACTGACTAGCTGAAGGACTGGGCAGTTCATCTAACCCCCTGGAGCGGCAGCGTGGCCAGTGGGGAAGACCCCCACTCTGAAGACAGTTTGCCTGGGTGCAAATGCTGGATCTGCATTTCTGAGCTGTGTGACTTTGGACAAGTTACTTAACCTCTTTCTGCTTCAATTTCTTCATCTATAAAATTAGTTAAAATAATTAAATGAGTTTAATTAGATAAAGCACTTAGAACAGTACCTGGCACATAGGAAACACTTGGCAATGCTATTATTATCTTTGGTCATTTGTCAAAAATAAATATAAAATAGCACTTATCTAATAGAACTGATGCTGAGATTAAATACATGAATAAAACACATGACAATATATGTAAAGCACATGCATTTTGCCACATGTGACATTTTCCTATACCTGAGCATGTCATGGTAGAGTGCCTGTTCATGTGCATACTTCTTGCCATCTGCCCCCACCTCTTCTTATAAAAATAGTTTACTTTCTTTTTTTCTTTTTTTTTTTTTTTTTTGAGACAGAGTCTTGCTCTTGTCGCCCAGGCTGGAGTGCAATGGCACAATCTCAGCTCACTGCAACCTCCGCCTCCTGGGTTCAAGCGATTCTCCTGCCTCAGCCTCCTGGGTAGCGGAGATTATAGGCGCCCACCACCACACCTGGTTAATTTTTGTATTTTTAGTAGAGATGGGGTTTTGCCATGTTGGCCTGGCTGGTCTCAAACTCCTGACCTTGTCATCCGCCTGCCCCAGCCTCCCAAAGTGCTGGGACTACAGGCATGAGGCACCGTGCCCGGCCAAAAATAGTTTACTTTCAAATGCAAGGAATGAGCATACATGGGCACAGAGATGCATATAGTTACCACATTGTTTAAATAGGCAATATTTTGCAACAACCTAGATGACCTACTAGAAGGAACTGGTTTAATATTAATGGCTTATCTGTATAATGGACCACTACTATTCAGCCATTGAAAATTATGTGGTAGATAAATATTTATTGACACAGGAAAAGGTTTCTGGTAAGTGCTAAGGAAAAAAATAAAAGTATAGACTCTATAGAGGATGATATGTTTTAATTTAAGCCAGTGGTTCCCAACCCCCTGGTGGTACCAGCTGGTGACCTGTTAGGAATCTAGCCACATAGCAGAAAATGAGCAGCAGATGAGACAGCAAAGCTTCATCTATATTTACAGCTGCTCCCTATCACTCACATTACCACCTGAGCTCTGTCTTCTGTTCCCTCAGTGGTGGCATTAGATTCTTATAAAAGCACGAACCCTCGTGGAAATGACACGTGCGAGGGATCTAGGTTGCATGCTCCTTATGAAAATCTAATGCCTGATGATCCGTCACTGGGTCCCTCATCATCCCCAGATTGGACCCTCTAGTTGCAGGAAAACAAGCTCAGGGCTCCCACTGAATCTACATTATGGTGAGCTGTAAAATTATTTCATTATATATTACAGTGTAATAATGATAGAAATAAAGTGCACAATAAATGTAATGAGCTTGAATCATCCCAAAACCATCCCCTCCTTCCTCAGTTCATGGAAAAATTGTCTTCCCAGAAACTGGTCCCTGGTGCCAAAAAGGTTGGGGACTGCTGATTTAAGCACACACAAACGCATATATATGTATATGTATACACATATAGAGGATTGTGTAGAAAACAAATTGTATGGCAAAAGATACGATAAATAGGATTTATACTTATCATGAAAAATATGAACACAGAACAAATAAAAATAGACAAAGGATATGAACCAGTTAGCTGCAAAAAGAACAGTGGCCAAGAATCATTTGAAAAGGTTGACGTAACACTAAGACATCACTTTATTCCCCTTAGACTAATAATACCTATCAGTGGGTTGGAGTGGAGGAGAGTTCTCAGTAGAAATGTAGTATTTCAGCCTTTTTCAAAAACAACATGGTAATGACTGCAAAAATTTAAAATATACTGAACTGTCCTGTAGAAATAAAACTCCAGTGCATAAGAATATGTACATGGTGTTTAAGGGCTTTAAGTGGCAAAATCAACAACAAAAAGACTGGGAACAAAATCAGCGTCCCTCAATAAGGAAATGGTAGAGTAAACTGGGATATTATACAGCTATTAAAAAAAACAAAATCAGGCCGGGCATGGTGGCTTACACCTGTAATCCCAGCACTTCAGGAGGCTGAGGTGGTTGGATCACTTGAGGCCAGGAGTTTGAGACCAGCCTGGCCTACATGGTGAAACCCCGTATCTACTGAAAATACAAAAAATTAGCCAGGTGTGGTGGCGCATGCCTGTAGTCCCAGCTACTTGGGAAGATGAGGCATGAGAATAGCTTGAACCCAGAGGTCAGAGGTTGCAGTGAGCTGAGATCGCGCCACAGCACTCCAGCCTGGGGGACAGAGTGAGACTCTGTCTCAAAACAAAAGCAAAAACAAAACCCAGCATATGACCCTATTTAATTTACATGTTAGTATGTACATATGTGCCTAAAAATGCTGGGAAAAAAGATAGACGTATGTCTATATCTATGACTCATAGGAGCACTTATGACATGAGAAAAAAAGCAAAGTGCAGAATAATGTTTATAGTGTGAATATTTTGGTAAAAACACACAAATCATTCACCTGCTTAAAGAAAGTCATTTATAAAATGAGGAGATGGACTAGATCATCTCCAATGGCCTCTCCAGTTCTTAGATCTGTGATTCTATAGCTAAGACCCTTTGGCTTTTGGCCATACTATGTAAGGTTCTTTGGATGGTAGTTATAATATAGACAGATATCTTTAAGATTGCAAAATGAATTTTTAAATTTCTTTATGCCTTTCACATGGGTCGTACAAGTCATTGAGAATGCCATGGGAAAAATAAACTCATTAAAAAAATAGGTTCATAGTTTGAGGGTAGCCATAGAGATAATTCAGAAACAATGCTGAGGCCAGGGGCAGTGGCTCACGTCTGTAATCCCAACACTTTGGGAAGCCAAGGCAGGAGGATTGCTTGAGCCCAGGAGGTCGAGGCCACAGTGAGCCATCATGGCGCCATTGCACTCCAGCCTGGGCTGAAAGATGATTTTCATAGGTACAGACTAAGTGGTGAAAGGGTCTTTTTTAATGGTCCATAGCCTAAGTAGACTGATGCAACTAGTTGATTTCAAATAATGTTTTTAGTTTTCCAGTTGGCATAAAAATTATAAAAACTGACTAAATTCCCCATTCTGAGAAAAAGTCATTTCAAATTTACTACTTATCCCCTCTTCAGGAGCATCTTATTTCTAAAAAAAAAAACAAAAACAAGCGTATGTGTGTGTTTGTGTGCTTCTGAAAGCTCAGCAGTATGGGAGCAGCGGAGTGCAATGTTAGAATAAATGAAGTGGTTTCCTTTTGTCAACTAAAAACAAACAAACCAAAAAAGACATGTGGCTCGTGGTATTTCCATTGACCAACTGTCTCATGGTCAAAGTACTGGGAATAACTCTAAAGGTAAAGGAAGCAGGGGAGAGGACTCCATAGATAGTTGTTAATTTAAAGGCCTGCTGTTTCTCTAAAGTGGAAGCCATGTCTTTATAGATTTCTTCACAGTTCAGCCTTATCCTTTATTTATGTATTTTTTTTTTGTCTCTTTGACCAGAGAAAAATCAGATCTTATGGAGACAGCTTATCTCATCAGGACAAAGTGTTTCTATAATAAAATCAAAGAATCATAAAAACCACAGAGTTAGGAGGAGCCATTGACTCACCACTTTGGTAAAAGCAGTCACACCCTTTCAAATGCGGTCTTTGTCAGAACTTGCTCTTTTCTTCTTGGTGGAGAACTTGATAGAGGAGAGACCAGACAGAAACCTTTCTTTCTTAGCAGGCCTTCCGGCACTCAAGAACCATGGAAATTAGGAAGAGTTGTTCCGACAAGAAAATGAAGAGGATTCAGTTCTTATGAATCTGAATTTCTGATTACGCCCAATTTTTAAAACTTGGAATTAGTTGACCTTTTACAGCGTTAACCTCTATTTCTTAATTTTTATCTTGTGACATAAAAGAAAATCTCTAACGAATTGTGAGAAAAACAAGCCTGTGTCCCTAAAAAATCTGAAATGTAAAAAGACATGCGGTATTATTAGTTGCAAGCTGGGCTAACAAACATTGAAAGGTCCCGGTTTATTATGCACATCGATTTGTAATTATTATATTGAAATGTCACCCTAAACAAGATGTATTCATAACTTTTCCAGACATATCCTTTTGTATAACCCTTTTCCTTCACCAAAAAAAAACCAAAACAACCCACCCCTGACAGTAGGTATGTGGTTCTCCCTAAAACACGCAAACTCGACGGGGCGCAGTGGAGCACACCTGTAATCCCAGCACTTTGGAGGCTGAGGAGGGCAGATCACCTGAGGTCAGGAGTTGGAGATTAGCCTGGCAGATATGGTGAAACCGCATCTCTATCAAAAAAATACAAAAATCAGCCGGGCATGGCGGTGTGAAATGAGTAATGATAGACTGGGTTATGAGAAGTCCCACAGAGTTTGAACCTAAGGGGACACAATTCATTTTAGTTCTCTCAAGGAAGCATCTGTGGTGAGCTATGGATGGTGAGGGAAGGGCTAAGACAGGATTCACTGGGTGGCAAAGCTCTGACTCTGGGACTGTGTGTCATATTCTCCCCTAGGACTTAAAAATCGACCAGAAAACACCTTTGCGCGTCCTTCACCGAAGGCCCCTGGCTGTGCGAGCTCGCGTCATTCACTTCATGGAGACACAGTACGTGGATGAGCACCACTTCCGCCTCCACTTGAAAACTCAGGCTGGCACGTATCCTTCCACCTGCTGCACTGCCGCCATCGAACCAGAACTCTATTGGAAAAGTTCATGGTCCCCTAGAAAACAGGGTCAGCTTGGTCTGGGAGGGATTCGGGAAAGGATTATACTGAAGAAGAATATTTTTGTTTGTTTCTTTGTTGGATGTGGTTTTTTCCCACTTAATTTTCTTTTTCTTTTCTTTTCTTTTTTTTTTTTTTTTTTTTTTGAGGCAGAGTCTCGCTCTGTCGCCCAGGCTGGAGTGCGGTGGCGCCATCTCGGCTTACTGCAAGCTCCGCCTCCTGGGTTCATGCCATTCTCCTGCCTCAGCCTCCCGAGTAGCTGGGACTACAGGCGCCTGCCACCACGCCTGACTAATTTTTTGTATTTTTAGTAAAGACGGGGTTTCACCGTGTTAGCCAGGATGGTCTCTATCTCCTGACCTCGTGATCCGCCCACCTCGGCCTTCCGAAGTGCTGTGATTACAGGCGTGAGCCACCGCGCCTGGCCTAAATTTGTTTTTCAAAATGATTCTAAACCCTGAGGTAGCAGTCAGTTCAATGTCAGCTTTAAAGTTATGTTTCCTATAATTGTAGTGTCTTACACAATGCTGAGCACATAGTACTCAGAAAGATGGATTCATTTGCTGTCTTGACATTTTTTGCAAGTCACGTATTTATGACCATATTTGGGTCTTTTCAACATTTCAAGTATTTGCCTCAGATGATTAAACACAGGTAGTAGATGGGAATAGCACTACTTTACATCAGGATCTTTACTTGGCCACTGGCCTAGTACAACAGAGAATATCTTTGTCTACGTGCCTTGTGAAAAAAAAACAAAAACAAAACGATTCAGATGACATATCATTAGTTAGTTAGCACCATTTTCAGACTGCAAAGAGCTTTGACTGTGTTACAGAAAGGTTGAGATTCAGAGTTAAAATATCTATAGTCCAAGGCTGATAATTTGTTCGTAATCTAACCTGACTTGTATGATTTTTGTATCAGAACTGAGTCGCTGATTAAAATATATCAGGGAGCTCCAATAGGCTTAGCTTTAGTTTACTTTTTGAAGGTCTTCCTAGTTTTTGTTTGTTTCTTGGTTTTATATTATTCTGTGATCCAATAGCATGAAGTGACAAAATACCTTCTAACTGGTATAGAACTAATGTACTATTGTATGTGTGTGTGTGTGTGTCTATATATATATATTACACACACACACTAGATATATATATATGGGAAAAAAGCAAGTTTTAATCACCAAATACCATTCTTACTATATTGCTGTAACTAGTCTGCCTGTCCTTCCCCACCAGCCTGCATTCACTTCTTCCCCTGCCCCACCCCAGGACCTGGATTTACTCAGCTAAGCCAAGTATAGGTTATCTACTCTTAAAATCTTCTAAATTTTGTAATTTGGATCAAAGGATGATCAATTTAGACTCCAGTGGACAGATCTTTGTATCTTTGTTGTTTGGAGCATATTTGCCTATCATGGATGGAATTTCAAATCATGTATATATTTTTAAAAGTCTTCTTACCTAATCCTGGCCTTTAGTTCTGGTGGGCCAAGGAGAAATGTCTTTTGTAGAATTTGATGTCTTTTCAATCCTATTAAAACATTTTTAGGACAAGCCATGTACATGTACTTAAGGTATTAGCCAAGAAAGACTATGTGTTAAAGCTTTAGATGCCACATGGTTATACACAGAAGTATATTAATTTTTCACTTACTAAATTTACTTTATATATACCTTATATATTTACATTGATCACTGCACTGAGCTAGCTCATTTGACTTAAACCTTGTCCCTCTGGTTAGGAATAAGAACCTCTCTGGACATTTTAACTGGTTATTCTGGGGCTATTTGGTTTTCTCTCCTCATCATTGCTACGCAGAAGGGGATTCTTTAAAGAAAATGAGAGAAAATGGATAATAATTGTTGGGTAGTTGTGAGTTTACCAAAAAACACAGTTACTAGATAATTATATGTCTTATGCTTTAGTCAAAACATTTGGCAAAGGTAGAGTGAGTAAAACGTTCAGAAAGTGAGGACATAATATCAGCATATTATAATATAGATTTTTCATCATCTGGAAACAAATTTATTTCTCTATTCAAGTTCCATTAATTATTTTCTACTAAATGCTGGTTTGTAGAACAAAACATAATGCTGCATTTTTACCAAATTCTGGCAAAAACAAATCTTTTAGATAAATATTGTCAAAGCTGCAGTACAGTCCTATGTAAGGAATGTTAATCTTAAAAACAAATTCTAGAATTAGTTATTGATTTCAAAATTTGAAATACAATTTTGAGAGAAATACAAAGTTGCCCCTTTAAGAAAGAGAGAGAGAATTAACTTAGTTCTTTTGCTAACCATGTTAGCAAACTAGACGGTAGGTCTTTGGTAATCCTTCCGAAGAGCCATCATTAAGACTAAACTAATAGTCTCATTATTCCTTCCACCCTATTGCCTCTGGGTCATGTTACAAGGAATGCCATCATTGAGATCACTCTCTGTGTGGCTCTGTGGAAACCTACCATCTGGCAGGTGACAGTTGCCATTATTAAAAAAATGGGACTAACAAGATAATAACATAGAAATTGTGGCAAAGTTGTTTTTTAATAAAAGCATTGAGCTATGGTTAATTTTTAAAATCCACATCCAAACCTTGGCACTTGGAGATGAGCTATAAAGAAAAAAGAAAGTAATGATTTTTGGTAAGTTTGATGTAAACACATTTCCCAGGCTCTGATGTTGGCTGCCAGGCTACTAGGGACCACATTGCCAAAGCTTATTTTTTAAGACACACAAGTCAGAGCTCAGAAGTAACCTTTCTTTTGTAACATTTCTGCTCTTATTATTATTTTTGCCTGTCAAATCTTACCAAATAGTTGGTACAGCATGCTGTCTTCATTTTTTCCTTAAACAAACCCCAGCTACATTAAAGAGTTTGTACATGGAGACTTCGGGAGAACCAAGCCAAACATTGGGTCCCTGATGAATGTGACTGCAGACATTCTGGAGCTGGATGTTGAGGTAAACCATTTTGTTGTGGAATGCACATTGGCAAATTGAATTCAACCAAAGTTATGCTCTTTGGCATTAAGCCATTTTAGTATCACCCACCTCCATAGGTATTTGAGAATGGTGAAAATCTCACAGTAACATTGTATTGAAGGGAGGGACTGTCTTCGGATTTTTTTTTTTAATATGAGGTCTCATTTATGTTCCTTGAAAATATATAGCTAATTTATTAACTGTGCTTTACATGTAGTATCAAATCTAAACCCTTAAACCAAGCACGGAAATAGTCATTTCCATACCTGTTGCGTTTTATAAAGACTTTAAAGCAGCATATTCAGAAACATGGATTCACAAGGGTAGAAAGTGAGGTGAGCCAATGGTTCTTCATAAAAGCAGTTCTATAAGGACCCCTGTGATGTGGTCCAAGTTCTCTGCTCTTACAGTCTGAATTGAAACAAGGTTAAATTCTAAAGTAATTGTAAGAATGGTTCTGTCGGGCAAGTCTCCATAAATATTTCATTTGAGTATCAATAGGTGTTGAGTCACGAGTGGTGTTTCTTCATGAAAATCTGACTAGGAATAGAGTACCTCCCCCGCTCCTCTCCCCAGAATCTTAGGACTTGGGGATTTGTACTTGGGAATAATATCAAAGTTATAGAAAGAAGTGGGCATAGTTGCCCAATGTGAAAACATCTATGGTAATCAAATGATCACTGGAGTATTACTTCCTTACCAGCAATTCTCTCAAGTGCTCTGGGATTAGATTAGCTCCTGCAGTACAGCCAGTGATCGTGCCCTCAAGGTTGCAGGGAGCCTCTTCAGTGAAACTATCATTTGGAGGAAGAAAACCTTCTGTTAAAGAAAATCTCTACTCATCATCTTTTTTTTTTTTTGAGACAGGGTCTTGCACTGTCACCCAGGCTGGAGTGCAGTGGTGCGATCACGGGTCACTGCAACCCTGACCTCTCGGGCTCAAGCGATCCCCTGCCTCAGTCTCCCGAGTAGCTGGGACCACAGGCATGAGCCACTATGCCTGGCGTTTTTTTGTTGTTGTTGTTGTTGAGATGGGGTCTCACCGTGTTGCCCAGGCTTGCATTAATCTTTTTTTACTTTAATTCTCAGAACAGTTAGGAGTGTCAAAGACTCACAGGCCAGTGTTTCTCAACACTGACTGCCCACTGGAATCACTTGTGGAGCTTTTTAAGCACTACAACTTGCCTCCCCTCCACACACACACACACACACACACACACACACAAGATTGTGATCAGTCATGTTTTATTTTCAGCTTGAGAAAACACTCATTAATTTACATTTGGGTGTTTGGTATATGGCTATATTCTGAAACAGAACAAAAATATCTTCTTGAGATTTGTAAAAGACACACACACACATAGCTATTTAGGCTTTTCTAATAAATTTTTTTTGAAGCCAGTACGTGAAGTGACTCATGGATTAATGAAAAAATTTTCAGTAAATAATTTTATGTTTTAAACTTTAAATGTCAATAAAAGCCACAGATAGATACGGTGGGTTTTTTTTTTTTTTTAACTTTCTCTTAAAGTAGATCCCCTAGCCTTTGATAGACCTGGTATGTGTTTATGTGGAGACAAATAGTCTGTTTACTGTAATTTCATTCTGACTCAAAGATCAAGGTTTTGTCCTAGAAGAACAAAATAAAGGTAAGTAGAGATAGATGAACTGGATTTTAAAGAAACAGAAATTCTACAGAACTGAAGCACAAAGATCCTTAATCCTTTTCTGGTTCCAGGTCATCTTTCATAATCATTTATTTCACATTTTGTTGCTGTGTTACAACAAGACTATAGGCTTATAGACTACTTGAATATTTGTTAAATGCAAGATGAGAGAATAAAAATGATCAGAAGAATAAAAGTTTCTGAGACTTCTGAGGGAAAATTGGTGGTCACTTGAATTTGTTTGCTACTTTTACCCATAAATACTTTTTTTTTTTTTTTTTTTTCTGAGATAGATAGGGTCTCATTCTGTCACCCAGGCTGGAGTGCTGTGGCGTGATTTCGGCTCACTGCAACCTCTGCCTCCTGGGCTCAAGCTGTTCTCCTGCCTCAGCTTCCTGAGTAGCTAGGACTACAGGCGTGTGCCACCATGCTTGGCTAAATTTTGCATTTTTAGTGGAGACGGGGTTTTGCCATGTTGGCCAGGCTGGTCTTGAACTCTTGACTTTGAGTGGTCTGCCCACCTTGATCATGTTGATCTATATAATTGATCGGCCTCCCAAAGTGCTGGGATTAAAGGTGTGAGCCACCACACCTGGCCCCATAAATACCATTTAAAAAATTTAAATGTATTCTCTTATCAGTCAAAAAGCACAGTTAATAACCAACTGAGTAGCCAAATACTGCTACTCAATTAATTCAGAAGACCTCAGGCCCAAGAATACCTAGAACAGACTTGAGGGTTAATTTATGGTATTCAATAGCTCTTTTCTTCAAATGCAGTTTCTTCTGTTGCACTATATTAAAACTATTAAATTTATACAGCATTACCAGCAAATGCTTACCACAACAGTAATATCTGTTTTAATGACTTCTTTTCTCCCTTCTAGTCTGTAGATGTTGACTGGCCACCTGCTCTGGATGACTAGCTTTCAAATTTGGAGACAAAGAGTATGGTTTTCCTGGCATGATGTGGACATCCATGGAGCACATGCCGTAAAATGGCTGTTTACCCACCATAACGGTGTCTTGAAAACTATTTGGATCATGTTGATCTATATAATTGTTAATTTGTTGTAACATCTCAGGATCTATATATGTGTATATTTTGTGTTAAATTGTTCCAAGGATGTCTTAGGATTTTTCTCATTCCCTCTTTCACCCCCACAAACCAAACTATGAATAATGAAATAATTCTCCTTAATTCTTTCATTTAGAGAGGTGCACAAACAGGACACATTCTCTGTTAACCTAAGAAGCTGTAATTTCAGCAAGATTTCCCTCCACAAGAGATATACCACCTTTAAAATCATGTTCTAATTTTTGTAAATTATCTGAATAAAAGTTATATCTAGATTTATGCAGCATAATATCCTATAATAGTCTAAGATTGCAAATGCAAATCTGACATCATTATTTTCCCCAGGAAGCCTCAAACAAGCTATTACCAATGAAGTTCTTTTGGCTGTGATTTGTCATAAATCTTAACCAAACTATGAATAATGAAATAATTCTCATTAATACTTTCATTAAGAAAGAATTTTGACAATCTAAAATTGTCAATATAGGTTTCCTGTGGAGGGAAAGTAAAACCGTAGGAGCCAAGGCATGCCATGGTAGGAGCCTTTCATAAATCTTTTAAATAAGGAGAAACAAGTGCCTTTAATAACTTCAATCCCAGGGTTAAGAATTTGAAAAATTGAGATTGCTAAACAAAGACGAACTGGTATTATTTCAGAATGCTTCAATATATTATCCAATTATAAACATTTTAATAATACCTTATTAAAGTAGATAGGATATTGTCTCCATTTTATAAATATGGAAACCAAAGACTAGAAGTTAAATGACTTATCCAAAATTGTTAGCTACTTCTATATTGAGGACTAGAACTGAAGTTTCTTGGTTTCTAGGGTCTTTCTAATAAGCCCTATTACTGAGCACCTGTTTGTGTGAAGGGGCAGCTATGGATGCCATTTAAACTCATGTAACTGATAATTAACTTTTGGAATGTAGTTACCAAATCAAAGAGCTTACCAAAAAATAGCCCAAGACTATTTAATACAATCTTATATAGTTACCATTTGTTATTAAGTTAAACCTCAGTTGGTATTATGAAGAGGAAAAACATTAAGCTAAACCTAAAAAAAATGAATGGGTCATTTAAGTTTCAGAAAGGAGCCTCATTACAATTTCAGATTTGAGTATAATTTCCATCACCCTAATTCAACTATTTGAGCTTTTTTTAAGAATACATGTGACTTGACTAGTATTAGATTACTAACCATTTCCCATCTCTATATTAAACATAAATCACAGATACCAAGATTCACTTTAGATATGAGGAAAATGGTTTTAATGGACACAAAGGAGTCAGCCACGTTGGAACCAACATAGTTTCATACCACGTTGAAACCATGTGTTTGATATGCAAATAACAGCAAATAATTTTTTCACTCTTGTCAATGCCAATGCATTGAAAGGCCCAGAAAATGAGAAAAGGATAACAAACTTTTGATAAAAAGGTAAGAATTTCTGTGTGGATGTTCCTCAGTTTCTGGGAAAATTTTGCTACAAAAGAGATTTAAATAATTTAGGAGGCAGTCTTTTGCATGGTATTTTTGGCTTACCTTTGAATCTAGTGGACCTGTAATATGTAAGAATGAAGAATGTGCTTAGCAAACTGAAATGAGAAGATTTCTATTTCTTAAATTTCTATTCCTGAGATTATATAAAATTTCACGCAAAGAGTAAGCATTAGCTTTAAATACTTCTTCCAAATGTTCCTAGAATTTTGAGACAAAGATTGTTAAAAATTAATGTATGTCTTTGTTTTAGGCAGAACTGGAAATATTAAGTAGTGAGAGTACTATAGTTTCCCTTTTGCCTACATAAAAGCATTTTAAAATTAGTTTTATGATTTCTTTGTAAGCTTTATTTAAATTCAAAGTCTTTTTCATAACACTTAAGAGAAAGAGCCCTTTGTACTTCTTAGTATCTCTTATATAGTCCCAAATATAGTCTGTGGTTTATTTTAGGAAAAACATCAACTCTGAATACCTGGAAAAGTCAAAAGAAAATAAAGTTGGTAAAATGAAAAATGTCCAAGTAAGAAAACCGGTTACATTTGCAAGTTATGTGAAGTAAATTTAGAAGTTAAATTTCCATTTTGTAAGAGAAAAACATCTTACTTGGCAAATCTTTTCTTTTGGAGCTAATTATTCTTTGATTTTTAAGTCCACATAAGAGAATGAACTTTGATATCAGCTTTTCTGATTTTTTAACAAAGGCTACCCTTGTTTATTATGAAAAATATTACTTTTATGATTCTATTTTGAATTTTTAAATTTTGAAATAATTCCAAACTTACAGGAAAAGTTAAAGTACAAAGAACCTTTTTCCCTGAACCATGGAGCCAGTGCTGTCTCATGATCTTAAAGGCTTCAGTGTGTAATTTCTACAAACAAGGACATTCTTTTACTTAACCACAACACAGTGATCAAAACCAGGAAATTAACACTGGTATATTACCATCTAACCCACAGACCCCGTTCAAGTTGCCAGTTGTCCCATCAGTGTCCTTCATAGTCAAGTGCTCACATTGCATTTTGTTACGTCTCTTTAGTCTCCACCACTCTTAAAAGAAGTTTGTCTTTCTTGACTTTAATTACTTTAACATTTTTGAACACTTCAGGTCAGTTATTTTGTAGACTGTTCCTCAATTTGGGTTTGCCTGATGTTTCCTTTTTATTAGATTCAGATTGTACCTTTTTGGCAAGAACACCACAAAAGAGAGATTGTCTTCTTGCATCTTATCAGGTGTCACACAGTTTTGATTTGTCCAGTTGCTGGCTGGGGCTTTGGTCAATTGATTAGGTATTATCACGAGGCTTCTCCACTTTTATGGTTATTCTTTTTGCCCCTTGTAGTTAATAAGTATCTTGTAGAGAGATCATCCAACTTTCACTCACTAGTTTTAGCATCCATTGAAGATGTTCACCTGAATCAATCAGTACCACAATGATTGCCAAATACAGATTTTCTAATTCCATCATTCCTTTTACATTTGTTGGTTGGCATTACCCTAAAAGGTAGAGCTTTCCCTTCTCTCCAATTTATTCATTGATTTATATCATGTGGACTTGTGGCTTATTTTATTTGAGAAGTTGTAATTTGTTCGTTTGGCCAGTGGCGACCCCTTCAAGCTGGCTTCTGTGTCCTTTGGTATGTCCCCATCATTCTTGGAGCATGTTCTTACTTTCTAATACAAAAAGACATTCCATGCTCATCTTTGTATTTCCTCTGCACTAACTCTGCAAGGTGCTTTTTCTCTAAGATCTGGTCTCTTTTAGCAGAAAATGGTATTTAGAAACCAAGATCTGGGCAGTAGGTATGCTCATTGTTTGGTGCCATTGCTGTTCCCAAGCCCTCTCATGGAACAGAGCTAGGGAACAAACATGAATGCATGTGCATGCACACACACACACACCCCACTCATACACACACACCTATACATCTCTGTATCTACACATACCGAAAGCTGTAGGAGTTTATACCAGTACTTCCAATTCCAACCTTATTCTAGTTTTCACCCTTTCCAAATTTGTAATTCTCTGACTATAAGAAATCTGGCTCCTGCTCTTTCCCTGCTGCCACTGAATTGTATAGAGGCGGAGTCTCGGGTGCATTCAAGATCCGGCTTCACTCGTAACCCACTGCCATGGCCGAGGAAGGCAGTGCTGCTGGAGGTGTAATGGACATTAATACTGTTTTACAGGAGGTGCTGAAGACCGCCCTCATCCATGATGGCCTAGCATATGAAATTTGCAAAGCTGCCAAAGCCTCAGACAAGTGCCAAGCCCATCTTTGTGTGCTGTGTGTGCTTGCATCCAACTGTGATGAGCCTATGTATGTCAAGTTGGTGGAGGCCCTTTGTGCTGAACACCAAATCAACCTAATTAAGGTTGATGACCAGAAACTAGGGGAATCGGTAGGCCTCTGTAAAACTGACAGAGAGGGGAAACCGTGTAAAGTGGTTGGTTGAAGTTGTATAGTAGTTACGAACTATGGCAAGGAGTCTCAGGCCAAGGATGTCATTGAAGAGTACTTCAAATGCAAGAAATGAACAAGTAAATCTTTGGCACACACACACACACACACACACACACAAAAGAAAGAAAAAATAACCTCAAAAATAACCAATCTATTGCTGCCTCAATTCACAGTCCCCTCCCTGCTGCCCTCAGACATTCTCCTCAGGCTCCACACTGCAGCCCAGGAAAGAAGCCCTTCACCAAACGAGGCCAAATATTTCTTTGTGGGCAGTGTTCCTTCTGACATCACTGAGGAGGAAATGAGGAAACTGTGAGAAATATGGGAAGGCAATTTCACAGAAAGAGAGTTTAAATAAATTAACAAAAAGGAAAAATGAAAAAATTAAAAACGACAACAAAAAAGAAATATGGGAAGGCAGGTGAGGTCTTCATAAGGATGAAGGCTTTGGCTTTATGCACTTGGAAGCACGAACCCTAGTGGAGATTGCCAAAGTGGGTCTGGACAGTATGCAGCTGTGCGCACCCTGCCTGCCATAGTGCATCCCTTACAGTCTGAAACCTTCTAACAAACTTTTGGAAGAAGACTTTTCTTTGGCCAGGTGGAGAGGGCTGTAGTCATTGTGGATGATCAAGGAAGGCCCTTAGGGAAAGGCATTGTTGAGTTCTCAGGACAGCAAGTTGCTCAGAAAGCTCAGGACAGATGCAGTGAGGGCTTCTTCCTGTTAACCACGTTTCCTCATCCTGTTACTGTGTAGCCCATAGGCTAATTAGGTGACAAAGAAGGACTTCCAGAGAAGCTGGTTGTAAAGAACCAGCAATTTCACAAGGAGTGAGAACAGCCACCCCAGTGTGCACAGCATGGCTTTTGAATATAAGTATGCCATGCACTAGAGGGTACTCATTGAGATGGAGAAGCAGCAGCAGGACGAAGTGGACTGCAATATCAAGGAGGCTCATGAGAAGCTGGAGATGGAGATGGAGGTTGCTCGCCTTCATCAATGCCAGGTCATGCTAATGAGGCAGGATTTGATGAGGTGTCAAGAAGAGCTGTGGAGGATGGAAAAGCTGAACAACCAAGAGATGCAAAAACGACGGCAACTGGAGCCCATGCGAGAGGAGTGCAGGCACTAGGAGGAAGCAATGCACTGGTAATGGCAGGAAAGATTCACTGGAACCTTCTCTGATATGAGACAGCAGGAGATACAGATGGGCCAGATGGCTGTGGGAGGTGCTATAGGCATAACGGAGGCACCATGCCCCCTGCTTCTGTGCCAGCTGGCAGCCCAGCTCCTCCAGAACCTGAACCTATGATGCTAGATTGACCCCACCAACAACGGAATGCTTTGGCCAAGCTGCTGCAACGGAAGGAATTGGGGCAATTGGCGGAACTCCTCCTGCATTGAATTGTGCAACTCCTGGAGCTGAATTTACTCCAAACACACGTTGCTGATACTAATAAAGCTGCAGTGTCTAGTTTCTCAAAACCTTTAAAAGGGCCCTTTTTGGACTAGCCAGAATTCTACCCTAGAAAAATGTTAAGAGATTCCTCCCAATAGTTAGGTCTACCCTACCTATACTACTGTAGGGAGTATTTTGGAGGAAGAGGGCAAGGGAGGAGTGGTATTTAACAAACCAGTTCTGTGTGGTATATTGTTTAACTGATGAGTTCTCTGTGGTGCATTACTGAGGTCTCAAATGTGACTGTTGAAGACCTGGGGGAACTACAGTGAAATGAATCCAGTTAGAGACCCATTAATCTTGATCGTTCTTTTTTTCTCCATCCTGTTTCATTTGCTTTCTTATCCATACACTCCCCAACCCCAGAGACACTGCCACATACACCACAAAACACAACCTCCTCCAATGACCTTCGCCCCACTGCTCCATTCACTCCCAGGTGAGAATTCAGGCAAATGTCCACAGAGGTCACAAACAATGTACGTATAGTTCTTTTATATCCGATATATTATCCCTTCTTGTCCTAAGGAAGACATTTTCTCTTAGAGACTTTCATTTCAGTGTATCTTTTTTAAAAATCTTGTGTTAACTTGCCTCAATCTTTTTCTTGGATAAGGACAACCAGGAATGGCCGTTTTGTGTCTATGATGTTGCTGTTCACAACTTTTCTTGATAGGCCTAGTACAATCTTGGAAACAGAGTTGCTGTATGCTGAAGGTCTGAGAGTAGCTCTTAGCCTTGCCTATCTTAGATAGTAGTTATGCTGTGCATATTTAATTGATGTACTATGTTTGATTTGTTGCTGATACTTTAAATTTGAAGTTTTTCTGAGAAATGGAGCAGCAATGCAGCATCAACTTGTTAAATTACATGTTAAGCCTTGAAAAAAAAAGGAGATCACATCAGTAATCCCAGCACATTGGGAGGCCGAGGCAGGCAGATCACGAGGTCAAGAGATCAAAACCATCCTGTCCAACATGTTGAAACCCCGTCTCTACTAAAAATACAAAAATTAGCTGGGCATTGTGGCACGTGCCTGTAGTCCCAGCTACTTGGGAGGCTGAGGCAAGAGAATCACTTGAACCCAGAAGACAGAGGTTGCAGTGAGCAGAGATCGCGCCACTGCACTCCAGCCTGGTGAGAGAGCGAGACTCAGTCTCAAAAAAAAAAAAAAAAAAAAATTCCCTCATCAAAGAAAAGACCAGAACCAGACGGCTTCACTGCTGAATGCTATCGAACATTTAAAGAACTACGGCCAGACACGGTGGCTCACATCTGTAATCCCAGCACTTTGGGAGGTTTAGGTGGGAGGATTGCTTAAGTGCAGGAGTTCGAGACCAGCCTGGGCAACATAGGGATAACCTGTCTCTACAAAAAATAAAAAATTAGCTGGGTGTGGTGATGCATGTCGGCAGTCCAAACTACTCGGGAGGCTAAGGTGGCAGAATTAATTCAGCCCAGGCGGTGAAGGCTGCAGTGAGCCGTGATAGTGCCACTGCACTCCAGCCTGGGCAACAGGGCAAGACCCCCATCTCAAAAAAAGAAGAAAAACTAGTACCAGCCCTTCTCAAACACTTCCAAAAAATTGAAGAGGAAGGAATGCTTCCAAACTCATTTTACAAGGCCAGCATTACCCTGACACCAAAGCCAGACAAAGACACTATTAAAGAAGAAAACTTGTCAATTAGACTGTGGCAGATATGGAAAAAAAAAAAAAAGAAAGAAAAGAAAAAGCAAAAAGAAAGCTACAGGCCAATATTTCTGATGACCATAGATGCAAAAATTCTTTTTTCTTTTTTTTTTTTTGAGACAGGGTCTCCCTCTGTTACCCAGGATGGAGTGCAGTGGTACAATCATGGCTCACTGCACCTTGACCTTTCAGACTCAGGTGATCCTTCCACCCCTGGGACTTCAGGTGCACACCATCATGCCCAGCTAATTAAAAAAATATACATATTTATATAGGCAGGGTCCCATTATGTTGCCCAGGCTGGTCTCGAACTCCTGGGTCAAACCATCCTCAGGCCTTGACCTCCTGAAGTGCTGGGATTACAAGCGTGAGCCACGGTGCCTGGTCAAGATGCAAAAATTTTCAACAAAATACTAATAAACAAATTCAACAGCACTCTGAAAAGATTAATCACCATGACCAAGTGAGATTTATGTCAGGGATTCACAGATGGTTCAACATATGCCAATCTATAAATATAATACACCACATTAACAGAATGAAGGACAAAAACCACACGATCAAGTATTTGACAAAATTTAACATCCTTTCATGATAAAAGCTCTCAATGAATTAGGAGTAGAAGGAGTGTACTTCAAAAGTAAAGGCCATATGTGACAAACCCACAGCTAACACCATACTCAACAGTGAAAAACTGAAAGCTTTTCCTCTAAGATCAGGAATAATCCAAGGACTTCCACTTTCATTTCTGTTTAACATAGTACTGGAACTGGAAGTCCTAGCCAGAGCGATTAGGCAAGAGAAAGAAGTAAAAGGCATCCAAATTGGAAAGGAAGGAGACTGTCCCTGTTTGCAAGTGATGATTTTATATATAGAAAAGCTGAAAGAATCCACCAAAAAGACTGTTAGAACTAATAAACAAATTCAGTAAAGTTGCAGGCATATCAATATACAACAAGCAGTAGTGTCACAAAATATAAAATACTTAGGAATAAATTTAACCAAGAAGGTAAAATATCTCTACACTGAAAACTGTAAAACATTGACATAAGAAATTAAAGTCACAAATAAATGCAAAAATATCCCACATTCATAGATTGGAAGACTTAATATTGCTAAAATGTCCATACTAACCAAAGTGATCTAAAGATTCAGTGCAATCCCTGTCAAAATTCCAATGATATTTTCCACAGAAATCGAAAAAACAATCCTAAAATTCATATGGAACCACTAAAGACCCTGAATAGCCAAAGCAATCTTGAGCAAAAAGAACAAAGCTAGAGATATCACAATACCTGATTTCAAAATTACTACAAAGCCATAGTAATCAAAACATTTTTGTACTGGCATAAAAACAGACACTTAAACCAAAAGAATAGGAAAGAGAGCCCAGGAATAAATCCATATATTTACAGCCAGCTGATTTTTTACAAACGTGTGAAGAAACTTAATGGGAAAAGACAGTCCCTTTAATAAATTGTGCTGGGACAACTGGATATCCACATACAGAATAATGAAGTTAGACCCTTATCTCACACCATATTAAAAACTCAACTGACAGTGACCTAAATCTAAGACCCAAAACTGTAAACTATTAGAAGAAAACGTAGAGAAAAAGCTCCATGACACTGGTCTGGGCAATTATTTGAATATGACCCTAAAAGCACAGGTAACAACAACAAAAAAAAGACAAATCAAATGGGACTATATCAAACAAAAGCTTCTGCACTGCAAAGGAAACTATCAACAGAGTGAAGAGACAACTTATGGAATGGAATAAAATATTTATAAGCCATACATCTAATGAGGGGTTAATATCCAAAATATACAACGAACTCCAACAACTCAATACCAAGAAAACAGCCTGATTAAAAGATGGGGAAAGGACCTGAGTAGACATTTCTCAAAAGAAGACATACAAATGGCCAACAGGTTTAAGACATGCAAATGCTTACCATCACTTACCAGGAAAATGCAAATTTAAAACCACAGTGAGGCACCGCCTCAAAACTATTAGAATGGCTATTACCAAAAAAGATGAAAGACAACAAGTGTTGGCAAGGATACGGAGTAAAGAGAACTTCTGGCACACTGTTGGTGGGAATATAAACAGAAAACAAAATTTAAAATAGAACTACCACATGATCCAGCAATCCTACTATTTAGGTATATGTATCCCAAGGAAATAAAATCAGTATGTTGAAGAGATATCTGACTCCCATGGTCTCTGCAGCATTATTCATAATAGCCAAGATATGGCATCAACCTATGCATCAATCAATCAATAGATAAATGAAGAAAATGTGGTGTATATGTACAATGAAATATTATTCACCCATAAGAAAGGAAATTCTGTCATTTGAAACAACGTGGATGAACCTGAAGAACATTATGTTAAGTGAAATAAGTCAGGCACAGAAAGACAACTACTGCATGATCTCACCTATATGTGGAATCTAAAATAGTTGAACTCATAGAAGTAGGGTAGAATGGTTGTTACTAGAACTGCGGAGGTGAGAGTGGGATAGGGGTTGCGGAGTTGGGGAGATGTTGGTCAAAGGATTTAAAATTTCAGCTTGATAGGAATAAGTTTAAGAGATCTACTGTACAACATGGTGACTATAGTTAATAACAAATATATTCTTCAAAGTTGCTAAGAGTAGATCTTAAGTGTTCTTACAAAATAACTAAGTGAAGTAATACATGTTCATTAGCTCAGTTTAGCCATTCCACAACGTATGCATATTTCAAAACATCATGTTGAACAAGATAAATATTAATATATACAGTTTTGTCAATTAAAAAAAAAAGGATTTAAGAAAAGAGGAGGCCAGGCCAGCTATGGTGACTCACGCTTGTAATCCCAGCACTTTGGGAGGCCAAGGCGGGTGAATCACTTGAGCCCAAGAGTTTGAGACCAGCCTGGGTAACATGATGAAACTCTGACAAAAAATACAAAAATTGGCCAGGCATGGTGGCATGCGCCTGTAGTCCCAGCTACTTGGGAGGCTGAGGCGGGAGGATCTCTTGAGCCCAGGAGGCAGAAGTTGCAGTGAGATGTGATTGTGCCACTGCACTCCAGCCTTGATGACAGAGTGAGACTCTGTCTCAAAAAAGAGAAGAGACACCCTAGATCTCCATCCTTCTCTCTCTCTACCATGTGAGGATGATGGGAAGGCAGCCCTCTGCAAGCCAGGAGGAGAGCCTCAGCAGAAACCGTCCTAGTACCCCTGATCTCGGACTTTCAGCCTCCAGGACTCTGAAAACAGATTTTTGTTGGTTAAGCCAGAAAAGGAAAAAGGAAAAAAATCTTGTAAAAAGGCACTTCAGTACTCTACAAAATTATTTCAAAGGACAGTTACAAATGCAACCATATTCAGCAACAGCATTCCATAAAAATGTCTAATGTTTCTAAGCAACTAAAACTACCTTTTCCTGTTAGGAAGATGCTATAAATATGAAGAAAATCTGATATTTTAAAAGTTAAATAGCAACAAAATTTCAGCAAGTGTTTTAGAATTTTTCCATTTATTATCAAGAAAAAAATCACTATATACAAAGATATTGCAAATGTAATAAAATATTCTGTATAATAAACAGCATTTTGGCATTTTAAAAACAACTGTATCTTGATACTAAACTTAACATTAAATAATTGAACAGTACCTGAGAACTTTAAAAAAATCACTTTCATCAGTGCCTCCAAATTCATTTCAGTCATTAAGCATCTACAAATACTCAGTCAAAAAAAATAGGATTTTGGTATTCTGCTGGGATCTACATTCATCACAGCCAAAGGTATTTTAAGTACATACTTTTAAAACAGAAATCACTTCTAAAGGGTTCACCTGGTCAAAAACCATACATTTAAGAACGCTGGTTACCCAAAAGCTTTGTGTTTTCCTTGCCACATCATCTTAAAGCTACTTGAACTGTGAGACAGTGACCAACATTATTAGCTAATTACCCAGTAAAAATTGAGTGTATCACCAATGAAGTCTCATTAAATTCAGTTCCACAAATGGATCCTCAAATATTCCAACCTTATCTATATTTTATTACATCTTATGGAAAACTATGTTTGATTAGATAATAAAGTTTAAGAGGAAAAATGGGCAAGATGAATGTTTGATACTTTTACCAAAAATTTATATTTCATTTACTTGCTGATTTCCCTGAAAACTCAATTTGTTGAAGAAGCAACATGCTGTACTAATTACTGTGTATTACTATTCACACACAAGTGTTTAATGAATTTTACTTGTAATTCTTTAAATTTTTGAAAGTCCAATAGTAAACTAAAGTTGTGGAAACAACTGATAAGAATATTAGAGGATAATAAATTCTACATCTTTAAATAGGTAAGTACTAGCTGGTGGTATTTTCCTAAAGCCACAGACATTTAGAATAAATAGAGTGATTACTTTTGAAAACTTTGATCTGTATTTTGTTTATTAATAGGGCATGAGTGGTTTTGTCTGTGCTTTTTGCATGCATGAAAAACATTACAGACATGATTACTTTCAAGATTCAATCCTACCCACTGTTAACTTTGTGCTTAACTAAACTCTGCTAAGATGTATTAGTTAAAATATTAATTTGACTACGTCTTAGGCAAAAAAAAGGCATAAAACTAGATACAGACAACCCATACATTTATCTCTGATTAGTCACCTATTTCTGGGCTTATAATAAATGATAAGCCAAAAGAAGGCTCTCCAAAGCTGGGCAATAACTAGTTAATGCTAATGAGAAGTCCATCTCAGGTTTCTTACTAAAGAACCTAATCCATAATGATTTTTCTCACTCTGCTGTGTATTAGATAACTAGAAGGAGTATCTAAATTAAAGATTAATCCGGGACATAGGATATACAGATATTGGTTTATTAACAATATTTGATTCGCACTATATAATTTACAGTGTTTCTTCTTATGTACCATTTTATTTAGTACAACACAACCTGTTAGGTAGCAGGCTGGGTATTACCTGAGTAAAAAGTCCCTATTCTTTCCATTTCTCCATGCTATTTAAAAGCATGTGGTGATCCTTCAATAAATTAAAGATATAACAAATTATTTGATGCCATTAGGCGGCCTGGATCACCAATTCTAAGTCTTTTTTTTTTTTGAGACAGGGTCTTGCCCAGGCTGGAGTGCAGTGGCGTAATCACTGCTCACTACAGACTCAACCTCCTGGGTTCAAGGGATCCTCCCACCTCAGCCTCCCTAATAGCTGGGACCACAGGCACATGTCACCATGCCTGGCTTTCTTTTTCTTATTTATTTATTTATTTATTTTTTATTATACTTTAAGCTTTAGGGTACATGTGCACATTGTGCAGGTTACTTACATATGTATACATGTGCCATGCTGGTGCACTGCACCCACTAACTCGTCATCTAGCATTAGGTATATCTCCCAATGCTATCCCTCCCCCCTCCCCCCACCCCACAACAGTCCCCAGTGTGATATTCCCCTTCCTGTGTCCATGTGTTCTCATTGTTCAATTCCCACCTATGAGTGAGAATATGTGGTGTTTGGTTTCTTGTTCTTGCGATAGTTTACTGAGAATGATGTTTTCCAATTTCATCCATGTCCCTACAAAGGACATGAATTCATCATTTTTTATGGCTGCATAGTATTCCATGGTGTATATGTGCCACATTTTCTTAATCCAGTCTATCATTGTTGGACATTTGGGTTGGTTCCAAGTCTTTGCTATTGTGAATAATGCCGCAATAAACATACGTGTGCATGTGTCTTTATAGCAGCATGATTTATAGTCCTTTGGGTATATACCCAGTAATGGGATGGCTGGGTCAAACGGTATTTCCAGTTCTACATCCCTGAGGAATCGCCACACTGACTTCCACAATGGTTGAACTAGTTTACAGTCCCACCAACAGTGTAAAAGTGTTCCTATTTCTCCACATCCTCTCCAGCACCTGTTGTCTCCTGACTTTTTAATGATTGCCATTCTAACTGGTGTGAGATGGTATCTCATTGTGGTTTTGATTTGCATTTCTCTGATGGCCAGTCATGATGAGCATTTTTTCATGTGTTTTTTGGCTGCATAAATGTCTTCTTTTGAGAAGTGTCTGTTCATGTCCTTCGCCCACTTTTTGATGGGGTTGTTTTTTTCTTGTAAATTTGTTTGAGTTCATTGTAGATTCTGGATATTAGCCCTTTGTCAGATAAGTAGGTTGCGAAAATTTTCTCCCATTTTGTAGGTTGCCTGTTCACTCTGATGGTAGTTTCTTTTGCTGTGCAGCAGCTCTTTAGTTTAATTAGATCCCATTTGTCAATTTTGGCTTTTGTTGCCATTGCTTTTGGTGTTTTAGACATGAAGTCCTTGCCCATGCCTATGTCCTGAATGGTAATGCCTAGGTTTTCTTCTAGGGTTTTTATGGTTTTAGGTCTAACGTTTAAGTCTTTAATCCATCTTGAATTGATTTTTGTATAAGGTGTAAGGAAGGGATCCAGTTTCAGCTTTCTACATATGGCTAGCCAGTTTTCCCAGCACCATTTATTAAATAGGGAATCCTTTCCCCATTGCTTGTTTTTCTCAGGTTTGTCAAAGATCAGATAGTTGTAGATATGCGGCGTTATTTCTGAGGGCTCTGTTCTGTTCCAGTGATCTATATCTCTGTTTTGGTACCAGTACCATGCTGTTTTGGTTACTGTAGCCTTGTAGTATAGTTTGAAGTCAGGTAGTGTGATGCCTCCAGCTTTGTTCTTTTGGCTTAGGATTGACTTGGCGATATGGGCTCTTTTTTGGTTCCATATGAACTTTAAAGTAGTTTTTTCCAATTCTGTGAAGAAAGGCATTGGTAGCTTGATGGGGATGGCACTGAATCTGTAAATTACCTTGGGCAGTATGGCCATTTTCACGATATTGATTCTTCCTACCCATGAGCATGGAATGTTCTTCCATTTGGTTGTATCCTCTTTTTTTTTTTTTTTTTGCAGAGACAGGTTTTCCTTATATTACCCAGGCTAGTCTTGAACTCCTGGGCTCAAGCAATCCCCCTACCTCGGCCTCCCAAAGTGCTGGGATTACAGGCGTGATCCATCCACCATGCCAGTGCCCTGCTCCATGTCTCTCTTAACATGGAAACCATCATGAGTTTTCCTGAAGTATTAGGTTAGACGTTGACAACCCAGCTGTTTCTGTTCACTATGGTTGTGAGAAGCCCAGTTATTTAAAAGGCCATTAAGATTGAAAATAGATTTAGAGGTGTAGGTACAGACTGGGAAGGGGCATGAAGGAAATTTCAGGGGTGCTGGAAATGTCCTAAACATGGTGGTGACATGGGTGTTAACATACATAAAAATTAATTAAGCTGTACATTTAAAATTAGTCCCCTTTATGCATTTTACTCTACATGTGTTATCCTTGCAAAGAAAAAGACTGACATCTTTGAGAGCAAGAGTTTTTGTCTTATTCACCTCTGTATAATTTCCAACATCGTGCTTTGCACATTGGACATTCAAAAAATGTTATACAAGATTGACTGCATCAATACTGGAGTGTTGTGTGAGGGTTAGGTGCTGAGGCTGAGAAGTGTATGAGGGAGACCTGAGATTAAACCTGCCACATAAAGTGGAGAGAAGTAGCAAGGTCAGGGCTATGAAATAATCCCAAAAACTTTAGAATTTCTACATAATACAGTTGACACTACTATTCTCAATAGAGCTGCTTTCAGTCTCAAAGGGCTGTGGTATGTGTGCGTGTGTGTGTGGTAAAAAAGGGAAGCAGCAGGTCAAGGAAGAGAAGTGTTATTTCACAAGACTTAAGTAATCTTGTCATTGCTGCTTTTCCTGCCAGAAAATCATTACCTTTCCCTTTAAAAATCATTTCCATATACATTTTACTAACTCCCATGTCAATTTCACCCTTCCTTTTCTAATAATAGCTACTATTTATTCAGCACCAACTAGTATACTAGGGACTATGCTGGGTGCTGGAGTCCCAATGACGAAAGAGACAAACACTTAAATAAGAGGATGTCCGTAATACAGGCATGTACAAAGCTTCACCTCAAGTAAGGAGGCAGGACCAACCTTCATACAGAAGCCCAGCCTTCAAGGATGAGTGTTCTAGTTCCAGAAGAGCAGAGGCAGAGTGGGTAACATGCTAAAGGTATGGAGGCCTGAGAGAATTGTTTTTTTTCAAGGAATGCTAGCTATGTAATAAGGAATAGGGAGAACATGGTATTTTAACTGGAACATATGGAAAAGATTATTACTAGGGAAAAAAGAATGAAGGCCTTTACTAAGAAGGCAGCAGGAATTAAGAAGGGACATATTCAAGAGGAGACAAGCTCAAAAGGACTTGATGATTAAGTATGAGTGTGATGGAGAAAAAGAATACAATACTTTGAGGTTCCTAGTAAGTATCTTGGGTGGCGTGGTAAATGGTAATGCCATTATGGAAGGTAAAGAAGAGAGCGAGCCAGTTTATCAGGACATTCAGGTAGCATGAAAGAAAACTGAACCTGTGGGCTCTGATAAGATCATCGGAGGGCGGGTAGGGGGAAATAGCACCAACTGAGGGGAGGGGTCAAGACTCATGGGAAATAAATCTCAGGGAGGAATCTTGACTACCACAGAAAACCCAGAGGAGTATGCAAAGAGGGAAGTATAGGAGGTTATACATAGGTCAAGCAGTGTGAGGACTGAAAAAAAGACACTAGATTTGACAAGGCGGGCAGTCTCCGCTCATCTTTCCCAGAATATCCTAAGAAAATTGTAGGAGCTAAAGACAGAGATGGCTGGGCTAAGGAATAACTGGGAAGGGAGAAAATGGAGGCTGGAGGCATTTCAGAAGTCAGGATGCAAATGCATCCAAGTGGTAGGAAAGGTTTTATTTGGTCTTTCCTTTTAGGCTAATGAAGACATTTACCATGTTTATACAAAGAAAGGAATCACTAAGTGGTGATGTAAGGATAAAGTAAACACAGCCTGGCAGAGAAAGGAGGAGGGATCCAGTGCACAAGTAGAGTTCAGAAAAAGTGCCTCAGATACTAAAAGCAGGTGTTAAAAGAGCAGGTGAAAGCATGAATATATGTAGAGACAGAGGAGAAACGTTACCAAATTCATTTTAAATTAAAGTCTATACAGGGTCAAAAAATAGCACCTGAAAAATGAAAAATCCATTGGGAATATTCTACACACAGAGGTAGCAGAACCTTAATTCTGCTTACACCGCAAAACTAGCCAACACTTATTTAGTTTTAAAAAAATATTCTAAACACAGATGTAGCAGAACCTTAATTCGGCTTATACTTACTTATACTAAGTAGCCAACGCTTAATTAGTTTAAAGAAAAAAACCCATGCAGCTATTCTAACAGTCAGTGTTTAAACTGATTGGTGCTAATTAATCCAAAACTATGAGATTCTGTATTAAAAAAAAAAAAAATCTCCCCACCTATCATCCATCATCATCTAGAGACATCCTGGGTTCACATTTTGAACAGAAAAGAAATTGTGCCTTCAGGTTTTTCTTTCTCCCTGGTAAGTTCTATTTATGTGCTTATGATTTTAAAAATTTATTTTAATTTATATTTTTAAGTAAAAAAATTACTTTCTACCTTTTTTATTGAATTCTATGATTCTTGTGAGATTTCATAATGGCTGCTCATGAAAAATTTATAATACAGAAATATTTCCTTTTGAAATAATAATTTCTGAGGAATATTAATGGTACTCAGGGGTCTTTCTTTTTTTTTCTTCCTGAACCATCCTGAGCCCAAGTCTCACTTTGCTGTCTTCCCTATTTCCCAGTATCATTTAACTGAGAATTTTTGTTTTTATGGCATTCACACATTTTTCTATTTGACCGAAACGACTAGTTTATGTAAAGTTATGGTTTGGTTAGACATCGTGTAAGTAAAATGACAGACTGTTTCTTGCTAGGAAGATATTCAACATTTAGGGCAGGTTCTAGTTGTAAAACAAACTAGGTAAAGTTAATTACTTAGCATAATGATAATTCCATCATAATTAAGATTACTGCCCAACTTTAATCTGTAATAATAAAATATAATGATCTAATTAACCCTTACAATGTCTTTGGGAAATAAAAGGGCAAAATAAATAATTATATATCAAATGAAAACTCCAAAATATAACTACGTTTTGAAGCAAAGTGAAAGGTTTCTAAATGCCAGAATTACCAAAAGTCACGAAACACAAACAGCAAATAAAGTGTAATGTTACAGCTATAACAACTCACATAAAGTATGCAGAAACAACTAGGAAACACTGAGAATTTTAAATCTGATTAAGGAGCTAGTAGAGATTACCCAGCATTCAGCTCACCATTTGAAACCAGCCAAATGAATATGTGACAAGTCTCTTTTAAAAATCTTGCACTTTGAAAAGGAAATGTGTTATAAGTGTTACTCAATCTGGAAGTTGCAATGAGCTTGACAATGTCAAAACATGGATTTAGAGATTCTCAATGAACCTCTAATGTTTTACCTTCAATAAAATCTCTTTTCATAAAAGGAAAAAAAAGATTACCCAAATTCTACCATCATTTTGCCACTGGGATTATTTTCCTTTCAAACAATTTGGATGACCATTATTATTCCTGGACTTGAATGTACACGATTCTCATAAACCCAATGTCACACTAAGTAAAACTGCAAAAATCATATACGTCTTATAATTAAAGTTATTATTTCTTTCAAAAACCAAAGTTCTATTAGTAATACTTTTAATGTTCAATAAACATTTACTGAGTGTTTAATATAAGGTAGGCATTTTTCTACAAATTGGAGATTCAACAATAAAGCACAAAAATTTCTGTCCTTAGAAAGTTTATATTTCGGTATGGGAAAACAAACAGTAAATGAATAAATACTTAGTAAAGTCAGATCGTGGTGAGTGCTATGGACATACATAAAGCAGGGGGGAAAGGGAATGCTGATGTATATATTCAAGGACGACCTGCTCAGGTAACAGTGGAGTGACACCTGAAGGATGTAAGAGTGAACTATGCATTTTTCTGGGAGAACAACATTCAAGGCAGAGGGAATACCAAGTACAGACTGTCCAAGGCAAGTGCATACTTGATGCTTTGAGGAGCACTGAGGCCAAGGTGCCTGGAGCTGCATGAGGAGGTGGGATATGGTGGTACCTGAGGTAGGACAGGGAGTCTAGGCCTGCAACTTTTAAGGACTTTGACTGCTCTGAGTGAGATGAGAAGCCAATGAATGGTTTTGAGCAGATGAATGGTATGAGTTGACTTGTTTTAAAAATAATCATTCTGGCTACTTTATGGGGAACAGACTGTAGGAATGCAAGGATATAAGAAGAATTTTTGTAGATGACAGCTTCAATCCAGGGAAGAGATGATGGTGGCTTGGAATAGGGCGTTAATAGTAGAGGTCAAAAGAGGTGGTCAGCTTTAGATATATTGTGAAGGTAGGGTCTACCAGATTTGCTAATGGATTGGATATGGGTGCTAAAAGAAGAATCAAGGATGACTTCAGGGTTTTTGGCCTGAGCAACCAGAAGTATGGCATTGCCATTTACTGAGTTGGAGAAGACTGAAGGAGAAGCAAGTTTGGGAGGGAAGACCAAGAATTCAGTTTTGGATATGCTGAGTGTGAGCTTTAATTAGATTTCTAGATAGAGATGTCAAATAGGCAGTTTTATGAGATCACAGGGAGTGAGGACATCTAAGAAAGGCGAATGGTCCAAGGAAACTTCTTCCCCTTAAAAAATGAGTGTACAGCTAAAATCATAAGCAACTTTAAAGGCATAGATTGAAATAGTATAAAATGTAGAAAACCTCCCATACCTTGAAAGCTCACTTCAACTGCCTTCTGCCCAACTTAACATTTTAAAGACATTTTGATATACATACAAATCTAAGCTCCAAGAAGCCTAAGAAAACCCCTTAGGGGTTACCTTGGCCCATGGGCCTCAAAAATAAAAAATTAAGTTTTTCAATGGCATAGCCATTACAAGTTTTATCTTAAATTTGCTTGAAATTTAAGAATACATTAAAACATTATAAAAAGAAATATAAAAAAGTGTGTTTTTTTTGTTTTTTTTTTTTTGAGACAGAGTCTCACTCTGTCACCCAGGCTGGAGTGCGGTGGTGTGATCTCAGCTCACTGCAACCTCTGCTTCCTGGGTTCAAACAATTATTGTGCCTCAGCCTCCCAAGTAGCTGACAGTACAGGCACGTACCACCATGCTCAGCTAATTTTTGTATTTTTAGTAGAGACGGGGTTTCACCATGTTGGCCAGGCTGGTCTCGAATTCCTGGTCTCAAGTGATCCACCCGCCTTGGCCTCCCAAAGTGCTAGGATTACAGGTGTGAGCCCCTGCGCCTGGCCTCTGAGTTGTCTTTTTATGACAGCTTCCAATTTTGTATTCGCTATGTCCAAAGTTGTATGCTTCTTCCCTGAAAAAAGTTTTTTATATTCTCAAATACAGTATTATATTCTCAGTCAGTATTATATATACAGTATAAATATAGTATTATATCCCCAGTTAGACAAATACAAAATGCTGCATCTATATAGGTGGTATCAAGATTTAAAAGGATTTAAATCTTGCAAGTTATACTTGAAAAAATTCATATGGAAAGGAGTCACTCAATTGCTCATTTTGCATACTGCCAATACCTGAATACTGACTATCTTGAACAAAACCATGACTGTTTGGATTAGTACTGTTTGATGGTCCCGACTCATTTATCATGCTGTTATCTGCACAACTGAAGTCAGATCCCTCAAATGCATCTGATTGTGAAACAAAAACAGTAGTATTGGAATTGGCGCCTGCTGACATACTGGAAGAGGACATCTGATGGAGCTGTCTCAAGTCTCTTGGGTCTAACACTGAATTACATGAGGGGTTTTCAAGATTCATGCTCAGAAGTCTTGGATTATCAGTCTCTCCCATGCTGTCACTGCTGGTTGTCATCATATTCACAGAACAATTAGACAGCATGTTGGGATCAGAAATACCATATAAATCTGCTGATGGCATGGATGACGCTTCCATTCCGACTATGTCATCGGCATTGTTGTAAATGCAAGCATTAGAAGCATTTAAATCATTCCCAACAGGTATTCTCAGGAATGGTGGGATACCTTGCGAATTAGAAGGAAGTGTCCTTGTTGAAAAACTACTCAGTGGGTTTGTATTGCCTGAGCGTGGGGTGGGGTGGGCCACTGATGACCAGCTTGAAGAAGGCAGAGGTGCCATTGAGGCATGATGTGACAATCCACTTGAGATGGGCCCAGGTGAGGGATAGTAGGATTCTGCTTGACTTGAAACCCCTGTAGGCATTTCTCTCACAACTGCATCATGAGAAAACAAGTTTGGTTCTGTGGGAGGAAAAATTTATTTTACGAAATTAAAATGAACAAAATTATAAAAAGCATTTCTAAATTAAAATTGCATAAGCACACAAATATATATAAAGAAAAATGTCAAGGAAACCAATGTAACATTTCAAATAAAAAAATGTAAAAAGCACTAAAATTATTACACGAATCCAAAATGAAATTCTGTAACGTATATACCATTTTACAAATACAGGTAAAATGATTTTGGCAAGTTACTTTGGCATATGTAATTTCACTTCAATTAAATATGAAAATCTAGTTTCTGAGGCTCTATAAAGGTATTTTTGAAAACTAAAAGATAAATATTAGAATTACAATTAATGGGATTCCAAATAGCCAAAATCATCTCTTACTCTTCACTTTTAGGAGAAAATGGAAGGATGGAGACAACACTCATTAGGGATAAGAAAATACACATAACTTTTAAGATATATTACAACAGAACCCTAAGAGACTATAAAATTCACAGTCAGAAAAAAATTACAGAAAAAATTAATTCTGTATCTATTTACATATTATACAAATGCTTTACAAACTAAACCAGGAAAAAGCAATGATTTAAGAATGTACGTGGGGGAAAAAAGACTTCTTCTAATTAGCCCTCGGTTGAATTACCTAAACTAGGGATTGGCAATTTTTTTTTCTGTAAAAAGTCAGATTGTAAATATTTTAGGCTTTGTGAGCTATATACAGCCTCTGTTGGAACTATTCAACCCTGTTGCCATAGTGTTAAAAAAAAAAAGCAGTTTAGAGATAATATTTAATCAAATATTCATGGCCGTGTTCCAGTAAAATGTTATTTATAAAAACAGGTAACTAACCAAATCAGTAACATTTTTTCATAACGCAATGTAATTAATAAAATTGCTACCATATGAACAACATGTAATTTCTTGAACAATAAATCCCAAAAACATAATCAGTTTCTAACACAACCTTCAGAAGCCATGCTTAATTCATTCTATACTGAAAGCATGAAAAATCTGGAGAGAAAATTTTCAAAGAAGCAGTTATTCATTCCTAAAAATAGAATTCCAATATATTGTGCAAAGTACTGGTCTTTCTGATCACAAGAAATATGCTATAGGAAATAAAATACCTTTTTTGAAGTATCTTCCTTCTCCAATTGAACCGAGGAGACCAGGTCTTGGTCTCTCAGGAAAATTAACTGTTAGGATAAAGTTTTTCCATTATTAAATGTCATTTGAAAAATAACATTATCAGTTAAAATCTGAAAAACTGGCCGGGCGTGGTGGCTCCCACCTGTAATCCCAGCACTTTGGGAGGCCAAGGTGGGTGGATCACCTGATGTCAGGAGTTCAAGACCATCCTGGTCAACATGGCGAAACCCTGTTTCTACTAAAAATACAAAAATTAGCCGGGTGTGGTGGCACATGCCTGTAATCTCAGCTACCCGGGAGGCTGAGGCAGGAGAATTGTTGAACCTGGGGGGCAGAGGTTGCAGTGAGTTGAGATTGCCCTACTGCACTCCAGCCTGGGTGACAGAGAGAGATGCTATCTCAAAAAACAAACAAACAACAAAACAAAACAAAAATAATAAAATTTGAAAAACTGAATAAAGTAAATAAAACAAAACCTATTTAAATATGAATCGATCCAAACTATTCTTACCGTGATCCTGGCACAGTTTCTGGAAAAGCAGAGTTGTCTTTTGTTTCTTTGCTTTATTGCCGTAAGTATCTGATTAGAAAGAAACCAGGAAAGCAGATAAAAAATTATAGGATTGTATCCTCTCCTTTAATAAACAAATATTTTATTCACATATAGAAAATGTTTTCAATAAATATGTATGTAAGTTGGATTTAATAAGTATTATAGAATATGTCCCAAATCAGTAGTATCAGTAGAAAAGGATATTTTTCTCTTAGTAAAAAATTGTTTAAAGTAATCTCAGCACTTTGGGAGGCTGAGGCAGGTGGATCACTTGAGCGCAGGAGTTTGAGGCCAACCTAAGCAACATGACAAAACCCTGTCTCCATAAAAAAACAGAAAAATTGGCCAGGCGCAGTGGCTCATACCTGCAATCCCAGCACTTTGGGAGGCTGAGGTGGGTGAATCACCTGAGGTCAGGAGTTTGAGACCAGCCTGGCCAACATGGTGAAACCCCATCTCTACTAAAAATACAAAATGAGTCGGGTGTGGTGGCGCATGCCTGTAGTCCCAGCTACCTGGGAGGCTGAGACAGGAGAATTGCTTGAACCCAGGAGGCAGAAGCTGCAGTGAGCCAGGATTGCGCCACTGTACTCCAGCCTGGGCAAGACAGAGCAAGACTCCATCTCAAAAACAAAAAAACAAAAAAACAAAAAAACCCCACAAAAATTAGCCAAGTGTGGTGGTGCGCACCTATAGTCCCAGGTACTCACGAGGCTGAGGTGGGATGATCACCTGAGCCCAGGAGGCTGAGGCTCTGGTGAGCCACGATCATGCCACTGTACTCCAGCTTGAGTGACAGAGTGAGACCCTGTCTCAAAAAAAACCCAAAACAAGCTGTTTAAAATATTCATCTTGTTTTCTTATCACACAAGTCAATAATGTCAACTAATGCAATAAGGTTTGATAAGAAACCAATATAGAGACTACTCTCTGAGTGGTAAGTGCACAAAGACTAAAACAGACCTTCAAAAATAAAATAGAAATTTTAGTAAGCAGTTTAGATACTTTGAAATTATTCCATACTAATCAAACCTCTTCTTGAAGAAAGAGATGCAGAGACCAGCCTAGCCAACATGGTGAAACCCTGTCTCTACTAAAAATACAAAAGTAGTAGCCCAGCGTGGTGGCACGTGCCTATAGTCCCAGCTACTCAGGAGGCTGAGGCAGAAGAATCGCTTGAACCCGGGAGGAGGAGGTTACAGTGAGCTAAGATTGCGCCACTGCACTCTAGCCTGGGTGACAGTGAGACTCTGTCTCAAAAACAAAACAAAACAAAACAAAAAACAACCCAACAAATAAAGAGATGCAAAGAGCATAAAGAAAAAACCAACAGAAAGCTTCCAGGAAAAGAAACATAAATTATGAATATACATAACTGTACTCAAATGAATATTACAAGAAGATGTTATTAGCAGGACCACTTCAAGAAATATATAAATTATTACCAGCAAAATGTCATACCTTTTTCATCTGGCAGATATCTAAAATCCATAGATTCACTAACTTCCTGGTCAGAAGGTCTCCGCAACTGCATTTTTACTGTTACGGGTTCTGTGATAGCTTTGCAATATGGTGGAGTTTTGAAAACAATGGCTACTTGACGGTGTACATCAGCTTGTGAAAAGATGCCTTTTGCTTCCCAATCGTTCAACACAAAACGAACTTCTATGTCATCTAGTCAATAAGAAACCAAAAAAAAAAAAATGGGAAAACAAAGTAACTGCATCTATTAATCTAAAATTTATTCTAAATTCAATGAAATAAATAAATACCTTTCTGAACTTTGTCACAAAGTAGAAATATTTCATCTCCTCCTCTGACACTTCCACAATTCTTGTTTACACGACAAATCCTTAATTCTGCAGTATTTGGAGCACCTAAATATAAAGGATTTTCAAAAAAATGAGTTGCTACCTTAGTAATATTTTATTTCTTTTTGCAGGGAAGAATTTGAGGAAAAGCATTCACAGAATAAAAGTTTTAGTGTATAGATAAATGACACTAAATACATTAATCATCTATTTATCTGTCCACTTCCTTTCTAACTGCTTTACTTTAGACTTTGTGGCTTCATTTCTAGGTAATGACATATTCTCTAATTACATCTCCCTGCTTCTAAATTCTGATTCCGCCAATCAATCCTACCCACTGTCACCAGATTAATCTTCATAAATCATGACCACATCCCCATGGCAATACAATTTTCCCTATGGCAATACATCTCCCTATGGCAATACAACTTTCATGCTTCCTTTATAGCCCTAAGTCTCTCTATCCTTCTACACATAAAACAGGTATATCATACACCATTGGTGGACGTATATCTAAGTCTATGTACACACACACACACGTACACACACACACACACACACACACACACACACACAGTATTTTGGGGGAAAGTTTCATAATCTTTCAAAATGAGATATATCCATATCCTTTGAGCCAGCATTTGCCATGCAGTGAGCCATGACTGCACCACTGCACTCCAGCCTGGGTGACAGAGTGAGACCCTGTCTCCAAAAAAAAAAAAAAAACCAATAAAAAAAAATATACAAGAATATGTATTGCAGTACAGTTTGCTAGGCCAAAAAGAAAAAATGAGAAAAGAAACAAACCAAATGCCTTGTAAGAGGGTAATTAATAAAATTATGATATAACTACATAATAAAATATGCTGCTACTGAAAAGAATAAGGTGATTAAAAGGAAAATGTCCAAGATATATGGTAAGAAGAAAGTTAGTTTTTAAAACAATCATCACTTATGATTTTAAGTTGCCAAAATTGTACTGTGTCAAAAATGATGATGATGACAATGTATCTGTGTATATACAGGAAGAAGAAACTGGTAAAATATGCACCTAAGGATAGTGATTATCTCTGGAGGATGAGATTAGAGAAGATTTCCTTTCTGTTATATATTTCTCTAATGTCTGGAAGTTTTCCTATCATGAATATATTGTTTTCCTAATTACCAAAATAATTTTAAGAATTAAACTATTACAAAAAACAAGTTAAGACTACAAATATAAGAAAATGAAGTACTTACGGTTGTCATAAATTGGGTTCGAGACAACAGGAGGAAGAGCAGTCGTCAAATTACCATGTTCATCAGGGAGAAAAACTTGAAAACACAGTCTCACCACATTGAGGTCACAATCTTCAATATCATTCAGCTGTTTTTCAGGGACTGAATAGAAAAAAAAAATTTTTTAAATGTAATAGTCACATAGACCTAAAGACTTGCTAGGTCCTCCTCCCTGCCCATTATAGCCAATAACCTTGAATAGCATCCAAATATGTATGAATAAAAATAGAACAGTATACAATCTCAAGAATGCCTTTTATCATTCTTATCAAGTAATCACTATCTAACAGTATTTGATAAATTATAGCCATGTTCAGGAAGTAACTATCCCCTCACCTGGGATTTAAAGCAAAATCCCAAGTTGACATTAATAACAAATCAAAGTTTTAAAAAATAGTTGCAGGTTTGTACACAACAAAGAATGGCATTTACCCATTCATTCAACAAGTATGTATTTGGTCCAGTTGTTGTGTTAAGGACTCTGTAAATTATCTCCTAAATCTGTACAAGAATTACTTTCATCCCCATTTTACAAACGAGGAACTGAGTTTAGTTCGTTTTTTTGACATGGGGGTCTCACTCTGTTGCCCAGGCTGGAGTGCAGTGATGCGATTTTGGTTCACCTCAACCTCCGCCTCCCAGGCTCAAGTGATCTTCCCATCTCAGCCTCCTGAGTAGCTGGGACTACAGGCACATGCCACCACGCCCAGCTAATTTTTCTATTTTTTTGTAGAGATGGGGTTTCACTATGTTGCCCAGGGTGGTCTCAAACTCCCAGGCTCAAGTGATCCACCCACCTTGGCCTCCCAAAGTGTTGGGATTATGGGCGTGAGCCACTGAGCCTGGCCTGGAACTGACTGTAAAGAGATGAATTACTTGCCCAAAGTTTCACAGTGACAGGGTGGAAATGTGAACTCAAGTCATTAAATTTAGAGCCTATGCTTTTAAAAATTGAAATCTATTAGAAAATTGTACATGTGTTGTACATAAAAATGACATACACAAGAGTATCTACTAAATGTGGATCAACATTTTAAGGATGAAATACCAAGAAACAAAAAAATGTTAAGATAGCTAGTTTCCATAAGAAATTTTACGTGCAAACTTAAAAAATGTTTTAATTAAAAATTTTACAGTTCTATAAAACTAGAAAAGCTCATGATAGAATATAGTATAATAGTTTGTTAAATTAGTATTTGAACCAGAAATCCAGTTCCAAAAGAAAATATTGCCTTTTCAAATGCCATAAGCTATAGCAATAAGTCATATTTTTAAAAAGCAAGACATGCACATTATTTACATAACAATTTTACTTTGCAAAGTATTAAATTTTGAAACACTAAATTTAGAAACATAGTTAAGCCCAAATTCCTTATTTTACAGGCAATAACTAATAAAACTGATAATGTATTTTGTACTGTTTTTATTTAATGACATTGAGAGTCTACTTAGCTATCACAACATTTATAAGTATCCCAGTATTAGCATTCTTATGCTTAATCTTTGAAACAGTGCATAAAAACACATCTGTACTCTGTACAACTGAAAGGTCAAAATGTTATGATACCAACACTTGTGTTACAGCAGCATACTCTACTGGCACTATTGTGTAGGCAATATGAGAGCTACCTCTTCAAAATCCATTTTTACAGCATTATAAATGTAGCATTCAAGATATTAGTGTCTCTCAATTGCAAAGATGAGTAATCAATATGCAAAAAAGATAAATTTGTAGCTAGATGTTCCTGGTAAGTTTAAAAACAAACCTATGTGAACTCTGTGAATGGATAAACAAAGTGTGGTATAGACCTACAATGGAATAAACTCAGCAATAAAAGAGAACAAACTGGCCAGGCGTGGTGGCTCACACCTGTAATCCCAGCACTTTGGGAGGCCGAGGTGGGTGGATCATGAGGTTGGGAGATCGAGACCATCCTGGCTAACACGGTGAAACCCCGCCTCTACTAAAAATACAAAAAATTAGCCAGGCGTGGTGGCGGGCGCCTATAATCCCAGCTACTTGGGAGGCTGAGGCAGGAGAATGGTGAACCCGAGAGGCAGAGCTTGCAGTGAGCCGAAATTGTGCCACTGCACTCCAGCCTGGGCGACAGAGCAAGACTCCATCTCAAAAAAAAAAAAAAAACAAAAAAACAAGCTATGGGTATACACTCCCAAATGAATGTATCTCAAAACCATGTTGAGCAAAAGAAACCAGATACAAAAGTATACTGTATGCTTCCATTTACATGCAGTTTTAGAAAAGATTAATCTCCAGTGACAGAAGGCAGATTAGTAATTGCCTGAGGCAGAGGCAGGGTAGGGAACTGAGCGAGAAGGGGACCAGGGAAATTTTAGGGGGTGATGGAAATGTTCCATAGCTTGATTGTGGTTATGTAGCAGGACATATTCGGGTAGATTTTATTGTATCTCAATAAAAGTTTATTTTAAATATTTTTAAATGGCACATAAAAGAAAAATAAACAAACTGGTCAATAAGCCAAAGTTCAAAAACATTTAGTCACATAATAGTTCTACTACAGGGAAGAAATTCTACTTACTTCTCAAAAAAAATCACTGTTTATGAGATTTTGCTTTGAATCTTCTCAATGTGTGGAAATACAATTACTACTGCATCAGAATTACTTTCATCTCTGCACAACATGGTTAAAAACTACTGACAGGCAAGAATCATGACAGATACCCGTTTTTACCCAATGCAAGATTCAGTGTAAGGCTGAAACCCCAGCTCAAAGCTTCTTTTCTATAAAGCCTAACTTCATCCTCTGCAATGGAGGGAATATTTCTCCTCTCTAAATCAGTGCAAGACTTGACCTATACCTTTCTTATGCCCTTAAAAGTTTTAAAATCTTACATGATAATCATTTATGTATGCCTCTTCTATCCTATTAGACAAAGTTTCAAATGAAGTCAGAAGGGATGTCTGATGTATCTCCACTAGGTGTTGAACCTAGTAGTGATATTTATTATACATTTTCTCAATTAACATAAATGACTGAAGAATTACTTAAAGTCCTATTGAACAACCAAACATTTAGATACTTTTACAAGTTACTGAAGAAAGCATAAAGTAAACGTTAATAAAAAGAAGTTCTACTTTGGTAATGATAGATGATAATCTGTAAACTGGACCAATTCAACCATGAGAATAAAGTGGACAAAATATGAAACAAAATTTCTCTAATGACATTAGAGAGCTAACAAGGTCATGAAAAACCATGCGACCAAGATATGAGAGAAGAAAACCCACAGTTCAGAATGAGAGGCCACTTTTATCTGAATATAGCCTGACAATTTTCTAAGAGATGGTTAAGAAGATTGAGATGAACTCTCAATAAACTATAGGGAAAAAATAAAGGAGTTGAGAGTTTGCCAAGGATGTGGGATCTGATAAATACCCAAGGCTTTGGGGGATTTGAGGTCTGAAAGAGCTATACCCTAGGAGTAAGGGTGAACTGGAAACATATCAGATTTCAGGGATGAAAGCCCAACTTCAAATAACCTAAATCATTCACTGATTTTAGGTGACCTGGGATTGCTAGTGTACCCGGCCACTAGCCAGAAGAAAATTTTCTGCAGGGAGATAATATTGTAGGCCTAAAATCTTTACTCTTTTTCACAGAAAATGACTGGTATTTTATCTTAAATAACCACACATATGAGGAGGCAAAATAAAAAATTTTTTTTTAAAAGAAAGCAACAGGCAATAAAAACATACCACAAAGGATCCAAATAATGAAGTTTTCAGACATATAATTTAAAGTAACTATACTTAATATATTCAAGGAATTAAGATTGAGAGTTTACTGGAGAACTTGAAACTGAAAAAAAGGAATCAAATTCTAGAACTGAAAAATATAATAAATTGAAATTAAGAATATAATCAAATTTATCAAAAGTTTTATAGAAAACACTTTGTGTCTTGTCTTTTTATACCTCAAGGATTAAAATGTTTACCAACATAGTCTACCAAAAGTTTTTAAAATGTTGATTCACTTTTAAAGCCTTTAATCCATCTTCAGCTGATATTTGTATATGATGTGAGGTAGGGAATCCGACTTAATTAAATAACTATTTTTTTTTCAAGCTTCATTTCTCAAACATTTCCTCCTTTCCTCTTGATATGACATGCCACCTCTGTCATACACTAAAGTCGCATATTTCCTTAGCTCTGTTTCTGGGCTCTCAATTCTTTTTTCAATAATTATACATTTTTATTTTATCTTATAAAAATTGGGTGAATATGTAGATTTAAATTGACAAAACTGTGTATTGAACAGTTTTGTCTTTTATAGCTTAGAAGAAAGATTTTGGGCAAAAATGAAATCTCTCTTTTGGAAATGATTTATTTCTATTTTATAATACTTCTGAGCACTGTTGCAACTTCAGAAGATCTTTTATATTTTTAATTTCAAATCTGCTTATATACACAGTAAGTCTTCACTTAATGTCTTCTAGGATGATGTCTATAGGTTCTTGGAAATTGCAACTTCAAGCGAAACAACACCATAATAAAACCAATTTTACCATAGGCTAATCAATATTAATAAGAGTTAAGTTTCTACGGCAGACTATGGGTCACAAAAACATCACTAAATTTATAAGACCAAAACGCTTGCAATATTAAATATTGAAATAAATCTGAGCTATACATACATTTAAGAAAGATTAATAAAAACAAGTTAAGATAATGATTTACCCAATTATTCCAGTTCAGGGTCACAGGTGATTGGAGTCTCTTCTGGGCTCTCAATTCTACTCCAATGAGTCAATCTATCTATTCTTATCCCAATATGACACTGCCTTAATTAGTATTAATACTTCTATCTGATGAGGTCAATTTCTCCTCATTGTTCTTTTTCTATATTCTGTTCCTGTTTAGAATTATCACATTTAATATGGAGTTGCATTGAATCTACTTATCAATTGGGGGAAAATGACTTTTTTTTTTTTTTTTTTTTTTTTTGAGACAGTCTTGCTCTTTGCCCAGGCTGGAGTGCAGTGGCACGATCTCAGCTCACTGCAACCTCCGCCTCCCGGGTTCAAGTGATTCTCCTGCCTCAGCCTCCCGAGTAGCTGGGACTACAGGCCTGTGCCACCACGCCCAGCTAATTTTGTATTTTAAGTAGAGATGGGGTTTCATCATCTTGGCCAGGATGGTCTCAACCTCTTGACCTTGTGATCCGCCCGCCTCGGCCTCCCAAAGTGCTGGGATTACAGGTGTGAGCTACCACGCCCGGCCTGGGAAAATGACATTTTTACAATATTACTATTAGAGAACACGGAATACCTCTCCATTTATTTAAGTATTCTCTAAGATCTCATAATAAAATTTTATAATTTTCCCTAAAGAAATCTTATCATTTCTTTGATTTGTTTCTACATACTTCATATCTCCTGACAATATTTGTTTTAATGATGTTTTCCAGTTATTTGCTGCTGAGATATGGAAATATGACTGACCTTTATATATTAATTTTACATCCACTAACCCTTTTAAACTTTATTTTTTATTCAGTCTCCAAAAAGACTGTCAAAAATTGCCAATGCTGACTATACTGCAAGTCATGACAGCAGGATATTAGGAAAAAGTTTTCAATTAACAATAACCACTCCTAAGATAAACCTCACTTGGCTATACTGCCAATGCACAAAGCTCACTCTTTTAAACTTATCTAAATAATCCATTTATATATCTTTTGGGTTATCACTATAATAATTTCAAATAATTATAGTTTTATTTCCTCATTTTTCAATCCTATGCCTCTACTTTTTGGGGGGTCTTACTGTACACTGGCTACAATGCTCACTGCTCTGGCTATGACCTTCACTACGATGTTGAATACAAGTGGTAAAAGTGTGCCTTGGTTTCTCATTCTTAACTTCAAAGCGAATGTTTCTGATATTTCTCTTATTTAGGATAATGCTTGCTGTAGGCATTTTAATAGATACATATCATTCTATAATACAAAATGCAGTGTTTTATTCTGTAATGTCAAAATTGATACTCAGTTTTGTTTGTTTTGTTTGAGACAGAGTCTCACTCTGTCGCCCAGGTTAGAGTGCAGTGTTGTGATCTTGGCTCACTGCAGCCTCTGCCTCCAGGGTTCAAGAGATTCTAACGCCTCAGCCTCCCAAGCAGCTAGGATTACAGGCATGCACCACCATGCCTGGCTAAGTTTTGTATTTTTAGTAGAGACGGGGTTTCACCATGTTGGCCAAGGTGGTCTGGAACTCCTGACCTCAAGTGATCCACCCACCTTGGGCCCCCAGTGTTGGGATTACAGGTGTGAGTGGCCGTGCCTGGCCTGATACTCAGTTTTAACATTTGCAGAAACTAACGGAAGGAAGCATGAGACCAATCGACTTCTCTCAAATTCCTCTTAAACTAGTTTAAAATTTCACTTTGTAGTTAGTCAAAATATAAGGTAATAACTGTTCTCCTGTTCTCCTTCCTTTTTATGTTTTTTTTTTTTTTGTTTTTTGTTTTTTTTTTGAGATGGAGTCTCACTCTGTCACCCAGGCTGGAGTGCAGTGATGTGAGCTTGGCTCCCTGCAAGCTCCGCCTCCCGGGTTCACGCCATTCTCCCGTCTCAGCCTCCCGAGTAGCTGGGACTACAGGCGCCCGCCACCATGCCCGGCTAATTTTTTGTATTTTTAGTAGAGACGGAGTTTCACCCTGTTAGCCAGGATGGTCTTGATCTCCTGAACTCGTGATCTGCGCACCTCAGCCTCCCAAAGTGCTGGGATTACAGGTGTGAGCCACCGTGCCCAGCCCCTTCCTTTTTATGTTAAATGTTTAATCTACCTTTAGAAAGAAATATCACTCCTTTAACCCTAAAATCAGTAGGTGTGTAATGAGAATTTCATTCTTAACCAAGAAGATATTATCATGCTATATTTTTCATAAGCAGGAATTAAATTTTAAAAATCAATTATGTCTACTAGCTCTAGAAGTGTAACATTTCTAAAATTCTAATACTGTCAAACACTACTGAAATAAAAATAAATAACAAGGCAAAAATACACAGCATATGGAATAATAATTTTATTTTTTTTGAGATGGAGTCTTGCTCTGTCGCCAGGCTGGAGTGCAGTGGCGCCATCTCAGCTGACTGCAACCCCCGCCTCCTGGTTCAACTGATTCTCCTCCTGCCTCAGCCTCCCAAGTAGCTAGGACTAGAGGTGCACGCCACCATGCCCAGCTAATTTTTGTATTTTTAGTAGAGATAGGGTTTCATTATGTTGGCCAGGATGGTCTGTATCTCTTGACCTCGTGATCCGCCCATCTCGGCCTCCCAAAGTGCTGGGATTACAGGCGTGAGCCACTGCGCCCAGCCTGGAATAACAATTTTAAGAACTATGTCTCAGTCGGGCATGGTGGCTCATGCCTGTAATCTCAGCACTTTTGGAAACCGAGGCAGGAGGATCACTTAAGCCCAGGAGTTCAAGACCAGCCTGGGCAACATACGGAGACCCTGTCTCTACAAATAATAGAAAAAAAAAAAATGAACTAAGTCTCACTTAAGGAAAAATATAAAATTTAGTTATAATTAATTTACATTTTTGTTACTTAAAAAGTATATAAAGTATCCCCTATGTATAATAATAAAAGTTGACATTTAAGTGTTCATGTGCCAGGCAAACAGTAAAGGTGCTAGAAGTATACTAGAAGTATATCATTAATTTACTCAACCTTTCAACATACTTATTGAGTATCTATTATGTGCTACCATAGTAAAGTGTTAGATACAAATTTGAAAAGACAATGCCTGACCTTAGTGAGATGAGTATCTGGATGAGAAATAGATACATAAACTAAAATTATATAATACAACATGAAAAACTTTATAATGGAAATATGCTCAAGGAATACTGAAAGCAAGAAAGTACACAAGTTCTGCCTAGGGTAATGAAAAAAAGGCTTCGAAAACTCTGACTGCAATAAAGAAAGGACAATGAAGTACACATGAGCCATTTTTTCAAACTTTAAGTTTTCAGTTGTAAGGAAAGGCTTTTTCTTGTATTAGACCAGACTTTAGAGATAAGAATCTATGTTAGACTACTTATTAAACTGTATTCCCTTTCAGACTACTAAGTAATGTAGTTTTCCCAAACTCAACTGTATAGCAGCCTTTTACTCTCATAACAACTCAAGATTCTCTACATGGGAAAACAGTAAACTACCTAATAAAACTTAATTGCAAATTCTTTATTGTCAAAATCAATTTTATTGCACAAAATTTAATATACAGTTTAGATATTCTATGGAGTTTAACTGCCGCATACTAGAAATCCTAACATTTCATTACCAAAGTACATAACTAGAAAATGATATATAATTACAAATTTTTTTCAGCTTTTGCAGTTAAGAGTCCTCTACAAAGTCTAACTGCCACTCTTGTTCTAGCTAAGTAAACACTGTTAAAATCTGATATTGGAGTCCCTAATTAAATTCCTCACCCAATTTAGACTTTGGCAATTAGACAATTTGAATAATCCTTTACTTGAAGCCTCAAATTTGACAGTATTAGACTGCTTTATGCCCCGTTTGCTAGAGACTGTTTCTTAGTTTTAAAGAACAAATGGCAAGAAAGATAAAGGCCGGCCTTAAAACACACTAGTTGGGGAATCTATTGTGTGCAGGTAGGAAACTCAATAGCTCAAGGCACTTAGCTGAGAAGATAGAGATAACAGTAAAACAAATACATTGTTTAGGTGCCAAAGTGAAATGGAAACAAGATTCCATCACAGACCCTGTCCACAAGTAGCATGAAATTAATATTTTAAGAAAATTCCTGAAGAATCAAATGATCTAACAGATAACACAAAACTTTCAATGATTAATTGCTGAGTATACCGTATAATTAGGAAGATGTTATCTCAGACTTAAGAGAACTGAGAAGGCTTTCAGGGCATCTCAGGTAAGGAAAACAACTGTGATATTTTTGGTAGAAAAGTACAAATAAGGCGGGGCGTGGTGGCTCAAGCCTGTAATCCCAGCACTTTGGGAGGCCGAGGTGGACGGAACACGAGATCAGGAGACCGAGGCCATCCTGGCTAACACGGTGGAACCCTGTCTCTACTAAAAAATACAAAAAAATTAGCTGGGCATGGTGGCGGGCACCTGTAGTCCTAGCTACTCGGGAGGCTGAGGCAGGAGAATGGTGTGAACCTGGGAGACAGAGCTTGCAGTGAGCCGAGATCACACCACTGCACTCCAGCCTGGGCAACAGAGCGAGACTCCGTAAAAAAAAAAAAAAGAAAAGTACAAATATGACATGTTCGTCCATTTATTCTTTCAACCGTTTTAGTTTGTTTGTTTTTTTGATACGGGGTCTCACTGTCACCCAGGCTGAAGTGCAGTGGCACAATCTGGGCTCACTGCAACCCAGCCTGATAGGCTCAAGTGATCCTCCTACCTCAGCCTCTGGAGCAGGCTGGGACTTGCAGCACGCACCCATGCCCAGCCAATTTTTTGTAGAGATGGGGTTTCACCACATTGCCCAGGCTGGTCTCGAACTAGACTCAAGTGATCCACCCATCTTGGCCTCCCCAAGGGCTGGGATTACAGGCATGAGCCACCGTGCCTGGCCCTTTTAACACATTTTAATTAAGCTTCTTTCATGTGCCAGAGATACAAGGAAGACAGTCCTCATCCTCCAGAATTTCATGATTTAGTGTAGGAAAAACATGTAATCAAAGTTATAGCAAACCATATTAGAAATATGTACAGGTACTGGCTGGGTGCGGTGGCTCACGCCTGTAATCCCAGTACTCTGGGAGGCCAAGGTGGGCGGATCACCTGAGGTCAGGAGTTCAAGACCAGCCTGGCCATGGTGAAACCCCATCTCTACTAAAAATACAAAAAAAATTAGCTGGGCATGGTGGCGCGTGCCTGTAGTCCCAGCTACTCAGAAGGCTGAGGCAGGAGAATTGCTTGAACCTGGGAGGTGGAGGTTGCGGTAAGCCAAGATTGCACCATTGCACTCCAGCCTGGGCAACAAGAGCGAAACTCTGTCTCGGAAAAGAAAAAAAAAAAAAAAATATATATATATATATATATACACACACACACATACACACACGCACACACACACACATACATACACACACATATATATATACACACACACACAGGTACTTTGGGAAAACAGAGAGAAGGTCAGGGAAGGCTTTAAAGACGATGTGATCCTTAAACTTGGAGGGTGAGTAAGAAAAATTCACCAGGCAGATCAGGGTATTTCATGCAAAGGAACTGCATGTATAAAAGCACAGAGGTAAGAAAGAACATGGCTCTTCTAACAGTGCAGATAGTTCAGAACGGCAAAAACAAGTAAGTGCATGTGTGCACTCAGTGGTAGAGGAAGGAGGGGTAGGAAGCTGAGGTACAGAATGAAAGCTAGAATGGAAAGGAAGGCTTCCAGATTATGAAGGGCTTTAAAGGCCATATTTGAGAAGCTGAACTCAGCATGTAGATCAGATCAAAGTTTCTCAGAGTATACTCTGTGGATCACTTGCATCAGAATCATCTCAGATAGAGATTTTCAAATTGTAGCTTGGGAACCACTGATTGTAAAATTAATTTAGTGGGCTGGGTAAGCACTAACAATGCAAGAGAGAAAGAAAAAGAAGGGAAAGGAAAGGTACAGAATAGAATTGAGTACACTGCATGTAGTGGGGCGATATGGTTTGGCTCTGTGTCTCCACCCAAATCTCATCTTGAATTGTACTCCCATAATTCTCATGTGTTGTGGGAGGGACCCAGTGGGAGATAATTTGAATCATGGGGGTGGTTTCCCCCATACTGCTCTCGTGGTAGTGAATAAGTCTCACAAGATATGATGGTTTTATCAGGGATTTCCGCTTTTGCATTTTCCTCATTTTCTCTTGCTGCCACCATCTAAGAAGTGCCTTTCACCTCCGCCATGATTCTGAGGCCTCCCCAGCCATGTGGAACTGTAAGTCCAATTAAACTTCTTTTTCTTCACAGTCTCAGGTGTGTCTTTATCAGCAGAGTGAAAACGGACTAATACATAGGGTATCGCTGTCCTAAGGGTGTGGTGTATGTATATATATTGAACTCAAAAACAAAATCTATTTCTTACTGTGGGTCATGGTGAAAGAGTTAAGAAATACTGATCTAGATGTTTGTTAAAATGCAGATTCCCAGCACACCTGTCTTTCAAGTCACCTGCTTGGCCCTCTTCCAAGTGTATTTTTCTTCCTTTCCTTCCTGCTCTAAGGCTTTTTAATAAACTTTCACTCCTGCTCTAAAACTTGTCTCGGTCTCTCCTTCTGTCTCCTGAGGAGGCAAGAATTGGGGCTGCTGCAGACCCGAACAGATACTTTTGGCTGCTAACACACTTTGGTGCCATGTGACTCGGATAAGTTATTATTTTAAAAATATTTTTTAAAATGTAGATTCCCAGGACCCATACCAGCCCTATCAAATTAGTGGAAGTGTGGCCTGAAATCTACATTTTTAACAGTACTAAGATATTCCTATGCACATTCAAATTGAGAACCACTGCTGAAAGGCTCGGGAAGGAATGAATTTGCAAACAGGCTGGGTGTGGTGGCTCATGCCTGTAATCCCAGCACTTTGGGAGGCTGAGGCGGGCGGATCACAAGGTCAGGAGATTGAGACCATCCTGGCTAACACGATGAAACCCCATCTCTACTAAAAATACAAAAAATTAGCCGGGTGCGGTGGCGGGTGCCTATAGTCCCAGCTACTCGGGAGGCTGAGGCAGGAGAATGGTGTGAACCCGGGAGGCGGAGCTTGCAGTGAGCCGAGATCGTGCCACTGCACTCCAGCCTGGGCGACAGAGGGAGACTCCATCACAAACAAACAAAGAAAAAACAAGTAAACAACAACAGGAAACATAAATAGTGGGAAGGATTAACTGGCAGGATTGTTCCTTCCCCAAATCAATATTCATCCAGGCGGCATGGTAGAGTTGTTAAAACCATGACCTTAGAGTCAGGGGCTCCCTATGTTCAAATCCTAGCTCTACCACTCATCAGCTATATAACCTTGAACAAATTACTTTCCTTTTCTTTACTTAGAGACGGGGTCTTGTTCCGTCGCTCAGGCTGAAGTGCAATAGTGAGAACACCGTTCACTGCAGCCTTGACCTCCCAGGCTGAAGCAATTTTCCTACCTCGGCCTCCTGAGTAGCTAAGACCACAGTTGTGCACCCCTGCATCTGGTTAATTAAAAAAAATTTTTGTAGAGATGGGGTTTTACCATGTTGCCCAGGCTGATCTCAAACTCCTGGGCTCAAGCAATCCTCTCCACCTTGGCCTCCCAAAGTGCTGGGATTACAGGCATAAGACACCGTGCCTGGCCTACTTGATTTTTTTTTTTTTTAATTATTTTTTTTGAGATGGAGTTTCACTCTTGTTGCCCAGGTTGGAGTCCAATGGCGTGATCTCGGCTCACCACAACCTCCGCCTCCTGGGTTCAAGCGATTCTCCTGCCTTAGCCTCCTGAGTAGCTGGGATCACAGGTGTGCGCCACCACGCCCGGCTAATTTTTTTTTTTTTTTTAATTGAGACAGAGTCTCGTTCTGTCGCCCAGGCTGGAGTGCAGTGGAGCAATCTTGGCTTACTGCAACCTCCACCTCCTGGGTTCAAGCGAATCTCCTGCTTCAGCCTCCCAAGTAGCTGGGACTACAGGCGCGTGCCACCACGTCCAGCCAATTTTTTGTGTTTTTAGTAGAGACAAGGTTTCACCATGTTGGTCAGGCTGGTCTCGAACTCCTGATCTCGTGATCCCCCCACCTCGGCCTCCCAAAGTGCTGGGATTACAAGCCTGAGTTCACTTTTCTATGCTTCCATTTTCTTATTTTTAAAATTGAGTTATTAATAGTACCTATTTCGTAGGCTGTTATAAGGATTAAATGAAATAAAATATATAAAGCACTTACTATCTACCAACAACTATTTTAATTGCCATTATGAGAATTCACTATTAATATCATGCCTGAGTCGGGCCCAGTGGCTCACACCTGTAATCCCAGCACTTTGGGAGGCCAAGGCAGGCGGATCACTGGACCCCAGGAGTTTGAAATCAGCCTGGAGAATATGGCAAAACCCATCTCTACAAAAAATACAGAAACTCTGGCCAGGCGTGGTGGCTAACACCTGTAATCCCAACACTTTGGGAGGCTGAGGCAGGAGGATCACTTGAGGTTGGGAGTTCAACACCAGGCTGGCTGACATGGTGAAACCCTGTGTCTAATAAAAATACAAAAATTAGCCAGGCGTAGTATACATCTACAATTCCAACTACTCGAGAGGCTGAGGCACGAGAATCGCTTGAACCCAGGAGGTGAGGGTTGCAGCAAGTCGAGATTGTGACACTGCACTCCAGCCTGGGTGACAGAGTGAGACTCTGTCTCAAAAAAAAAAATTAGCTGGGCATGGTGATGCACACCTGTAATCCCAGCTACTTAGGAGGCTGAGGTGGGAGAATCACCTGAGCCTGGGAGGTCAAGGCTGCAGTGAGCTGTGATCACATCACTGCACTCCAGCCCGGGCATCTCAAAAAACAAGCCTGATTCTGAGCTGCCAAAACTAAGAAAAAGAAATTCCACAGACAGCATCTTCCTTTTTAATGCCTTTACCACTGGAGTCAAGGAACCTGCATATGAATTCCAGGTCTGCCACTTATATTTGCAGCATGATTTGGGACAGTTAAATAACAAAAGTCTTGGCATTCTCTTCCATAAAGCAGAATTGTTCCAACGATTAAATAAAGTAGTGTGCATAAAGCACTAACGTTTACTCCCTGACATACAAGAAGTGCTTAATAAATGATAGCTATCACTTATAATTTCCTTGTTTTATATTGCATCTAGACTTACCTGCCTCTTTAAAAGTCTGGCCTATTAATTTGGCAATGAATCACAATTTTAAATGAGCATACTCTTGACCCAGAAATTTTCCACTTCCAAAAATTTATCCTAGGGAAATAATCACACAAGAGCTCACAGTGTATATTCAGTGGAGCTTTTAAAACAAAATGAAAACAACATACATGTTCATTAATAGAAGACTAAATAGACCGGGTGCAGTGGCTCATGCCTGTAATCCCAGCACTTTAGAAGGCCGAGGCAAGTGGATTGCTGAGCTCAGGAGTTTTGAGACCAGCCTGGGCAACATGGCGAGACCCTGTCTCTACAAAAAATACAAAAACTAGCTGGGCATGGGCATGGTGGTGCACCAACAACTTGGGAGGCTGAGGTGGGATGACCGCTTGAGCCCAGGATGTCAACGCCGCAGTGATCTGTGATCACATCACTGCACTCCATCCTGGGCGACAGAGCAAGACTACCTCAAAAAAAAAAAAAAAAAAGATGACTAAATAAACAAATTATGTTCTACCCAAACAATAAAATATTCTGTTAAAAAAAAAAACAGATTTGTAAGTATTGACATGGAAAGTTTAAGGTATATTCCTGAGTGGAAAAAAATGAAGGAGTAGAATAGGATATATAGCATGATTCCTTTTTTATAAAATATATATGTCTACATATAACTACACATGTATAAAGAAAATTCTAGAAAAATATACATCAAACTTAATAGCAGTCTCCCCTGGTAAGACTGGAAGGGAAGAAGGTGACTTTTACTTTCCGCTTTATACTAAATAGTGTGAAAAATAAAACCTAAAGAGATGCAGATCTTATGGTTCATAAAACAGTAATTACCTGTGAATATATTCCTTAAATTATCAACATATCTCTTAAATTATTTTTATACATCCAGGAAAAATACAAACCAACAGTATAAGGATGTCTCAAATATGACCAAGAAATATATTCTTTGAAAATATTACAGTCATTTAATTCCTGACTTCTGCATATTTAAGTAGCTGCAAAGACTTCAGAATGGAGGCTACTCTAAGTATAGGATGCCAGCATCTAGTGTGGTAGTACTTATCTATTCAAACAATACAGAGTGCTTACAAGTAACAGTTAGCCAGGGAGTATTAAGCATTTATACTTACAGCATGAGGCAGATAGTACCATAAGTATAAATACTTAATAAATGCTATCCCCAATAAAATTCACTGAACAGTAAATATCTAGTCATATACACAAATATGCTATGAAAATACTTTGTGTGATTTCTATTATTTCTATGCTTCTTCTTCCACATTGGGATTAAGTGTTACCCTTGAGCTAAATGCACTCCAATACCTTATAAACACAGTGCCTATTTAACACTCAAAAGGGGGGAGTGTATGTTGTCTGCTGGAAGTGGCATAAGGAAGGCCATGTTCAAAAGGATCACAACATTTTGAAGTTTTATTATATAAAACAGTGACACTCTCCAACAATACCAAAAACCTCTCTGTGCATAAGATTTTTTTCAACAACTGTGAAGAAACTATTTTAAATAGTATACGTCATTCCTCAGATACAGGTACATGTCAACAAGTAGAAAAGTAAACACAGAACTTAAAACACAGGTTGAAGATATAAATAGCTGGGCACAATGGCTCACGCCTGTAATCCCAGCACTTTGGGATGCCAAAGCGGGTAGATCACCTGATGTCAGGAGTTCGAGACCAGCCTGGCTAACATGGTGAAACCCCGTCTCTACTTAAAATACAAAAATTAGCTGGGTGTGATGGTGGGCGCCTATAATCCCAGCTACTCCGGAGGCTGAGGCTGAGGCAGGAGAATTGCTTGAACCTGGGAGGCGGAGGTTGCAGTGAGCTGAGATCGCGCCATTGCACTCCAGCCTGGCGACAAGAGCAAAACTCCGTCTCAAAAAAAAAAAAAAAAAAAAAAAGAGAAAGAAAAAAGAAACAGAAATCAACACCCAAATAAATAGAAATGATTTTATCAAACATACTTACCATTGAATGGATTGATTCCTGCCTTTATTCTTGTAATAATAGCTTCTTTTACTTCTTTTTTCTTCACACATCGAATACCCAAATTTTGGAAACTAGCAGGAAAAAAACAATATTCAAAACTGCATTATAAACACAAGGAATATTGCAAAAATCAAACATATAGCAATACTGAAGTTATCATGCTGTCAGTTGTACATACCAAAGCATGAACGTGCTTCCAATTGCTCTGATAAAGATGAGAGAGTAAGAAGTGGGATTATATGGCTGGGCGCGTGGCTTGTGCCTGTAATCCCAGCACTTTGGGAGGCCAAGGCAGGTGGATCACCTGAGGTCAGGAGTTCCAGACCAGCCTGATCAACATGGAGAAACCCCGTCTCTACTAAAAATACAAAATTAGCCAGGCATAGTGGCACATGCTTGTAATCTCAGCTACTCGGGAGGCTGAGGCAGGAGAATCACTTGAGCCTGGGAGGCAGAGGTTGCGGTAAGCCGAGATCACGCCATTGCACTCCAGCCTGGGCAACAAAAGCAAAACTCTGCCTCAAAAAAAAAAAAAGAAGTGGGGTTGTACTTCTAAGAACTGTTAAAAGAAAAATAATATATACTATATCATTTTAACATACAGTGTTTTACAATTACTAATATGCCTATGTCAAACATACCAAAATATAGATTAACAGTAAAGCAATATTAAATGGTAAAATTTGCCTCCCAAACAAATTCAGAATCAAATCAATAAAGTCTGTTTGATAATGTAAAGCAAAAGCTGTAAAGAGATGTTCACAGGTTGAAGCCCACAGGTATGTTTTGCTAGGCTCACAAAAGTGTTGCCTATATTTTTAAAAATCTGCACAGGTTATCTACATTTAGAAATCAGGTAATTGCATATGAACATCTGGATTTCCGGCTTCTCTTGTACATTTTAAAGACCTGGCAATACTAGGTTGGCACAGAAACAACAGGCTAGGGACTAAGCCCCATTTATTCAGGGCTCTTTAGTTTGCTACAGTGCCTGTTAGTCCTCCTACACTTGATCCACACCACTCATTTATGCTGCTTGCCTAGCTCCACAGAGATTTGCTTTTTGAGCCCTGAATTCACTGTTATTAGCAGTAGAATATGTTTTGTGCCACATTATATAAAGTTATAGCCATTCATCATAAAAAATTACTAAAATGTTTTTGTATTAGAAAGAAGTTTAATGCTAACAATATTTAACAAGTTTCAAAATGTCATTTATGAAAAACTTCCCAATAGCTACAAATACTACTAATTTGCATATGTGTAGCATAGACGATGGTGGGGGGAACTCCCCCACCACCACCAGTCATACTTGTTCCCACATGGAAAAACCATGACATCAGTAAAATTGGGTGGGCGTGAATAAGGAAGCAAAACTCAATTATAATAACATTACTATTGTTCAAACTTCACATGGCACTTGCAACCGGAGGCTACTTTGTCTGCCTGTCTCCATACTCATGCTGTCTTATGCTCATGTTCTTCACATCTACAATTTTGCTAGCATCTAAAATATCTTTCACATTTCCTTCCTCTGCCTCCAATAACTACAAAAATAAATCTTAAAAAACATTTTTTTTTGAGATGATCTCACTCTGCCACCCAGGCTGGAATGCAGTGGCACCATACCGGCTCACTGCAACCTCTGCCTCCCAGGCTCGGGTGATCCTCCCACCTCAGCCTCCTGAGTAGCTGGACTACAGGTACATGACACCCTACCTGGCTAATTTTTGTATTTTTGTAGAGCCAGGGTTTCACCAGGTTGCCCAGGCTGGTCTTAAGCTCCTGGACTCAAGCAGTCCACCTGCCTCAGCCTCCCAAAGTGCTCGGATTATAGGCATGAGCCACTATGCTTGGTCAGCTAAATCTTGAATTCTTAATCCTTTCTTGAAATCTTGCAACTATAATCCTCTTCCTCAAAAGTATTTCCACTTCTTTGAAAGATTCTTGGTTTGATTCTTTTTCTTTGGTAAAAGATTTTATAGAATTCTTCATATTAATACATTTATATTACTTCATTTTGTTTCATCTGAATAATCTCATATTTGACTGCTATTCACGGAATATTAGGGGTGGTGGTAATTTTTGAAATTCTGAAATGAAGGATCAAGAGATTGTTTGAATCAATTATTCATTCATTCATTCACAGACATTCAACAAGCTTTGGGGTTCGTACTATATACCAAAAACTCTGCAAAGTAATGGGGATATACAATCCCTTTCCTCAAGAAGCTTACAGTCTAGTGGAAAGATTGGCAAACTGTAACTCATGGACCAAATCCAACATCTTGTCTGTCTTTGCAAATAAAGTTTTATTGGAACACAGCCAAACTGATGTTTACATATTATCTATGGCTGCTTTCATGCTACAACAGCAGAGCTGAGCAACAGAGACCATACAGCTTGCAAAACCCCAAACATTTACTATCTAGTACTTTACAGAAAAAGTCTGGTAGTCTCTGGTCAAGTGGATATACATTAAATAATCACACATACACAAATGCTAAACTGCAATCATAACAAGTTTTATGAAGGAGGTATACATGATGTTATGGGAGCCTATGCTGGAACAGAAGAAAAACACTTCCAGGCAAAAGGAACAGGCCACACAAAGACCCCTAGAAAAGAGCAGTGGAAACAGAGGAAACTAAAGGAAGGCATTGTGAGTGGAGTATAAAAATTAAGGAAAGCAGAGTTTAATAGAAGGCTAGAAATAAAGGTGGGTCATGTGGGCCTTATAGGCTATATAGAAGGAATGCTGTCTTTATTCCAAGAGCCAAATAAACCCATTAAAATGTTTTAAGCAAGGGAAAGACAATTTCATTTGTATTTTAAAAGATCACACTGGCTAAAGCGAGGAAAGATAGAGGGTTTGGAAAAGGTACAAAATGGTTAATGCAAGACCAGTCAGGAGGTTATTCCAGCAGCCCCAGTTTAGGCTATAGTGGTAGTATGACGGTGATGAATTTCACTGAGTGAAGTGGATAGATTCAAAACCAGTTGAGAAGGTAACTGTTAGTAGATTCAATGTGTACACCTGGATGAGGAATGTCAGAGATGACACCTATAGGTCTTTTATCGCAATCACTAACATACGGCACATTGGAAGAAGACCAGTTATGAGGGGAAAGAGATATGATCACAGTAAAATCACGTTTGGGGAATATTCTATTTGAAGTGCTTTTTTTTTTTTTTTTTTAAAGAGATACAATCTCGCTCTGTTGCCCAGGCTGGACTCAAACTCCTGGGCTCAAGCAATCCTCCTGCTTTGGCCTCCTGAGTAGCTGTAACTACAGGCATGGGCCACTGTGCCCCGCTACTTAAGGTACTTTTGAGACATTTAAGGGAATATGTTGAGAAGGCAATCAGACTTACTACCATTCCCCACCAGAAGGAACCAAGAATCTCTGGAAAAAGCTGATGACTTCAGGGCTGGGGCAAGCAAAGCACAAGTTGGCCAGGCACGGTGGCTCATGCCTGTAATCTCAGCATTTCGGGAGGCTGAGGCAGGAGGATCACCTGAGGTCACGAGTTTGAGACAAGCCTGGCCAACATGATGAAACCCCGTATCTACTAAAAATACAAAAATTACCTGGGTGTGGTAGTGCACGCCTGTAATTCCAGCTACTTGGGAGGCCAAGGCACAAAAATTGCATGAACTTGGGAGGGGAAGGTTGCAGTGAGGTGAGATCGCACCACCGCACTCCAGCCTGGGCAACAGAGCAAGGCTCTGTCTCAAAAAAAAAGGAAAAAAAAAAAGAAAAAAGAAAAGCACAAGTCTTGAACATTTCATTTTGTCAGAAAGTAAAAAAGTGCTCAAAGAAAGATGACGGCATATCAAAAAAACACAGGAGACAGTTTGAAGAGGCTTGCATTAGTCAAATCTGGGTCAATTTGAAAATCAAAAGAATAACAGAATAACTATAATATATTAAATACAAGAATGCATGAGTTTACAGTGATACTTTTTAAATGGAGAAAGAGAGGAAGGGAAAGTTCTTCTTTATAATAGAATGCCAAGATAATATCGCCAATAATGTAAAAAACTGAAGGGATATTTTTAGAGTTATACTGCATCACTTCTATAGATTTCTTGCCCAAAATGTTTCATGTTAACATGAAAATATTATTCATGTTATTCATGTTAAATATAATGTTACCTATAGTGTGTAATCCTTAATGGGATCCTGAATTGGGGAGAGAGTTGGAACAGCCATAAAGAGCATTATTAGGACAATAAGTGAGGTGGTCCAAAAATTTAACTGCCTGTAACTAAGAAAGAACAGCCAGAAAAGCAGGAAGTAAAATGGAAGTTTGTTTTCACAGAAAGCAAGGAATAAAAATGTTTCAAGTAAGGAGTGATCACAGTGTAAAATGTTGTTGGGAGGTCAAGTAATATAGACAAATATTTGCCAAGTGTGTATAATACTAGATATTTTCTTTTGTGTTATTATTGTAAGAGGAGCATTTAAAGTATTTTTTTCTAAATGGTTATTACTAATATATGTGGAGACTATTAATCTCTTTTCTGTTGCCATTAGTTCATTTTTCCCCAAAAGCCAATACATGTTCATTACAAAAATGAATTATAAAATATAAGTTAAAAGAAAAACATAAAACCCTACAATCTTACCCACCCAGACAACTACTATTAATACCTTAGTATTAACATATACACATCATGTATATGTATAAATTTATCTTAAACAAAAATAAAATTATTCTTTACATATTGTTTTAAAACCTATTTATCTGGCCAGGTGCCGTGGCTCACGCTTGTAATCCCAGCACTTTGGGAGGCTGAGGCACGTGGATCACCTGAGGTCAGGAATTCGAGACCAGCCCAGCCAACATGGTGAAACCCTGTCTCTAATGGTTTAAATACCAAAAAATTAGCTGGGCATGGTGGCACATGCCTGTAATATCAGCTAACATGGGAGGCTGAGGCAGGAGAATCACTTGAACCAGGGAGGTGGAGGTTGCAGTGAGCCGAAATCACACCACTTCACTGCAGCCTGGGCAACAAAGCAAGACTGTCTCAAAAAGAAAAAAAAAAACAAAAAACAGAAAACCTATTTATCTAATATATTGTGACTATATTTACATACCAATAGACATATTGGCAATATGATTTTTAAGGCTGTACAGGAGTACATTGCATGAATGTATCAGTTTATTTAATTAATCCCCTTTGCTTACTATTTGGATTGCTTCTAGCTTTTTGCCATTACAAAGAGAACTGCAATGAACAGCATTAGAGCATAATGTCTGAACACACTTAATTATTTTCTGAGGCTAAACTCCTAGAAGTGGAACAGCTGGCTCAAGAGGCATTAATATTTTTCAGGCTTTTGCCATGTAGTTAAATTGCCTACCAGACGTCTTTATTAATTTACATTCTAACATGATGAATGGGCCCATCTTCTGGTAGCCTCACTATCATGAAGTATTACATGACTATTTTTATCTTAGAACTATTGTTGTATGTTAATTCTATAACCTGCCACTTTCTAAATAATAACTCTAGAGTTTTCCAGTTGATTTTTCTCACATCCAGGCATTTTTATGTTAACTGTAAATGGGCGTGGCACAGCAGCTCACGCCTGTAATCCCAAGCACTTTGGGAGGCCAAGGTGGACAGACTGCCTGAGTCCAGGAGTTCAAGACCACCCTCGGCAACAAGCAAAACCCCATCTCTACAAAAAATACAAAAATTAGCCGGGCATGGTGGTACATGCCTGCAGTCCCAGCTACTCAGGAGGCTGAGGCTGAAGATCACTTGAGTCTGGAGGTGAAGGTTGCAATGGGCCGAGATCATGCCACTGCACTCCAGCCTGGGTAACAGAGCGAGACCTTGTCTCAAAATAATAATAATAATAAGTTAACTATAAATGAAAAGACAGAGGCTAGGCACGGTGTCTCACACCTGTAATCCCAGCACTTTGGGAGGCCGAGGCAGGCAGATCACCTGAGGTCGGGAGTTCCAGACCAGCCTGACCAACATGGAGAAACCCCATCTCTACTAAAAATACAAAAAAATTAGCCAGGCGTGGTGGTGCATGCCTGTAATCCCAGCTACTCGGGAGGCTGAGGCAGAAGAATCGCTTGAACCCAGGAGGTGGAGGTTGCAGTGAGCCGAGATTGCGCCATTGCACTTTAGCCTAGGCAACAAGGGTAAAACTCCATCTCAAAAAAAAAAAAAAAAAAAAAAGACAGAGTGAATAATTATTTCAAAAACTGTCCACCCCAAGAAAGGAAATCACAGTATACAAGAAGTTTACGTTTACTTTTAATAACAATAAAAATGTCTTCCTGCTAACTATCATAAGATGTGTCTACTAATAAAGAATGAAAGGGTAGTTCTAATGCAAATAGTAAAAATGTAAGTGTAAAATACAGTAAATAGAAGTAGAATGAGAAAATTATTCTGCTAAAAAGTAACAGATTGTCATGGAGAAGAAACAGAACATCCTATGTCTTATCTTATTTCTGAAGATGTCTGTAACTGTGTACTTACAACAAAGGTCTGCGTTCTTGTCCAAATTCTGCTTCATAGTAGCCGTCTCTGCAGTCTTTTCCAACTAAATCATGAGGATGAGGTTTATATGGGTCATTCTTTGTTACTAATGTAATTCTCACTTTTCCTTTTCCATAATAGTTCATAATCTGAAAAAAGGGGGAAATTAAATACATGATCCAAATAGACTGCATTATAAACTGATCTACTAAATGAGAATTCAATTTACATTAATTATAATGTAATTGGCACTAGATAAATAAAATCCAGCTGACGAACAACTGCAGTTTAGATGAAACTTTCCAGAGAATACCAGTACAGAAAAACTTACCTCTCAGTTTCTTGACATATTTTCTGCCCTAATTTCAATTGGTCATATCATTTGACTGGGCTTATTTTCCTTTCAAAACAAGTAAAACTCTACCCAAATTTTATCCATAGAACATGAGAAAACAGATGTTAAGTCACTAAATGCCCAGCTCTTTAACGTACTGTCATACCATAAACATTCCTTGAAAATATATTTAAGCCGTATTGGAAAGGATAGCACATAAATATGATCATTTTACTTAATATATGACATTTCACTTCACAAAAATATTTGTTCAGTAAGCATACCCCAAGTGTTTACTCTAGAATAGGCAATAAATCAAATTGAGTTTAACAACATCAAATTTCACATAGAAAGTATAGCTAGAACACAGAGTAAAAAGGAGAGTTTAACATGGAAGAGGAAGGAGGACAGGAATTAATGCTTAGTTTGAAAGCTAGTAAAGTTGCAAGAACAAAGCAGGGACTATAAAAACCAGCATACCACAAAGGAGCAAGGTAAAGTAAGAATGGGTAGCTTACAAGGTAGAGGGCACTAAAATCCATAATTTTGAATTTAAATAGAATTTGAAAGTAACCAAGAAGTATTACATTTCTTTCTGTATGAAAGAGAAGGTAATTGCTCAAGACTATAAGTAGGCAAATACAAAACTCAAGCTGTAAAGTGTTTAGGACCTACTGGAATGGTAAAAATACATATCTTAGAAATAGAGATGCATAGGATAAGATGAATTATGAAGAAAAGTTTAAAAATGACTCAAAAAACTGGACAAATAGTATTTCCTTATTTCCTTTTTATTAGCATCTCATCCATTTTAACATTTAAAAGACTTAGATAACCCAAATCCATATTACTGCCAAAAATGTGATAAAAATAGAAATCTGGAATTCAATATATATAATTTTGCCATTGGTTTATTCTATAATTCAGCAATTCCCTTTAAGTTCATCAACAGAATAGATTTTGTAAATAATCTAGTTATAAAACAGTGAATTAAGATCTGTTGATAAAAGTAACACTTTTCAAAAACAAAAACAAAAAGCAACACTTTTCAAAATCTACTTTGCCATTAAAGTTTTTAATTGGCATTTAAAGGATAAACCCTTCATTGAAAGTCAAAGAAAAATAGTTTACAAATAGAAAATAGAAATTTAGTACATTGGGCTGGGCATGTTGGCTCACACCTATAATCTCAGCACTTTGGGAGACCAAGGCAGTCGGATCACGAGGTCAGGAGATTGAGACCATCCTGGCTAACATGGTGAAACCCTGTCTCTACTAAAAATACAAAAATTAGCTGGGCGTGGTAGGGGGCGCCTGTAGTCCCAGCTACTCGGGAGGCTGAGACGGGAGAACTGCTTGAACCTGGGAGGTGGAGCTTGCAGTGAGCTGAGATCACGCCACTGCCCTCCAGCCTGGGCAACAGAGTGAGACTCCGTCTCAAAAAAATAAAAAATAAAAAAATAAATAAATTTAGTACATCTTGGCTGGACGCAGTGGCTCACGCCTATAATCCCAGCGCTTTGGGAGGCCGAGATGGGTGGATCACCTGATGTCAAGAGTTGGAGACCAGCCTGGCCAACATGGTGAAACCCCGTCTCTACTAAAAAATACAAAAATCAGCTGGGCGTGGTGGTGGGCGTCTGTAATCCCAGCTACTCGGTAGGCTGAGGCAGGAGAATCACTTGAACCCAGGAGGCGGAGGTTGCAGTGAGCTGAGATCACGACATTGCACTCCAGCCTGGGCGACAAGTGTGAAACTCCGTCTCAAAAATAAATAAATAAATAAATTTAGTACATCTTATAACTATTAGTATGTTTACCAAAGTCATTTTTGGTCAAAAGCTTTTTAAAATTTATGCTAATGTGAAAAAACTGCATTTATAAAGTGGTATTTCAAATCAGTCAATGACCCAGAGAATCAGAGACAAGCAATAAAGTTAAGAAAAAGGAGAAAAAAATGTTCTAGCCCTAAGACTAGCCAAGAAGAATTATGATTGAGTTCTCAAATCCATGTTTAATCTACAGAATAATATCACTCACCTCTGCAGAGAATGGGTTTTCCTTATTATCTCTGTGTTCCATGAAAAAGAACATGATCCAAAAGTTGCCAGTGTACTCTCAACATTGAGTCGCTCTACTTAGGTTAATACACAAGCACCATAGAACTATCTGCAGTGGGGAAGACTCCATTTTATATTTAAGAAATGTCCTTAGACATCTATCTAATAGATGTCTTTTTGACAGATCCGTTTAAAAAAAAAAAGGAAAAAAGAAAAAGATAAACCTGTGGAGATGACTGTGAAGAAACTGGCCCTTTAAAATAATTGCTATAGCTAGTATATGAAGCAACTAATAGTGAGATAGACACAGAAGAAGGGTCTATTACCTGGATAGAAGGGTATGTTCGGTTGTTGTCTGTGCTGTGCTCCCCTGGAATGCTGCCTGCTGATCGCCCTTCACATTTGTATCTAAAACGCATTCCCCTCTGCCTGGGTTGTTCAATTATCTCTATATACGGGTTATACGCACCTGAAAAGTTTTTAAAAAGGAGGAGGTCAGTGAGATTAATATAGCAATTAATAATGGATTTTAACATTCTGTTTTTTTTATAACAGCAGACTAAAACAAAGATTTTTTTCCTCCTAACATTAAATAACAAGACCGAAATGTTATCTTGGAGATTGGCTGGGAGAGGCACCTTTTTTTCCCATTCAAATTGAGTCCCTATGTAGTGTCAAAACAAGTCATTCAAACCATATTGACTGGTTAGCACTTTATAGCTTAATATCTATAGCTAACGTCAATATGAAGTTCTGAGATAACCACTTCAGAGATATCTGCCTCCCACGTGAGACCTAGCAGAAGGGTTTCCCCCAAGATTCCCCAAGAAGGGTAAAGAAGGCAGTATTCAGAAGTAAAATATCACACTCCTAAAGTGAGTTAAATATATTTAACTGCTTGATTTTACATCATATTCATAATACTGAATGAAAAGACCATTCACTGAAAATGAAAATGCATTTAAATCCTTGCAGAAGCATATGTAAGTTTTTTATATCTCCATTCAAATATTAAAGGACTTACACACAGTATATCAAAACAAGCCCCAGGAGGGACTTTAGGCTCAAAGAATGTGCAATCAGTCCCATGCAAACCTTTTCTAAAGACATAATAGAGAAAAAAAAGTATTCACTTTCTATAATAACTAAAATTCAAAATATGCATCTGCAGAATGAACTGCTGCTACATATAATAACATGGACGACTCTCAAAATGATTATGCTGAGTGAAAGAAGTTAGACCAGAAGAGCACATACTGTATGATTCCATTTATATGAAACCCTAGGATATGTAAAGTAATATACAATGAACGATAGCAGATCACTGGTTGCCTAAGAACAGGGATATATGGTGGATAGGAAAGGCAGGGGGGACATTATCTTGTGATGATGATTCCAGGGTTGTATACATATGTCAAAACTTGTCAAATTGCATACTTTAAAAGTACAGTTTGTTGTACATAAATTATATGTCAATAAAGCTATTTAAAATGTATGCAACTTTACTTTTATTATCCAAATTGTGGGGGAAAAGGTAAATAGACACTCAACTGTACTTGCAAGTAGGGGAGTTAATAGGGGTGTGAAGATGTTTTCCATTAAAAAATAATAATAATGTGTCCCTTAATCACTTTAGTGCTGACTAAGGCTTATCCTGTTAGAACGCAAGCAATCCTGAGAAATGGTAACACAGTGGGCCTTATCAGAACAGTATGGAGAAGAGGCCTTTAGAATCCTACCCCAGCTACTTCTTAACAGTAAGACCAAGGAAATGTGATTAAAATTAAAAATCTCTTAGTTTCCTCCTCTGTAAAATAGGAATAATCATAATAGCACCTACCTCATTGGGTTGTTGTGAAGATGACAGATTATATGTGCTAAATTCTTACGAAGTGTCATATATACATACACATTCAATAAATGTTGTCTACGTGAAAAAATGCTCATCATCACTGGCCATCAGAGAAATGCAAATCAAAACCACAATGAGATACCATCTTACACCAGTTAGAATGGCGATCATTAAAAAGTCAGGAAACAACAGGTGCTGGAGAGGATGTGAAGAAATAGGAACACTTTTACACAGTTGGTGGGACTGTAAGCTAGTTCAACCATTGTGGAAGTCAGTGTGGCGATTCCTCAGGGATCTAGAACTAGAAATACCATTTTACCCAGCCATCCCATTACTGGGTATATACCCAAAAGATTATAAATCATGCTGCTATAAAGACACATGCACAAGTATGTTTATTGCGGCACTCTTCACAATAGCAAAGACTTGGAACCAACCCAAATGTCCAACAATGATAGACTGGATTAAGAAAATGTGGCACATATACACCATGGAATACTATGCAGCCATAAAAAAGGATAAGCTCATGTCCTTTGTAGGGACATAGATGAAGCTGGAAACTATCGTGAGGACAAAAAAACCAAACACCGCATGTTCTCACTCATGGGTGGGAATTGATCAATGAGAACACATGGACACAGGAAGGGGAACATCACACACCAGGGCCTGTTGTGGGGTGGGGGAAGGGGGGAGGGAAAGCATTAGGAGATATACCTAATGTTAAATGACAAGTTAATGGGTGCAGCACACCAACATGGCACATGTATACATATGTAACAAAGCCGCACGATGTGTACATGTACCCTAAAACTTAAAGTGTAAAAAAATAAAAAATAAAAAAAAATGGTGTCTATTATTTCAGATGCTTTCTTGAAAACAATGATTTAGTGATACTATGGTGGTATCCCAACTGTCACTCTAAAGGACCTTATAGAAGAGCAAGGCAAACAACATATATTATTAGACTACAGAAGGAAGGAAAGCACTAACAAAATTCTGCGGAAATAAGAGCGAAAGAGTCAGGAATGCCCAACTGTGTCAGTGGAAAAAGAGCGGTTAATGAAGCAAAAGAGCGGAGGAAATGAAGAGGAAAAAGGTAGGTATTCTAGGGAAAAGGGAACAGTGTGTCCACAGAGGAGGGTTTATTTAAGAATCACCAATGTAAATGGAACACACTTTCTCTCTTAAAAAGAGAACTAAAAGTCAGAGCACACTTGGCAATGTGGATTTCATTTTATGTGTGATGAAATCAATGAATATTTTGATGCAGGCAAATCACATGATCAGATTTGCATTTTAGAGTAAAAGTTTTAGTCACAGTGAACAGATAGAAAAAAGAAAGCAATGTCATCAGTTTAGAGACCACTATAATAATGTGGGCAATGATGAGGGTATCTCTGATATATGGCAGTGATAAGATGAATGAAGGATTATTTAAAAGATAAAATTGACAGCACCTGGTGCCTGAACAGTAGGGTTAAGAGAAATTAAAGAATCACTGATAGCTCAGAAATTAAAGAATCATTGATGATTCCATGGCTTCTACTTTGGGTTACTGAATAAAGTATTACTGTAACTTTCAATTTTATTCTGTATGGTGTAAACTCCCTGTGTTTGAATCTACTACCTATTTGTTTATTCAGAAGATGAAGAGCCAGAGAAAACTGACTTTAACCTAAACAAGTTCATAATCCTTATTTCAGTTTTACTCAAAAACATAAGATATGCAGATGAGTATTTCACGATTTTATCCTTGCATATTTTAAAGATTTCAAATTCACATTGCAATTTCAAATATTTCATACCCTTATATATCCTTGTAGGAGTATTTAAGAAAGTATATTTTCCTCTTAAAAACTGTTAAAATCAACATTACTTTTTAAGTCACATTTTAAATAATTTATGTGGCTGAAGTAAAGGCCAAATAAATCCCTGCCCACTACTTATTTAAAGGTGTCTTGGTGGGAAACTGATATAAAATGACATCGTTAATGATAAGTGTTTAACTTTGGGAAGAGAGAGTGTGAATAAAACTGCTAGGTTCATAGTGAGCATTCAAATATTTCACTGAGGCTGGGCATGGTGGCTCATACCTGTAATCCCAGCACTTTGGGAGGCCAAAGTGGGTGGATCACTTGAGGTCAGGAGTTCCAGACCAGCCTGGAAAACATGGTGAAACCCCATCTCTACTAAAAATACAAAAAATTAGCGGGATGTGGTGGCAGGCACCTGTAATCCCAGCTACTTGGGAGACTGAGGCAAGAGAATTGCTTGAACCCAGGAGGTGGAGGCTGCAGTGAGCCAAGATTGTACCACTGCACTCTAGCCTGGGTGACAGAGTGAGACTCCGTCTCAAAAAAAAAAACAAACAAAACACAAAAACAACAACAAAAAAACCCAAAACTTCATTGGTTACATGACACTTCTTTAGATTGTTTACAAAAAGAACAGAAAAGTAGTTGTTGAAAAGATTAAATATTTTTAAATAGTAAAAATTACATAAATATCAGTTATCATATAATATTGAGTATTTAAAGTCCTTGGAATTTATTTTTCCTACTGCAGAAGCTCTTAATTGGTAAAAATTAACAAGCTGGGGGAATGTAGAGTATTACAACCAAGTAACACAGTATACTGTAATACTCTACATTCCCCCAGCTGGAAATAATCTCCCCTCCTTTAAACTACCATAGTATTCTGTGTATAGCAATTATTCCAAATAACTGTAATTTAGGGAAAACTTACCGTCTTATTTCTTCTTGAGATAAAGCTACTTGTTTTATTTCTTCAAGCTACTTGAAGGCAGAAATTGTGTTTAACTCATCAGTGCCTTGTACAGAGATATTCATTAAACATCTATTGAATGAATGACTAAAAAATCTTAAGGTCTTTTGTTTATACAAGTTATTCAAACGTTAAATAATCATATAAGTGATTAGTCAGATTTTTTAATTAGATTCCACTACTAAGGAAAAAAAAATAGTGCTTTATAGGTACCAGGATTGCTACACCTCAGTATTTCCTCATACTCATTCCTATTTTGATTTATCTGTGTTTATGATTTTTAAAAAACTTCCCAGCTATAAATCATTTATATAATGCATCAGTACAATGCACCAGTTATCTCCTTCCTCAGTACTGTGCTTTGCACAATGCCATTCTTCCTGAATATAAAATGTGTTGAAATGTAGTCATCTATGGAGTGCAAGAGGGTAAAACATAAATCAGGAAATTGTAGGGAAAATAAGTACTCTTAACTAAGATAACCTCAAATCGCCACAGTTTTGAAAAGCACCAAAACGTCTCCAAAATTGACTCTAAACAAATTGATTACTGTATTTTTCTTTAAGCAACACTATGCAAAGCTGGGACTGACCCCTATATTCTGAATAGTATTTTAAAAGGCTAATATACATCAGAATAACTTCTAAAATACAGCCAAAATGTTTGTAAGATATATCTATGTTTTTATTTGCGCTTAGGCAAGAAAGAGTGCTATTTTAAAACATAGTGCCTATCTAATAAAGCATGAGCTTTTAAAATAAAAAAATTACATTGAAATGTTTAAATGGATCATAAATTATCGGAAATAGACACATTATTAACAAACACTTTATTGCTAGAATTAGCAACCAGCATCAAGTATACAGAAAAAAAAGCTAATTATTGTAATTATAACATTATTTTAAGACCCCTTTATATACATTTCTCATTTGATCCTCTTAACTTTAATCTCCATTTGAAAAATAATAGAAATTATTATCCCATCTTACACATGATAAAACTAAAGTTGAAAATTATATGAAGTTATAATAAAAATGAATTATGAATGGTATGCTAATATGGCAGTGCCAAATTTAAAAAACAAGCATAAAAGCAACTGGAGGTAATAACTGATACAGCACATAATCTGCAATCTAAAATAAATGCAACTTAATTTAAGAAGATAATGCATCCTGGTATAGCCAAATGAGTATTTAGATCCAAAGAAATCCCTAGAACAGAGTTCATACTGGGGATGTACATCAGAATCACCTAGGTAGTTTTTTCAAAACATACATGTCCTTACCCCACTTGAGATGTTTAGAAGATAAAGAAATCTTCATAGTTTTTAAAGCCCAGATACACGTTGCTGAAAAAGCCTTCCAAGAAATTCTAACACACTCCTGATTAAGAATAATTGTCTTAAAACATGAAGTGGAAGCAACAATGCACATATTGAGAGAAGTAATCTAAAAATTCAGGTACAAATATGGACTGGGACGTGAGTAAATTAGGCAAAGCAATTCTGGCTACTTGTAACTTGAACTTGTGTTTATCTCCCACTTAAAAAAGAACCTTATTCAAATGCAAGCAAGAAAAAATGACAATATAGAGATAACCTTCAAATGCTTTCATTTATTTAAAAAGTAAATAATTTACAACACAAATATTTTAACTCTTGCAACACATCACACAAATGATTGTCACACCAGTGTGTCAACACCACAGTTGAGAATAGCTGACTAGACTGCATGTCTCTCATAAAGGTCCTCGGTGACAGACTTTGCCTGAGACCTAAAGGAGCCAATGGAGCTAACAATATATATTTTTCCAAATATCACCTCTACTCAATTTGGAGAAAAAGAAAATAAGATCTATTATTTTTTTCCTCAAACTAGGTCTCTCATCAGCCAAAGGCTATGCCAATATATCAGGCTGACTTTATTACTCCAATACATCAGGCTGACTTTCAACTGGGCCTTAAGAATCAAAGAAAGGAAATTTTCAGATGAGTATTCAACTGATTTATGCACTACAAGGTAAAAACTGTAAAAGATTCTGGCAATAGGGATTCTGTTACCAAGGGGGAAAAAAGGTAAGTCTTGAAAAAACTCTTGCACGTGCCAGGGTAAAATAAATAAATTTTAAAAGCTGTCCTAGATTATACAGGTATTAAAGTTAAAAACAAATGGCAAGACCAAATCACCTCTGTTTTAAAAATAAAAACAGAGGAGGCCCAGATAAATATGAATTTCAGAAAAACAATTTTATCCCATGCAATATTTGGGTCATGTGCCTACAAACAAAATCATTTTCAGAGAACCCATATGAGAGAAAGTTGGAACAAAATGAAATTCTGAGTCCCTTAAATTGTATTTGAGAAAGATACTATGCATAACCTAGATGTTCCTAATTATGATTCATTGTCTGGCTCCTCCCTAGTCATTACATTAACTCATTCCCTTTATCTGTGCCTATCATACGTCACCTTAATTATTTAACTCCATTGTTATTTCTATTTTTTCATGTGTTGCATTTCTGAAACATTCATGCTCATGTGTGGCATTTTACTTAAAAAAAGAAGTCATTTACTGTAGCTATCCATTCCTAACTTCCAGCTCTGTTATTAAAGATTAAGTTGCCTCACACTTACTTCCATTTCTCCCCTTTAATCGAGAAAAACAACAATTCTCTTGAAATTCACACTACAAATAGTTGGTAAGAAGTGAGGTTTACAAAAACAATTCATTTCTGTACTTCCTTCCTATTGTGTGACACAGAAGAACCATACTAAGAAAAATGTGAAGAAAAATAAATTATCTAAATTTTAAAACATTTTACCAAAGACAGCACTAATTATTAGTTAACAGAGCTATATGCCACACAAAGACATTTTGCTCTTTTTACTGGAACAATGAGAAGGTTTAAATTCAGACATAAAATATCTAATTTTACTTATATTAAATAGAATAAATATACAAAAGCAACAACTGCCTACTATGCATACCTTAGATGGGTTTGGGAACATTTTTCTTCACTATATCTATTATTAATTATGTCAAAAGACTGTGATCAAGGTGTAATTTTTTTAAAAAGCAACGAAAGGCAGCTTAATACAAGCTGTGAAATCCTAATTAATCTGCTAACTTATCTAAACAAAATTTAGAATCATATTATATACATGATTTTAAACTACATTCTAACTTACATAATTTTGCTTATAAGATTATGATTTATGTTACTTTTACATTATAGCTATCACATATTCAACTACATATACCTATTTACATATGACATCTGGTAAGAAATGAAGAAATGCTCTTAAATACTTCGTAATGAATAAAAGTTACTTTCTGAGGTTTTAATACTACCTTACTACAAACAGAATCTAAACTAGACAATGAAAAACTAAGCAATTTCTTTTTTTTTTTTTTTTTGGTCACTCTTCCGGTTAAATTACTGTTTCAAAACAGAATAGGAATTTAGAATTTTATTAGTGAATCTTTTTCTTTCTCTAAGGTCTTTATAACAGATTAAGGAAAAGTACACAGATTCCTGTAAACATTTTTTTTTTTTTATTCCAGGCCTGGCAGTTTTCTAACAACTGAATTACAATTTAAATAACTTGTTACATTTTAAATAGTCCCATTTTAATGCAACTCTTAGAAAAGACCAAAAAAAAAAAAAAAAAAGTTAATCACCCTTCAACTTCTAAACCTTTAAAACTTTCCATTTCTTTAAACATTTCCTCCTTACTTTTAGGGAATCCTTCCTCCTCACAACAGCACAAAATACAGTGTCAATGAACAAATTTAAATTGTATCAAATTTTAAAATCCTGTGGGTCTTACAATACTCTATATAGAAATGGTTGTTTCCTCTCTCAACTGAAAAAATTAGAAGTATTAAATTCATGCAATATATCAATAAAGTTTGATTAAATCGCCAAGAGCCTGAACTTACTTATAATGCTAGGCATTCTCCATTACTTCCAAACAAAATCTTTCTGATAACCAATACATTAACAAAATATTTGAAGTCATCTTAGCACTTCTAATCTACACATGCTTTGAATTCATAAATTTACACGATTATCTGAAAGTCTGGTGTCACTTAAGTGGGAAAAGGGAAAGTTGAAATATTTTAAACTACACTTAGTATTCTCACAACCACAAACAAACTGAAATCAAATGTCATGTGAAACACCCCAATTTCCTTTTCTGCCTACAGCAATAGCTATGGCATTGTTCTGCTCAACCTTTTAAAAAGGTTCTTTAAGCTTCCTACTTCCTCATCTCTACTAGACATCAGCCTACTTCTGAGGGTCACTGGACCAGGCAGTTTGGGGATAAGAGTCAAGTTCATAAACGGGGCCCCCTCTTCATTCTCTTAGTACAGCATTTAACATGCATTTAGCCCTCCCTGCCTTTGCTCACGCTGCTTCCTCTGTCTGGAAAGTGTCCCCCACTCACCTTGCCAAAATCCTGGTAAAAGACCAACTCGACCCCAGGCTACTTGATTTATCCCCCCGCCCCGGCTCTCCCGTCCCCCTCAACCTTAAGCTCCAGGCAGCCCCAACCACATCTGTGTATATAGGAGACTTTCTTGCTCTGCAATGTTTCTTACAAACTTATTCCCCCCCAAAGGGAGAGATCGAGCATTTATTAAGGGAAAATATATAGTCACATAAGTGATAAAGTTGTATTCATTCCTACTCATTATTTTAAAGCTCGGATATTCTAAAACTCCTCTTTCCCCTTATTTCCAGCGAGGAGGAAGGGGGATTCAACGTCTCTATTCGTCAGATTAGGAACCTTGAGCTTTATCTCACAGTAAAAACTACATTTTTTTTTTTTTTAAATAGAGACAGGGTCTCCCTCTGTCGCCCAGGCTGGAGTGCAGGGGCGCGATCTCGGCTCACTGCAACCTCCACCTCCCAGGTTCAAGCGATTCTCCTGCCTCAGCTTCCCGAGTAGCTGGGATTACAGGCGCGCGCCACCACGCCCCGCTGATTTTTGTATTTTTAGTAGAGACGGGGTTTCACCATGTTTGCCAGGCTGGTCTCAAACTCCTGACCTCTGGTTATCCACCCGCCTCGGCCTCCCAAAGTGCTGGGAATACAGGCATGAGCCACCGCGCCCGGCCTACACTTGGTCGAAGCAACATTAACACTTAAAATACCACGGATTTTCTAATTCGTGTTAAAATACCACGGATGATTTTTAAAGCCGTGACACATTTTGTACAACTGTCAGTACAAGGGGGATCACCTCTTTGCATTTGATGAAATTAAACTAAAAAGGGGGAGAGAGCTTGCCCGAGGTCTGAAGGTTCCTCATTCCTGTTCTAAAACATAAAACCACCATCTTCAATACATATACATTTTTAATGAGAACTCTTCGTCCTCCTTTGGTTCGCTTATGACTTCCCTAATCCTAAAATCAAGTCGTTGGGAATTTCTAAGGTTCCTGCTATGACAACAGGATCGAATTACAGAGCGTGGCTTGGATTCTGCACGCAAACCCTGAAGCAGGTAACTTTTTTAAAAGCTGACAATTTTACCATATGAGATTTTAAAGACAGAACGCGCCCCAGCAAAAACTGAGCTCCCTAAACTCACTGCGGCAGGACCCCCTTCAGAAGAGCTCCTTTCCCCCGGCCCAGGCCCGCGCCCCATGAACACTCACCGGAGGCCATGGCTCCGCTCCCCGCACCTTCCCGCAGGCAGCTCCCAGCGTCCTGGCCGGAGGCGGCCGCAGTCAGTCAGTCAGGAGGCCGAGGGACCTCTGCCGGCGGGGCCCCCAGTCCCCCGACCACCCTAGAGGCCTCCTCCTTCTTCCCGCCCTCCGCTGGGTTTGCGGCTCACACCTTCCCAACCCCTGAATTCTTGCACCCCGGGTCACCCAGCGTCGCCGTCCACCGTACGGGAGCCAGGGGCAGGGGGCGGAGCGGGGAGAGCCGAGTGCTGGCCCAGCCGAGAGGCGAGCAGCCTGGCGGGAGGGGAATTTCCCGCGGCTGACGTAGGCCCGACGCAGCAACCCTCACCCGGAGGCGTGGGCGGGGCGACCTCGCGGCCGCCGCGCGCGCGACCGCCCCCAGCGCCCCGCCCCTGCCTGTCCCCGCGCACGCTCCCCGCCGGCCCCCACGCATACGCCCCCGGCGCTGCTGCGGCGGCTGGCTTGGGAGGGGGTCGAGGGAGCGGGAGCTTGGGGTGGGCTTCGGGAGCGCAGGGAACGGCGGGAGCCGGGAGGTGACGGCTAGCAGCGTGAGAAGGCCGCTGGCTCCTGAGAAATCCCCCTCCTCCAGGTTGTTCTTCCGAGTGTGGTTTAAAGTTCAGGAGCGGGCGGGAGGGTGCGGATGACGTAGAGAGGGCCGGCCGCTGGGGAGCTTTTGGGGGCGCGCGGGGCCGACTCTCCCGGCCTGGGAGGGCGACGGCCGGGGTTTTCGAGAGGTGGTTCCCCCTCTTCCCGACTTCGCACATGCAAATCTCCACCCCCGCGCCAGCGGCGGGACGTTGCGCCCTGTAGGGGGAAGTGGTGCTGCGGCGGGGGTCCTGTCTTCTTCTGTAATTCCTGTATTTGCATACGGGGACCCCCCCCCCGACTGATTTTTTTTCCTCCATCTAAATTGCGAGGGTACTGTGAACTTTACGTATTTTACCTACTGAAACCCGTTTAAACTCAAAAGGTCCGCACTTGGAGTTCGTTGTCTCATTAGGCAGTGCACTGAAGTTTAGTGGACACTATATCCTGAGATTTCACACAGATGCCAAGAAAGGCGGAAATGGAGCACACATTTAGTGCATTAAAGGACCTAGGATAACTTCGTTTCCTTCATTTGAATAGTACCTGCTATGCATCAGATAATGTCCATACTTAATCTATGACGTATTTATTATTCCTAACTTTATAGATGAAGTATTCGGGGTTCAGAGAAGTTACTTCAACATACAGTACTTCAGAATGCTGATAAAAGGCACAGTTTAAAGCCAGGGTTGTCTGACTCCAAAGCTCCATGCCCTTGCCCCTGTCCCTTACTAGTTAAAATTAGTACGGAGAGGTAATGGGGAATATCAGCCTGCCATACAAGTGCCCAAAACTGGGGGACCCATATGGGCAAATAATTTAAAATATCCTGCCAACCCCAAACTGTTCTTTCCACGAAATGCGCAATGTACAACAAAAGAATGAAACAGTTTTATTATTGGATATGTACTAAAACGTACCATGATGCACATCACAGGCAATCCACTGAAGAGAGTGCAAAGACCAAAAAAAAGGAAATCTCACCTTTTCATATGGTCAGGCACGTACAATCCATTACATACCTATTAATTGTCTTTATCCAAAGGAAAATAATGGGAAGTTATCTTGGAACCAAGAGCCAAGGCTTAAACCCTCCTAGAGACAGAAACATGGAGCACCATCCTTGATGTTCACATTTCCAAGAGATGGCTCCGAGGCCCGCAAGAAAGACCTTCTGAGGACGCAAAACTAGCAAGAGGCTTATTTAGCTTTTTAAAATATGTACATACATTTCAAAGAGACGGAAAACATTTTCAGTTCTCTGAAGGAATTTCAAAATGAAAAGTGACTGGGGGAGAGGAAAGTTCTGAGGAGGTGACATTTGAGCTGAGTCCTCAGTTTAAGAAAGAGCCGGCCAGGCGCAGTGGCTCATGCCTGTAATCCCAGCACTTTGGGAGGCTGAGGCAAGTGGATCACGAGGTTGGGAGTTCAAGACCAGTCTGGCCAAGATGGTGAAACCCCGTCTCTACTAAAAATACAAAAATTAGCCAGGCGTGGTGGCGGGCGCCTGTAACCCCAGCTACTCAGGAGGCTGAGGTAGAGAATTGCTTGAACCTGGGAGGCGGAGGTTGCGGTGAGCCGAGATCATGCCACTTGCACTCCAGCCTGGGCGACAGAGCGAGACTCCGTCTCAGAAAAAAAAAAAAAAAAAAAAAAAGGCCATTCACAGGGAGATTCAGGGAAAGAACATTCCAGCTGGGGGAACAGCAGGCAGCAGGTCCTTGAGATAGGAAAGAGCACAGTCAAGAATTGTCCCTCATCCTCATGACCTTCAAACGTCTCATCAAACATTCACTTTCATGTAGTTGAAATGCCTATTTTAATAATATATGGTTAGAACACAACTCCCTTTCATATATAGATATAAAATATTTTTGTATGGTTTTTAATATATACTGAATTTCCCAGGAATGCAAATATTGTATAAATTGAGGGCAGACTTTTATTAAAAAATGTTTTAAAAGTTGGAAAATTGTAACTCTGACAGCTCATCAATACAACACAGTATGCCAGCTGTGGTGGCTCACACCTGTAATCCCAGAACTTTGGGAGGCCGAGGCGGGTGGATTACCTGAGGTCAGGAGTTCAACACCAGCCTGGGCAACATGGTGAAACCCTGTCGCTACTAAAAATACAAAAATTAGCTGGGCGTAGTGGTGTGCTCCTGTAATCCCAGCTACTTGAGAGGCTGAGGCACGAGAATCGCTAGAACTGGGGAGGTGGAGGTTGCAGTGAGCCGAGATCACACCATTGCATTCTAGCCTGGATGACAGAGCAAGACTGTGTCTCAGAAAACAAACAAACAAAAAACCACAGTAGTATCAGGCTGCATTTGCAGCACTTGCATTCACACTGATTCTAGGTACAAGTACAAACATCTGGCAACTTCATTATGTCTTTTTTTTTTTTTTGGAGACAGGGTCTTGCTCTGTCACCAAGGCTGGAATGCACTGGCATGAACACAGCTCACTGCAGCCTCCACCTCCTGGGCTCAAGCTATCCTCCTACCTCATCCTCCCAAACAGCTGGGACTACATGCCCGTGCTACCACACCCAACCCATTATGTCTTTTTTTTTTAAGAGACGGGGTCTTGCTATGTTGCCCAGGCTGGTCTCGAACTCCTGGGCTCAAATGATCTTCCCGCCTCAGCCTCCCAAAGTGCCGGGATTATAGGCATGAGCCACTGCATCTGGCCCCATTATGTCTTTTGATGTAGTTATGCCCAAGCATTTACATACTGTAGTCGATATTATTTTCCTAGAAATTGCTTTCTTTTTAATTCTTGATATTGCTGTTAGAACATAATTTTTATTTATTTGAAAATATTCATGTAAGGTAGATTATGAATTTCACTTCAACCTACTAAAGGGGATGTTACAAATATATGTTATAAAACAGTGGGCACTGATCTGAAAGGGCAGAGAACCTTTAGAACCTTTAGAACTGTTGATGCTAAAGAACTTACCTTAAACATATGAAAAAAAATTTTTTAATGATGCAGCAGTTAAAAAGTCACAATCCTCCAGGAAAGAAACAAATCTGATTAGCAAATGGATGTGTTCTGAGTCTGTGATCGCAGAATATGAAAAAGTAAGAGTGAGGGGTCAAAAGTGAAATTGCTCCATAAGATATTTTTTTGTTGTTGAAAGAACAAGACACCCATCATTAAATTGAATGGATACAGTTAACAACAGTTTCAGAATAAAATCAAACGTTGTGGTCACCATAGGTTCATAGAACTGGAACAAACATATATTATTTTGGCATTCTTGAGCTTTCCCAGGCAGTAACTAAAGGTGACCGAAGTCATCATCCTAGGGGCATGCTAGTATTTGTTTAGGTCTGTTAGTGTGGGGCATGGATAAAATAATGTGTGCTCAGTATCTGCAGTAGTTACAGGCCAAGGCTGAAGCCTAGTGGAGAACAGGGCTCAGAGAAGCCTCTTCAGAGTGTCATCAAGGAGAGTCTTTGTAACCCACTACCCGGATTAAGATACAGAACGCTTCTAGCCAGCCACTCAGAAGGCTGCCTCGGAGCTGCTTCTAGTCAATATCCACCCCCAAAAGGCACCCGATATTCTGACCTCCTTGACAATAATTAGTTGTATCTGTTTTTGAACTTGATATGAATGGATTCATACAGTGTATACTCTTTTAAGTATGACTTTCTCACTTAACAATTGTATGTGTCATGTCCGTACTGTGTGACAGTAGTACATTCTTTTTCATTATTGGGGAGAAATCCATTGTATGAATATAGCACATTTTATTTATCCAGTCTACTGTTGATAAATATTTGAGTTGTGTCCACATAGTTGTCCATCTTTTGGTGGTTATAAGCACTTATTTCTGTTGATATACACCCAAGAGTAGTACTGCTGGATCATATGGTAAATACATGTTAGTTTTAGTAGACACTGCCAGTTTTCCAGGGTTGTTGTACCAAATTATACTCCCACAAAAAAACTTAAGAGGCCGGACGGACACGGTGGCTCACGCCTGTAATCCCAGCACTTTGGGAGGCCGAGGCAGGTGGATCACCGGAGGTCGGGAGTTCGAGACCAGCCTGACCAACATGGAGAAATCCTGTCTCTACTAAAGATACAAAATTAGCCCGGCATGGTGGCGCATGCCTGTAATCCCAGCTACTTGGGAGGGTGAGGCAGGAGAATCGCTTGAACCCGGGAGGCGGAGGTTCCAGTGAGCTGAGATTGCACCACTGCACTCCACTCCAGCCTGGGCAACAAGAGTGAAACTCCTTCTAAAAAACAACAACAACAACAACAACAAAACTTAAGATAATTCCATTTGTTTCACCAACACTTGGTATTGTCCTTTTAATTTTAGCCAGTCTGATGGAGGTGTAGCAGTACCTTCTTGTGGTTTTTATATACATTTCCCTGATAACTAGAGATGCTGAACTCCTTTCCTTTCTTTCTTTTTTTTTTTTTTTTGAGACGGAGTCTTGCTTTATCGCCCAGGCTGGAGTACAGTGGCGCAATCTCGGCTCACTGGAACCTTCACCTCTCAGGTTCAAGCGATTCTTCTGCCTCAGCCTCCCAAGTAACTAGGACTACAGGCAAGCCCACTGTGCACGGCTAATTTGTGTATTTTTGTTTTGTCTTATTTTATTTTATTTTTGTATTGTTAATAGAGACGGGGTTTCTCCGTGTTGGTCAGACTAGTCTCAAACTCCCGACCTCAGGTGATCCGCCTGCCTTGGCCTCCCAAAGTGCTGGGCTTACAGGCGTGAGCCACTGCGCCCGGTTGTATTTTTTTTTTTTTTTTAGAAGAGACGGAGTTTCACCATATTGGCTAGGCTGGTCTCCAACTCCTGACCTCGTGATCCACCCCGCTCTGCCTAACAAAGTGCTGGGATTACAGGCGTGAGCCACTGTGCCTGGCCAAGATACTGAACACCTTTTTACAAATGTACTAGTCATTTGGCTCTCCTCCTTTGCAGAGTACCTGTTTGAGTCTTTTGCACATTAGAAAAGAAAATGGGGCCAGACGCGGTGGCTCACGCTTGTAATCCCAGCACTTTGGGAGGGCGAGGTGGGCAGATCACGAGGTCAGTAGTTCGAGACCAGTCTGACCAACATGGTGAAACCCCGTCTCTACTAAAAATACAAAAATTAGCTGGGCATGATGGCACGCACATGTAATCCCAGCTGCTCAGAAGGCTGAGGCAGGAGAATCGCTTGAACCTGGGAGGCAGAGATTGCAGTGAGCCAAGATCACACCACTACACTCCAGCCGGGGGACAGAGCGAGAAAACATCTCAAAAAAAAAAAAAAATTGGATTATCTATCTTTTTCTTATTGATTTGTAGACATTCTTTATGTATTCTGGATATGAGTATACCAGTTGGGTCCTTTGGGAAGCAAGTACCAATATGAAATTAACAGTGCAAGAGATTTATTGGGGGTAACATCTATGAAAGATAAAGGGGAAAGAAAAAAGTTATAGGCAGGGAAAATCTTAAGATGCAGGTCTGACACTGGTGAAAAGAAAGGGGGAAGGAAGGTAAATTTGGTAGAAAGAAAATGAGATGGGAGTGCATCTTTGAGGAAGTCTCAGTAAATCCAATGGGGAGCTCTAACACAAACACTGTGCACAGAGATAGTTAGCCCTTATACTACCTCTGTACTTAATAATTGGGTAGGTGGCTCCAAGGAAATATGTGGCTTTGGCTTGAAAGCTGAGGCAGATCCTCTCTAGAATGGAGATCTGAGCAGAGCACCTCTATGGATGCCACAGAATTGTTATAAAATATATGCATTGCAAGTATCCTCTCCTAGTCTGTGGCTTGCCTTTTCATTATCTTAGTGAAGCTTTTTAACTTAGTGTTAATTAAGTCTGATTTATTTTCTTTGATAGTGTTTTTTGTGAATGTTAGAGAACTCTTCTTGGACTGAGGTTATGAAAATATTTTCCTATGTTCTAGAAGTTTTATAATACTCAGTAATATTTAATGGAGGCTCTGAAAAACATCTGCGGAATTCTCTGTGTTTCACAGCTAAAGGCCCTGGCTTTGCAAACACACAGGCCTGGATTTGAATCTTAGCTTGTCCTAGATTGTTAGCTGTGAGACTCTGGGCAAGTCCCTTAGCCTCTCTGTGCCTGTTTGCTTATCTGTAAAATAGGGGTAGTAATATGGTACCTACCTCACAGGCTTCTTGTGAGGGCTAATTGAGATCACTAATACAAAGTGCCTGACACAGGGAAAGCCCTCAGAAATGTTGGCAGGTTTTTTTCCTGTTTTATCATAAAAATGTTTGGGGCCAGGCATGGTGGCTCATGCCTGTAATCCTAGCACTTTGGGATGCCAAGGTGGGAGGATCGCTTGATCCAGGAGTTCAAGACCAGCCTGGACAACAAAATGAGACACCATCTCTACAAAAGATTTTTTTTTTTTTAATTAGCCAGGTGTGGTGACACATACCTGTGGTTCCAGCTAAGCCCAGAAGGTCAAGGCTATAGTGAGCCATGATCCTGGCACTGCATTCCAGCCTGGGCAACAGAGAAAGACCCGTCTCAAAAAAAAAAAAAAAAAAAATTCAAATATACAGCCAAACTGAAAGATTTTTTTTCCGGGAACATATGTATACCCACTAACTAGATTCCACCATTAACATTTTGCTGCACTTGCCTTATCACCTGTCTGTTTATTTTTCCATCCCTCTGTCTATCCATTCATCTATCTGGTTTTTAAAAATGTATTTCAAAATAAGTTGCAGACACTGGTACTTTGCCCTCTGAATAAGTCAGCACGTATGACTGTGATTCTTACACTACTCTAATAACCAGAGTGATTGTATCTGTTGGATTCATTGGGGTTCTCCCTCAGATAATTCTAGATAAATGGCCAAATTTCGTCTTTGATACCCCCATTATCTGAGTTACCTGTCTTCCGTTATGTAGTTTATGTAGATGCTTTACATCAATTTAAGCCACATGGTTCTCTTACAAAAAATTAAACCTTATCGAGAGTATGCCCTAGTCCCAGTTAGCATACTGCAAATCACTGCCCAACTCTCTGTAGTGAGGAGGTGTCCTTCCTATTAAGGACAAATAGCTGCAACAGCTGGGTTCAACCACTATGAGTGAATTTTACCAGTACTGTTGGCCAAACCCCACTCCTGCTCTCCTGTTTACTTACTGCATTAGTATTGTTTGAGATCTCTGAAACTCAATTATGTGATTTATAAGGTTGTAAAAAACAAAACTTAAGGGCAAAAAAAAAAAAAACAAAAAACCCATAAAGAATGAGAGCCAGGTGTGGTGGCTCACCCATGTAATTCCAGCACTTTGGAGACCAGGAGTTGGAGACCAACCTGGGCAGCATAGTGAGACCCCCATCTGTACAAAAAAAAACAAAAAAAAATTAGCCAGGTTTGGGGGCATGCACCTGTAATATTAGCTACTTGAGAGACTGAGGTGGGAGGATCACTTGAACCCAGGAGTTTGAGGCTGCAGTGAGCTATGAACACACCACTGCACTCCAGTCTGGGTGACAGAGCAAGACCCTGTCTCTTAAAAAAAATTCATAAATAGTTTGGTGTGTGGCAGCAGACCCAGATCCTGTCATCACTTTTGCCTGCTGTCCCTCCTATCTAAGACAAGTTCATGTGCTGCCGTCTTTAAAGCACACTTTAGGAGAAAGGGATAGTCCCTAAAGTAAAAACTATACCTCTGAGGAAACCTGCCCCACTCACCTATTTTCATTTAAGGAACTGAAACATAAGATTAATGAACACCCAGAGAAATGAAATCTTAGTACATAAAAACTCCAAAAAGCATTCGTAAAATATCCATTGTTAAAAATTTTCTTGGCTGGGCACAGCGGCTCACACCTGTAATCTCAACATTTTGGGAGGCTGAGGCAGGAGGATTGCTTGAGCCCAGGATTTCAAAACCAGCCTGGGCAACATAGCGAGACCCTGTCTCTATTTAAAAAAAAAAAAAAAAATCGGCAGGGCGCAGTGGCTCACGCCTGTAATCCTAGCACTTTGGGAGGCCGAGGCGGGCATATCACTTGAGGTCAGGAGTTTGAAACCAGCTTGGCCATCATGGTGAAAACCCATCTCTACTAAAAATACAAAAAATTAGCTGGGCATGGTGGTGCACGCCTGTAATCCCAGCTACTCAGGAGGCTGAGGCAGGAGAATCGCTTGAAGCTGGGAGGTAGAGGTTGCAGTGAGCCGATCTCGTGCCACCGCACTCCAGCCTGGGCGACAAAGCAAGACTACATCTCAAAAAAAAAAAAAATCTCTTTTTAATCTTTTTGTTTATATTGTGTAGGCCCTATACTGTGGTATGCTAGTTTTGCGTATATAGCACTGCCTAGAAGTATGACACAGTGTGCTAACTTGGGTTTCTCTAACTGTAGTAATGTCTGATGTGTCACAACCATGAGATCCAGTGATTACTTGTTCCAATTTAGAATTAACATTTTTCAGAACAAGTAATGAAGTCATCATCACCTTCAAGTCATATGGTGCCTCTTTTATGTCTCAACAGGAGAGAGTTAGTTCAATTTTAAGGTTGGAAGGAACCCTGTAGATCATTTAGTTCATCTCCCTCGTTTTACACATGAGGAAAATGAGGCACAGGAAGTTTAAGTACCTTGCCCGTGTTCATTAGGTAGTTAATTGCTGAGTTGAAACTTGAAACCAGACCTCCAGACTCTTTGTTTCTTTTTCACTATGTCACATCACATTTCAAAATATGACCTAAGATATAAAACAATATAACTGGCAGCCATAATCTTACTAATAAAAATGCAAATATATGAAGGTTTAGCGTTCACAGGTTCCATATCTTTTAAGACTCTTCATGTTCTTTTCCCCAAAATTCTCAATTCAATACCTGTGTAGGAAAAGTAAAAATCAGTGCATTTACTTCTTTAATTAAAGGCATTGACTGTGTCTTGTTCATCTTTTATTCCCTAGAGTGGCTAGTACAGTGCCTTTAGCATTGTAGATGCTCATTAAATGTCGAATAAAATATAAATTATTACACATTGAATCACACCAGTATTGATATGAGTGACAATGTATCACCACTGGGCGTTAGATACCATCAAGAAAAACAAAAAGAGGCACAAGGCTCAACTCCTACCCAAAGTGATAACTATGCCTGCAGAGAGGTATGATAGTGATTATATTAAGACGGGTATCAAAATCATGGATTACTGTCATGAAAGCAAGCAAGCTGGGCCAACCAGTTACTAAGTTCATATGTATATTTTACTTATTTATTTTTAGATTGAGATGGAATCTCACTATTGTTGCCCAGAGCTGGTCTCAAACTCCTGGGCTCAAGCAGCCCTCCCACCTCAGCCTGCCAAAGTGCTGGGATTATAGGCGTGAACCACTACTCCCGGACCTAAATTCTTTAATAACATTCAAAGTCTTTAATTTTTTGCTAAAATATGTTTATTTTTAAATTACAACCTAAAAAAAGACACATATAAAACATTAAAGAAAGGCTGGGCATGGTGGCTCACACCTGTAATCCCAGCAGTTTGGGAGACCATGGTGGCAGGATCAGTTGAGGCTAGGAGTTCAAGACCAGCCTGGGCAACATGGTGAGACCCTGTCTCTATAAAACAAAACAAATAAACAAAATTAAATAAAGATTGGAGAAAAGAAGAAAACTCACTTATAATTCTGCCTCACTAATACAGACATCACCTACGTGCATGTGTGAGTATGTGTGTATGTGTTGTCTTCTAGAGCTTTTTCATATGCAGGCTTTGGTTTATTTCTTCTGCTATTACTTGATCATGGTAAAAAAATTAAGGCAGAGAAAATGAAAGTCAAGTAAAATGACCAACCCCTATGCAAAAAATAACCAAGAGTAGTGATTTGGAGTATATCCTCATGTAACTTTTATATATTTTATATCACTATGTATCATTTATACATAAACTTTGGTAGCCTGGATTTTTTTTTTCACCTGACATTATATTACATTTGCCATAGATTTTTTTTTTTTTCTTTTAGAGACCAGCTGTCACCCTGCAGTGGCACAGTCACGGCTCACTGTAGCTTCAAATTCCTGGGCTCAAGTGATTCTCCTGCTTCAGCGTCATGAGTAGCTGGGATTACAGGGACAAGCCACCACACCTGGCTAATTTTAAAATTATTTTTGTAGAGATGGGGTCTCCCTATGTTGCCCAGGCTGGTCTCAAACTCCTGGGTTCAAGCAGTCCTCCTGCCTTGGCCTCCCACCGTGCTGAGATTATAGGCGTGAGCCATCGGGCCCGACCTGGATTTTATACTGAGCACTATAAGGAAGGAAATTGTCTAGAGAATAGATATCCTAGGAAACTGGGAATGGTTCCAAGCCTTGTAGGTCCTAATCAGCTTAAAGAACAGATTTTATATAACCAGGGAGTTGAAAAATTGGAAAAGTAGGAAATTGTGAGCAGGAGGTTGGGCTTTCTAAGTTATCGCATAAAAAAACCAGGCTTGGGCTGGGCGTGGTGGCTCACGCCTGTAATCCCAGCACTGTGGGAGGCCAAGGCGGGTGGATCACGAGGTCAGGAGATTGAGACCATCCTGGCTAACAAGGTGAAACCCTGTCTCTACTAAAAATACAAAATGTTAGCCAGGTGTGGTGGCGGGCGCCTGTAGTCCCAGCTACTTGGGAGGCTGAGGCAGGAGAATGGCGTGGATCTGGGAGGCAGAGCTTGCAGTGAGCCAAGATCGTGCCACTGCACTCCAGCCTGGTGACAGAGCAAGACTCTGTCTCAAAAAAAAAAAAAAAAACAAAAATAGCCAGGCTTGTATTTAGATATCTAACACCACTGAAATTGAAGACAAGCATAACTTTCACATAATATTTACAGCAATCTATCAAAAAGTCTAATGAGATTTAAAATATATTAAACCTAATTTTGGATATTCCAGATGAAATGTTTTCATTTTCTTTCTTTCTTTTTTTAAGACAAAATCTCACTCTGTCGCCAGGCTGGAGTGCTGTGTCGTGATCTCGGCTCGCTGCAACCTCTGACTCCCTGGTTCAAGTGATTCTCCTGCCTCAGCCTCCCAAGTAGCTGGGATTACAGGCACGCGCCACCATGCCCAGCTAATTTTTTTTCTGTATTTTTAATAGAGACAAGGTTTCACCGTGTTGGCCAGGATGGTCTCAATCTCCTGACCTTGTGATCCGCCCGCCCCTGCCTCCCAAAGTGCTGGGATTACAGGCTTTGGGAGCCACCGTGCCCAGCTGAAATGTTTTCATTTTCATAGTAAATGTATACATCTTTATTTTTACTTAGTGCTTAATTAAAAGTGATAGATCAAGTCGGGTGTGGTGGCTAATGCCTGTAATCCCAGCACTTTGGGAGGCCGAGGTGGGGAGATCACTTGAGGTCAGGAGTTTGAGACCAGCCTGGCCAGCCTGGTAAAACCCTGTCTCTACCAAAAATACAAAAAATTAGCCAGGAGTGGTGTTGCACACCTGTAATCCTAGCTACTTGGGAGGCTGAGGCAGGATAATTGCTTGAACCCGGGAGGCGGAGGTTGCAGTGAGCCAAGATCGTGCCACTGCCCTCCAGCCTGGGCAACAGAGCGAGACTCCATGTCAAAAAAAAAAAAAAAGGTGATACATCAATATTATAAATAATATACTTTCCTATTACTGGGTGTATTTTGAATACTTTTTTTACCTTAGACTTTTGAAACAATCTTGGTCACATTACTTTTTTTTTTTTTTGATACAGAGCCTCACTCTGTCGTCCAGGCTGGAGTGCAGTGGCACAATCTCGGCTCACTGCAACCTCCACCTCCTGGGTTTAAGTGATTCTCAATACCTCAGCCTCCTGAGTAGCTGGGACTATAGGCATGTGCCATCACGCCTGGCTAATTTTTGTATTTTTAGTAGAGATGGGGTTTCACCATGTTGGCCAGGCTGGTCTCAAACTCCTGACCTCAGGTGATGCACCTGCCTTGGCCTCCCAAAATTCTGGGATTCCGTGTGCAGCCTGGAATAGGTTTTTGCTGTGGTTTGAATGTGTCCCTCAACATTCATGTGTTGGAAGCCTAATTCCCAATGTCATAATATTAAGAGGTGGGGCCTTTAAGAGATGATTAAGTCATAAGGGTGGTGCCTTCATGGATAGGATTAGGGCCCTTATAAAAGGACTCAAGGTTGAAGGGGGAGCTCTCTTGCACTCTTACCCTTCTGCCATGTGATGACACACCAAGAAGGTCGTTGCAAAATGTCAGCACCTTGATCTTGGACTTCCCACCCTCCAGAACTGTGAGAAAATGAATTTCTGTTCTTTATAAATTACTCAGTCTCCAATATTCTTTTATGGCAGCTCAAACGAACTGAAATAGTTCTTTGGGTTTTTTTTTTCCTACTCATAAAAAGGAGCACCCAGGAATTCACTAGACTTTGCTGTGTCTGCATGTGATAAGTAAACCACAGAAGCCATTTTAAGACATGAGTTAAAAATAAAGCCACCATGGGCTGGGCACAGTGGCTCATGCCTGTAATCTCAGCACTTTGGGAGGCCAAGGCAGGCAGATCACTTGAGGCCAGGAGTTCAAGACCAGCCTGGTCAACATGGCCAAACCCCGTTTCTACTAAAACTACAAAAATTAGCCAGGCGTGGTGGTGCACGCCTGTAATCCAGCTACTTGGGAGGCTGAGGCATGAGAATCGCTTGAACCTGGGAGGTGCAGGTTTCAGGGAGCCAAGATTATGCCACTGCATTGCAGCCTGGCAACAGAGTGAGACCCTTTCTCAAAAAATAAAAATAAAGCCACCATACTGAAGATGTTAGAGTAGAAAGAATTGGAAGGAATCTGAGTTTTTGGTGACATGATTAGCTGCTGAATTGGAACCATCCTACCTCAGACTCCTCGTTATATGAGATAATAAATATTCCATTATGATGTAAACCAGTTGAGTTTCCTGTTATTTGCAGCCGAAAATAAGAGAGATCCAACTATCCCTAAAAGAGAGACTCAGTCTGGCTGAGGTCTGAGCTCCTGAAAAATGGTCTCCACCATGTATTTCCTTAAACTGAGCATTTAATTCTATCAATCTTAAGACATAGTACTTTAATTTTCACTTCCTGTATTATACTTAACAGTTACCGTACGCGTACTGTTGCTCAAGACCACTGGCGGATTCAGAAATAGAACACAGTGCCTAGGTCAAAATGGAAGTTTATAACTTTAATGAAGCCCTTTGACAGAGGACAGGAAGTCAAAGTCAACCAAACAGGAAGTAGGCAGAGCAGAACAGAGCAGCCGGAAATATTTGGGCCTGGCACAAGAATTGGTCTATATACAGAACATATATAAAACAAACAAAATATTTAGAGCTGAAATCTTTAAATTTGTAAACACTTAAAGGGGATCATTTAAAGAAGAAAGAGAAGGAAAACAAGGAAGTAAAAGGAAGACAGAAATGTCTCTTGCCAGAGTAATTATTGCGTAAACCAAAGAATGTTTCTGCACAGCTTGTAGCAGTTTTAAAACATTATTTAATTAAATTAATTAATTTATTTTCAAGGCAGGGTATTGCTCTATCTCCAGGCAGGAGAGCAGTGGTACAATCACCGCTCACTGCAGCCTCCATCTTCCAGGCTCAAGCAGTCCTCCCACCTTAGCCCACCAAGCAGCTGGGACCACATTAGGTGCACACCACCAGGCCCAGCTAGTTTCAGTTTTAAAACATACCTGCAAATTCCTTGATCTCCCCCCCATGATGAGGTGAACTTTGTGGCCCTCCCTTTGAATTTGGGCCAAACATTAGTGACTAGTTGACCAGTAGGGTATGGCAGAAATGATTCTCTGTGACCTTCCGGACTCAGTCAAAAAAGGTGGTGCAGATTCTCCCTGGTTCTCTGGACCCTGCATTAGAGCCTTGAGCCACTATCTAAGAAGCATTACTACCCTGAGACCATCATGCTGCGAGGAAGCACAAACTAATTCGTGTAAACAGATCACATGGAGAGGCCCTGACATCCCAAGCTCTCCCAATGCCTGCTCTTCCATCTCCTGCCACTGCATGTAAGACATTAAGCCAGAACCACTCAGTGGAGCTCTTCCTGAATTCCTGACCCACAGAAACCATGAGATAATAAAATGATTGTTGTTGTTTTAAGCCAGTAAGCTTTGGGGTGGATTGTTAATGCAGCAATAGATAACCAGAACAGTAGATGAGGTGATTTAAATGCTATGGCTTTTTAATAAGTAAGGAAAGAACTCAAGGACTCATTAAAAGTCATTATAACTAATTACTATAACCATCAAGATGAAGTGGTAGTTTCCAGTCAGAGGACCTGTTAGCAATAATAAAAGCAAATAATTATTGGTGAGGCCAAGCGTGGTTTAAAAAAAAATCTCGCTTCTGAAAGAACACTTTAGTTAAAATGAAATATTTAAATACTATGCCATATTTCTCAAGAGCAATTTGTGCAAGCAATTCTCTTTTTACCACTTTTTCTTCACATCTCAGAGATTCATAGTATCTATAAGCTATGACAGATATTTGGGCTGATTCCTGATATATCATAACTCAGCAACTCAAAAAGCTACAAGCTGGGAGATTGAGGACTCCTATGCACTGGGTACCACTTTCTTGGCCTTTGGATATTCAATCATTTAACATTTCTGTAAGGGAAATGTAGCCAGTGGGACCCTATCTGTGGGATAAATTTCATGATGGAAAAGATAGGATGTTAGAGGTGTCAAAGACTCCTAAGACTCACACTTACAGTATTGATTCTTGTTTTAAAGTGTTAAAAGGACATAAATAAAAATTAAGATCAGTCAAAGCAAATACAGAAAAGTGATATGGAAAATGTATATGAAATGTCCAGAGTAGGCAAATCCATAGACAGAAAATAGATGAGTGATTGCCTGGGGCCAGGGGTACATGGGGTCTGACTACTAAGGGATTTCTTATGGGGTGCTGAAAATGTTCTAAAATTAATTGTAATGATGGTTGTAAAATTGAATTTACTAATATCCATTAAATTGTATACTTTAAATGGATGAACTGCACAGATGAATTGCATGGTGTGTGAATTATATCTCAAAGCTGTTATAAAAAAAGTAACTGGAAAATTATAGAAGATGAAAACAGATTAAAAATAGATCCTTTTTATCAGAATAAAAATGTTTCTACCTATGCTTAGAAATTCCCTGGCTAAATGAGTAGGTGACACTGAGATTCCTCTAGAGAAGAGTTCAGCAAACTTTTTCTCTAGTAGGCCACATAGAAAATATTTTGCAGCCTGGGCAACATAGCAAGACCCCATCTCTACAAAAAAATTTTTGAAAATTAGCTGGATATGGTAACCTGTGCCTGTAGTCCTAGCTACTTGGGAGGCTGAAGTGGGAGGATTCCTTGAACCCAGGAATTGGAGGTTATAGTAAGCTATAATCAGCACCACTGCACTCCAGCCTGGGCAACAGAGACTCTGTCTCTATTTTTTAAAAAAGAAAATATTTTAGGATTTGTGGGTGTGTTAGTCCGTTCTCATACTGCTTCTAAAGACATAACTGAGACTGGGTAATTTATAAAGGAAAGAGGCTTACTTGACTCACAGTTCAGCATAGCTGGAGAGGCCTCAGGAAACTTACAATCATGGCAGAAGGGGAAGTAAACACATCCTTCTTCACATGGCGTCTGGAAGGAGAAGTGCTGAGCAAAGGAGGAAAAGCCCCTTATAAAACTATCAGATCTGTGAGAACTCACTCACTATCATGAGAACATCCTGGGGCTAACTGCCCCCATGATTCAATTACCTCCCACTGGGTCCCTCCACAACAGGTGGGGATTATGGGAAGTACAGTTCAAGAAGAGATTTGGGTAGGGACACAGAAAAACCGAATCAGTGGGCCAAGAGGCAAAATTGTGGATATTATGTAGGTCCTCATATAACAAGAGAAAACAAACTTCTGCACATTTTAAATAGATGAAATTAAAACTTTAACAATAATTTAGTACAATGTTTTTGTAATAGAAGTCTACTAATGAGAAGACAGATTCCTTTTCGGGGGATAATATTTTGTTTAAGTGATGTTTAAAGTTAGTGTTTCCTATCATCAGATTGACTGCAAATGTTATTCTGAAAAAAATAATTCCTAGTTCATGGGTCATACAAAATCAGGCAGTGGGGCTGGATTTGGCCCATGGGCTATATAGTTTGCCACCCTGTGCTCTAGAGGAATAAATTCCTAAAGGTTGATACATCATTTCTTAGGGCTTCTGTAACAAAGTATCACAAACTAGGTGGCTTAAAATAACAGAAATGTATTGTCTCACAGTTCTAGAGGTCAAAAGCCTTAAAGCAAAGTGTTGGCAAGGCCATGCCCCCTCCAAAGGCTCTAGAGGAGGATGCTTCCTTTCCTCTTCCAGCTTTTAGTAGCCTCAGGTGTTCCTGGCTTGTAGCAGCACAGCTCAAATCTCTGCCTCTGTCTTTATGTGGTCTTTTTCCCTCTGTGTCTGCGTCTGTGTCTGTGTTTTGTCTCCTCTTCTTCTAAGGACACCAGTCATACACTAATTCAGTATGATCTCATCTTTTTTTTTTTTTTTTTTTTTTTTTTTGAGATGGAGTCTTGCTCTGTCTCCCAGGCTGGAGTGCAATGGTGCAATCTTGGCTAACTGCAACCTCCGCCTCCTGGGTTCAAGCGATTCTCATGCCTCAGCCTCCCAAGTAGCTGGGATTACAGCTGCCTGCCACTGTGCCCAGCTAATTTTTGTATTTTTTAGTAGAGATGGGGTTTTGCCATGTTGGCCAGGCTGGTCTCAAACTCCTGACCTCAGGTGATCACTCCACCTCGGCCTCCCAAAGTGCTGGGATTACAGGTGTGAGCCACCACTCCCAGCCTGATATCATCTTAACTAACTACATCTGAGATTCTAGAGAGGGCTAATATTTGTTTCTTTAGTTTGTTTCCACTTTAAAACTTTTTAAAACAATATAATGTGTAAAGATTCTAGTAACACCCACCACCCCCAAAAGAAGAAAATGATAAAGCTCACAAATTTGAAATCCATCCCTGTTTGTGCCGTCAGAATCTGGGATGTCTCAGTATGGTAAAGTTTGGAGGTTTTATGGATTGTCTCATGCACCAGAAGGGTAGCTAGAAACATCAGGCCACACCTATAATTTAACTTTCTTGAGGGAGAGGAGATAAACTCTTGGAAGCAGAGATGCCTTTTGACCTGTGAGACTGTTGCGTATGTTGTATTTACCAGTAGACCATGGACAGGTGGGAGCAGCAGAGTTGTCTCATGGATTTCCTCTTTATGACTGAGACTTCAATGGTTAAAATTTGAAAAAAAAAAAAAAAAAAAAAAAATTTCCTCTTTAACCATGTTATCTTCAACTGAGCAATTTTGGTGTTCAAAGAAGTGCTTTGCAGTCATAAAATCATGAAATGTTCACATTGGAAGAAACCTCACTTCCTCTAGCTTAACAGATGAAGAAACTGAGGCTCAAAGTGAAAAAACTATGGGCTCAACATCATTCATTCATTCAACAGATGTGTATTAAACAACCACCACAAGGCAGGCTGTGTGCTAGGCCCTGAGACCTAGAAGTGAACAAGGTAGACACAGTTCCAATTCAGAAGGAGCTTCAGGTCTAGAGGACTTGACCACATAGAAAGTGACCACATATCGATAATGGTGACAAGTGTTACACAGGACAAGTGCAGGAGCTGGAGCCCAGGCAAGGAATGAAAGGGCCGGGCTGGGCATGTGGGAGCTGATGGATGGAGCTTTCTGGGCAGATGGAACTGGAATGGAATGTTTGATGTTCTGAGGTGGGGAGGAGCAAGGCGTTTAAAGGAATAGAGAAGGCCAGTGTGTCCGGAGTGCTGTGTGTGAAGATAAATTAGTTCTTCATGAAGCAAGCCAGGGGAAAGATCTTGAAGGGCCTTTTAAGCTATGGTGAGCCCTTGGACTTGATCCTTAAAAAAAGCTTTTTTTTCCCTCTCACTCTCCTTCCCAATGGACTTTATCATATGACCAGTTGGGAGCCCTAAAAGCTTCTAAGCAGGACAATATCATGCTCAGATTTGATTTTAAAACACGTGAAAGGCCTTGCATACTGATTGAAGAATGGTTGAGAGATCAGGGAAGAAGAGAGCTGAGCTCATAGAACTGTAAGTTAATGCTATGTCCAGGCAAGAGTTGATGATGGCTTGTACTGGGGTATAGCTATGATGGTGGAGAGAAGTGGATGGATTGGATAAATGATCTGTTCATAGGATTTACTGTATCTGAAAATTCATATATAGAAGGATGAAAAAGAAGGTGTCAAGAATGACTTTCAGGTTTTGGGCATGAGCAACAGTATGGAGAGTGGTAACATAGAATGAAACAGGAAACACTGGAGGAGCCCCAGGTTTGAGGGTAGAAAGAGGAAGATGATGAGTTTGCTGTGAGTATGTTCAATGAGGAGCCTGTGGAACAACAAGACAGCTGTCTATATGAGTCTGAAACTGGAGATATACATTTGAGAGTGGTTGTTGGGATTTAAGGGAACCAGTGAATGATGTCCCATACATTCCGAGTGCAGAAGCAGCTGAGAACTAGATATTGATCTTGGGAATCAAAAGTCTCAATTTTTTTATTGGTTAAACTGGATTATAGAATGGATCTTTTATCCATAGACAAAATTGGGCTTTTTAATATCTTCCCCCTGAATTTCACCTATTGGACCCTGATATAGTTTGGATGTCGCCTTCAAATCTCATGTTGAGATGTAATCCCCAGTGTTGAAGGGGGGCCTGGTAGGAGGTATTTGGGTCATGGGGGTGGATCCCTCAAGGCTTGGTGCTGTCTGCCGCATAGTGAGTGAGTTCTCAGGAGATACGGTCTGAAAGTGTGTGGCACCGTCACTCCCTCCCACTCCACCCCCATGCACTCCTGTTTCCTCCATGTGACGTGCCTGCTCCTGCTTCCCATTCCATGGTGAGTAAAAGCTTCCTGAGGCCTCCCTAGAAGCAGATGCCGGCACTGTACAGCCTGCAGAACTATGAGCCAATGAAACCTCATTTCTTACACATTACGTAGTCTCCAGTATTTCTTTATAGGAACGCAGGAATGGCCTAATACAGCGCCCAACTGCAGACCTCCCTACTGCAGAACAGAGCCTGGCCCAGTAAGATTGTGTTTTGTAGGAGAGAGGACTGGGTGCCTGGTGCAGGGGCACCAACCCAGAGAGGAAGGGAGAGGAGAGGAGAGAGAGGCACTCAGCTGTCTGTGAGTCACCCACTTCGGGAAGGACTAAGTGTTCCAACAGGAAACAGATGGTACATTCAAAGTGGAACCTGAAGAGAGTTTAGCAAAGGGACACCACCTTTAACCATGTCCACACCTTGCGGAGGTGTGGGCAAGGTTAAAAGTACCAACAGGGGATGCAGATGCATCCAGGAACTAGATACTAGGAAGTTCTAGTAGGGACAAGGGGCGGGAGCTGTTACGGTAACTCAGTGGGAGCTGTTGCCAAGGCAGGCAGAGATGCTGCTCAACAGGAATGTGGCAGAGGAAAGAAGCCAGAGCCAAAACTGGCCAGGTGTGAGTGTGGGCTGTGGGGGGAGGTAAATATCGTCCTGTCTACTCGCTCTTCGCCCCTTATAACTCCCTCCTATCGATGAAACCCACCAGAAGCCAGAGGACTGTCATGAGTAGGGAATGTAGTCTGCAGCAGTCAGCCTGCCCAGGCACAGAGCAGGGCAGAGAAGGGTGGAGAGTGGGCCATTCGAAAATTACCAGCATGGGTAATGAGGGCTGGAGAGAGGACAAGAGGCATCACTCTGCTCTCCTACCAGTGAAATTCCCTGAGGTGAGCCTTGGAGACCTGCTACCCTGCTCCCATTTTATAAGGCTCACCTCCACCTCTCTCTCCATAAAATCCATTGCTCTTTTGAATTTTTTCTTCAACCACTCATGGGTAGTTAGCTTTTGTTCCAAAAAGGCTGTGAAGTGGGAGCAGAACCATTCTTTAATTAAATTATCAATGCCTACTGCATCTTGGGGTGAAAACTCATCACTGTCCTATTTCTTAATCTCATATGTCCTCAGCTGTAGCATCCAATTGGCTCACCAGAAGATATGAAGTAGATCAAATGATAATAGAAATGTATGACAATATGCTGTCTGACAGTGATACAATGCCAATAAAATGGAAATGTCCTAAATAACCTACTTTTATTACAGTGTTGCATTGAGTCTAAGATGTCCATGTTCATTTTCTTCCCCCACATTTTTTTTTTTTAAGAGACTAGGTCTTGCTATGTTGCCCAGGCTGGTCTTGAACTCCTAGGCTCAAGATATTATCCCACCTAAGCCTCCCGAGTAGCTGGGATTGCAGGCACCCACCACCATGCCTGGCAATTTTTCGTATTTTAACCTCTCTGAAATTGTTATTCATATTACAGTCTCATCATCCAGGCTGCAGTTACGATGGAGTTGTCATTGTCTGCACATGTGTATTAAAACTTTAAGAACAGATACCAGCAACTTGGAAGAAAATCCTGGAGACAAAACGAAGCACTCTGCTATAAAATGCTCTATCATCAGTGCTCTTGGTGACACAGAGAGTGACACTGAGATGCACACAGGCCATTCTGAATTAAAAAGTGATTCAGTCAGAAAGAAAGATGAGTAGTTGCAGGGGCTGGGGGAGCAGGAGGAGTGGAACAGGGAGTGACTGCTAATAGATACAGGGTTTCTTTGGGGAGTGATAGAAATGTTCTGGAATATTCCCTTGAAGGATTTTAATTTAAAAAGAAATCAAGAGAAATGTTCTAGAATAGATAGTGGTGGGTTGTACAACTTTGTGAATGCACTAAAAACACTGAATTATACACTTCAAAGGGATGTATTTTATGGTGTGTGAATTATATCTTAGTTTTCAAAAAGTGATTCAGAACATGGGGAAAAGCTTGATAATGAGCACATGAGAACTCTACACTTACTGTGCATCCAAAATTATTTCAAAATAAAAAACTTAAAAAAACCTTTTGGAATATCATCCAAAATTGAGGTCCTATATAGAAAAATCTGTATTCAGAGTATGTTACTGGCTTGTGTGAACTATGTCTTAGGGGGGAAAAAGACATTCAATAAAAACTTGTCCAACTTTCAGCTGGGCGTGGTGGCTCATGCCTGTAATCCCAGCACTTTGGGAGGCCGAGGCATGTGGATCACCTGAGGTCAGGAGTTCGAGACCAGCCTGACCAACATGGTGAAACCCCGTCTCTACTAAAAATACAAAAATTAGCCAGGTGTGGTGGCAGGCTTCTGTAATCTCAGCTACTAGAGAGGCCAAGGCAGGAGAATCGCTTGAACCCAGGAGGTGGAGGTTGCAGTGAGCTGAGATTGCGCCATTACACTGTAGCCTGGGCGACAACAGTGAAACTCTGTCTAAAAATAAAAACAAACAAAAAAAACTTGTTCAACTTTGAAAGCAAAGATGATTCAGAATATTTGGATTCCTAATATAAAGAGCTTCTAAGAGTACTTTACGTTATTTTGCTTCTATTTTCCTTTTTATGCATGCACAAGAGCAACCTATGATACAAATCTATGTCCAAGTAAGTCTGAAATAGGTTGTTAATGAAGTATAAACATTTTAAGTGACAAAAGAGCATTTTGTCAAAGTTTAGCCAGCATTTTTCCCCTTCTTAATAGTATGTTATTAAATACATTCCCAAGGAGGTATGCCCCCCAAATCAAATTTCCTTTCTCTTATAAGGTAAAGACCAAGGATATTAAAGTCCATGAAGATCTCCTGCACTCTCATACCGTTCAGCCTCAGCCCAGGGCCTTCACTCAGTGACCGCAGCCAATGTCTCTTGTGTGTTCCACTTTTAGAGTCCATCGGGTTAAAAGGACAGAGAAGATTATCCCAGCACCAGCCCCACACCTGACTTAGAAAACATGAACTAATCTGCTGGCCCCTACAGCAGTTAGACCAGTTATATCAGTCCTGATTCTAGGTTATGAGCCACAGAAACCAACATTGCCTGATTTAAGCAAAGAAGGAATTTATCCATAGTCCATTGGGTAGTTGGGGGAATTACAGGGAAGACAGGAAAACCTGGCTTTGCATAGTATGACCTGTGAACTAGTCTGAAGAAGGCATTGGTGGCAACTGAGCGGTGTCCCCATCATCATGGGGAATTCTCTGTTGGGCCTCATCTGTGCATTGCTGACTCCTGGTTCAAAGTCCAGAGTGGGTCCATCTCGCTGGCCGAGCCTTGGTCACATGGCTGCATCTTGGCCACATGACTGCAAAGGAAGCTGGGAAAGTAAGTGACATTTTATGCTTCTATAAAAGGAGATAGACTCTGCCTCCCACCAAGACTTTTAAGGAGGGGAAAGAGGTTCAGTTGATGAACAGACAAAAATCATATGAACATCTACTTCACCAATCAAAATAAAGTCCCCAGAATCCCAGAATACACACATAGTATTGGCACCAGCTAACAAGCCTAGCAGAGGCCCAGCAGTATCTGTGGGAAGTAGAGAAAACAGAAAAGAAAAAAACTTTTAGATATCAGCCTTGTCTTAATACCTCTCAATCTATGTCGGTTTTCCGTAGTTCTTGACTGGTGAACTTTACACTGTGTTAGGAGAAGTCTTTCATCAGGAAGTTAATTATGGCCTAGGGCACGTCTGGAAATTGAAACCTTCCTGGCCTCTTGCAAAATTTAGAAATTTTCAGTGATGCTTTAGAAGTTACTGGAGAATCCTGGGGCCCGGCGTGGTGGCTCACGCCTGTAATCCCAGCACTTTGGGAGGCTGAGGCGGGCAGATCACGGGGTCAGGAGATCGAGACTATCCCGGTTAACACGGTGAAGCCCTGTCTCTACTAAAAATACAAAAAATTAGCCAGGCATGGTGGCGGGTGCTTGTAGTCCCACCTACTCGGGAGGCTGAGGCAGGAGAATGGCATGAACCCAGGAGGCGGAGCTTGCAGTGAGCCGAGATCCCGCCACTGCACTCCAGCCTGGGCGACAGAGAGAGACTCCATCTCAAAAAAAAAAAAAAAAAAAGTTACTGGAGAATCCTTTCTTCCCCATTCTGTAGATTTAAAGCCCCTTAATTTCCATTTCCCCTGTGTCCCCGTCGAGCCAGGAACACAGCCCCATGTCCCCTCGTAAGCAGCCATTGGAATGGTGTGCTGGTAAACTGGCTCTCTCAAATAAATAAATGAATAAGCCCTGATTGGCAATATTTTCTCATTTGGTGTAAATACTCTCTCTGTGGAAGATTTTAAGCTGTTAAGGTTGTGCCATGCAAAATTCCTAAATATTTATCACCCCTTTTGAATGCCTAGGAGCGATTGCCCTCGCTCTGTCACCCAGGCTGGAGTGCAGTAGTGCAATCTCGGCTCACTGGAATTCCCGCCTCCCTGGTTCATGCGGTTCTCCTGCCTCAGCCTCCCAAGTAGTTGGGATTACAGGTGCATGCCACCGCACCAGGCTGATTTTTGTATTTTTAGTAGAGACAGGGTTTTGCTTTGCCACGTTGGCCAGGTTGGTCTTGAACTCCTGCCCTCAAATGATCTGCCCGCCTTGGCCTCCCAAAGTACTGGGATTACAGGTGTGAGCTACTGTGCCCGGCCGTTGCCTGGATTTTCATAAGGCTGTGATACCTACCTCTTGGGGCAGTTTTCTCACTTGTTTAATCTGGAGAATCACTAGTAGTGGATTCCTCAACTGAAGCTGCTATGGAATGTATGTTCCCAGGGGCAGAGGTCTTCATTTTGTTCACTGCTGTACTCCCAGTGCCTAGAACAGTACCTGGCACATAGAAGGTTCTTAGTACATGTTTGTCTGTGGTTCTGAGGCTTTTCACTAAGGCCTAGTGAGGACAAATATCTCTGCCATGTGCTGGTCCACAGAGCACTGCCTTTCCCTGCCTTGAGGATTAAAGCTGTGTCAAAGGCAGCAGCAGATTACGTTATGTTCTGTCTTTTACGGAGAAGTGGAATATGTGTGTGATCGTCTATATGCCTCTGTTGTTCCACTTCTCTTTTTGGGACAGGGCAGCCCAGTCTTTCACATTTTACCTTGCTTCTTCAGTTGACCATTTCCTTCTTTATCGCATGTCAGCCAGCACTGTTTGCTGTACTGATTAGTGTTTTCATCTTTATTTCCCTTTGTTTTTGAGTCAGGACATTTGTTCTTCTGATATGCTCCTTAAGTTCTGTTTCATGGGGTACACTATAGTGAGCAGTATGAAATTATGAAGTTTTGAATCTGCAAACAACATGACTGTTGAAACATATCTTGTCCTTCTTTCTCCTTGCAGGTGGTTTTGTCCTTTTGGACCAATTATCTAACCTGGGCCTGGACTCCATCTACCACTGTCCTGCCTGGTTCACTGCAGCTCACTTCATCTTCCTGTGCCTTCTCTGAAAGGGCCCCTCCAAAAGTTTCCTGGGTATGTCCCCTCAAGGTACATACCATGACTACATTCCCACCTGTAGTATTCTAATTGAACCACCTTGAAACTCACTGGTAATGCTGGACACATTCTGTGCCCATCTTCCCAGACCTCCCTCCCCAAATCCTGCCACAGTTGCACGACTACCTGGTATAACTTTTGTAGTCTTTAAAGGGCGATTTCCCCAGTTAAACTTACTGTTGACTCCTTATCTGACCTTTTAAGAGAGGACCTCTCAAGAGCTTCCTGGAACTATGCTCCCTGGTTGAGGGTGGGGTAGGTGTGTAGATTATTCCATTCTCTTCTCTGAAATCTCTCCTTTTTTATTGGAGTTCTTTGGACCCGAGTCACCCTTTCCGGCCTAGTAGTAGCCAAAGGAAAAGAGTCTCTATTAATAATACCTTATTTGAGAGCAGTTGGGTCCAAGCATATCTCCCTTTGCCTTTTAGATTGGACTAGTCTTGCCTTCACAATCAAAACATTTCTCTTAAGGAAATCCTTCCCTCTACATGGCAATGGTGGTAAGGCTCAGCTTTAGCCAGTCAGCATGGACACTGGCTGCAAACAACCCAGGTGTGTCTCTGGCTGAACCCCAGGCTTCTTCCCCTGCTGTCCTCCCTTCCCCCATTATCAGCCTAGCTGCATTACTTCTCTTTCTCTCCAACTGCTCTCATTCTGACTTCAAGGTCAGCGTGTCTCAACCAGTTCAGCTCCTCCTTGATTCTTGGAGACAGTGTGTTCTTGCCACAGGTCTTTTTACTATTCATTTTTGGTTTTTTGGTTTCTTTTTTTTTTTTTGAGATGGAGTCTTGCTCTGTTGCCCAGGCTGGAGTGTAGGGGCGTGATCTTGGCTCACTCCAACCTCCATCTCCCGGGTTCAAGTGACTCTCCTACCTCAGTTTCCCTAGTAGCTGGGATTACAGGCATGCGCCACCATACCTGGCTAATTTTTGTATTTTTAGTAGAGACGGGGTTTCGCCATGTTGGCCAGGCTGGTCTCAAACTCCTGACCTCGAGTGATCTGCCTGCCTCAGCCTTCCAAAGTGCTGGGATTATAGGCATGAGCCACCACGCCTGGCCAGTTTTTTTCTTTTTTTCTTTTTTTTTTTTTTTTAGACAGGGTCTTGCTCTGTGCCCAGGCTAACTAAGTGCAGTGGTACAGTCATGGCTCACTGCAGCCTTGATATCCCGGGCTCAAGCAATCCTCCCATCTCAGCCTCCTGTGTAGCTGGGACTATAGGCATTTATAAACAGCCACTCCTGGTTAATTATTTATTTATTTTTTTTAGAGATGAGGTCTCATTATGTTGCCCAGGCTGGTCTCAAACTCCTGGAGGCATGCAGTCTCCCCTCCTTGTTCTCCCAAAGTGCTGGGATTACAGGTGTGAGCCACCCCATCCAACCTATTCCTCTTAATCTTTGGTTTTACTAATATTTTCATTAATGCCCCAAAAGATGGCCAGCCACCTGTAAAATAAGGTCCCCAGTTTCTCTATCTGTTCATTGATAAAAAGCCACTACCCTCTGTGGCTGAACCTCCAAATCTGGGTCTCTGATCAAAACCATGGCCAGGGTTAAGTAACAAATCTACAGAGGACTTTAAACTATGCCATGGGTTTTGAGGGTGATTCTAGGAGTCTGGAGGTAAGTGTACAGAATCAGGATATTAATTCCACCACAGTTCTTTTCTTGGCCCTAAAATCGGATTCAGGTCAACATAACATAAATAGGAAGAGAATTTGAAGCAGTTGATTGAATGCGTGGAAGGCTAGAACCACACAGGCTAGTGTACTCTAACCCAGTGGTCCTCAGACCAGTAGCATCACCTAGGAACTTGTTAGAAATGCAAATTCCTAGATTTTACCCCAGACCTACTCAATCATGGAGTGGAAGCCCAGGAAACTGTATTTTAATAAGCTTACTCAGTGACTTTTATGCATGTGAGAGTTTGAGAACCGAAGCTGTAGCCCACATGGAGCTTAGCTTCCTTTGGCCTGTCCCTGCCTGAGAAGCATGATAGGCACGACAAAAAAGTATCCCAACTACTGATATCTAAAGAATGTAGTCACTGAAGCTCTGCAAGTTTTAAGTGACTGAACGATTCCTCTAATGTTGGCGGCACCTGCTTAGATCTATCAGTTACAAAAGTCTGCGCAACCTGTGTATACTAAGGTAGCAAAGGCCTGAGTTTGCTGAGGTCCTGTGACACCAGTCTCATTAAACTGCTGTATCCTAAATAAGTCAAGGACCTAGAATCCCCTCCTGTCCAAAGCATCCTTCTTACTGGGTGTATCTTAAGTCTCCATCCCTGTGCCCGTTCCTTAAGCTTTCCTGGGCTTTGGGCCCTGTGCGGGTTTTGAGGGTGGTGGTAGACGTACGCATCATCTACCTTCCACTGAGTTGGAACCAACTGAGAAGTAGAATGAGTCCACAGCTAGGGATCAATATCAACTTTATTGCTGATAAAGTTGGATTGGAAAATGCAGCTGGGACTCTGCAGACACCACTAATCTTCCTAATGCCTTCCCCCGCACTGAATCTCCCCACTCCGCTGTGGACCTCCCCTCGGCAGAGGCAGAGGCCCCTTGGTGAAATTGCCAGACCACCCATGTGGTCCAGTTTGGCTCCCTAGAGCTTATGCAGCCTTTCCCCAAACCCCACTTCCATCCCCCCATCGGTTCATTTACCTGGTCTTTGGAAAAGAGTGGTAAATGGTGGAGAGACAGCCAGGGGAGGTGATCCAGTACTGTCCCCTCTGGGATGGACGTGAAGATAGAGAAATAAGGCTTTCCCTGGCTGTGGGAATCATATCTTAGGTCATGGAAAGAGTCGAGAATAGGAAGAGAGGAAGGTCAGGACTGAGGCTTGAGTGAAGCTTACATGTAAACATGGTTGCAAGGAGGAAGCCCCAAACTAAGAGGAAAAAGGAGAGTAGGAGGAGAAACCCAAGGAGCGTGTGGCATCACAGAGGCAGAGGCAAGAGCATTTTAAGGAGAGAGTGATCCGCAGGGTCAGAGTTTCCTAAGTGGGCAGTAATATGAGGAACAAAACCAATTCCTTGGACTTAGCCACATGGAACCACTGGTGACTTTACAGAAGGGTGGAAAGGGGAACTGAGGTTTAAGGTAGTCACTGGAAGGAGACAGGGTGTCCAGGGGGAGGCTAGAACTTGTTTGAACACTGACACAGAAGGACAGCCACATGTACTGTGGAGGCTATGGTGGGGGCTATAGCCCAGGCCCCACACTCCTGGCCAGGCACCTTGGGTACAGGCTCTGTCAGTCTATCTGGAGGACCTTCCCTAATTTGCACAAAAATCCTTCGTGAGCTAACACCTGCCCTGGATAGGAAAGATCTCCCAGCTTGAGTCCTGAGATACCTCCAAACCCCAATTAGGGCAGCAGCGACAAAGGCACTTCTTCATTTAGAGTTTGCCTGCAATTTTGTTAGGACCTAATTATGTTAGCACCCATTGATCAAGTATTTAAATTCTAATCTGATAAAACATCTAAACTCTCCCTTAGTGACAACTCCTTAGTTTCCTAGGAACCACACTTTAGATTAACAAGGAGGGGACTGCAAAGGCAACGGGGCAACTCTGACTCTCAGGATGGGAGAGCATCTCCCTGGACCAATTGCTGCCGTCTCTCCTGTCTTGATCCTCAGAGCCCATATTCCCTAAGAGCTGGTCTTCAGGCATGGTTTTTAGAACCATGGATTTGACTCTTATTTACAATATCTTACCTTTTTCAATTAAATAACTTCCAACTATGATATCATAGAAACATTACTACCACCAGAGACATCTTAATAATAAGCTGCCCCTGCTAATACCACACGCGTACAATTTCCCACACAACTTATCATATGTTCACATTTCTAGAAAACCAAAATAAATGGGATTGGAAAAAACTGTTTAGCAATTTTGGTCAGGGTGCATTTATTTATTTATTTATTTGTTGTTGTTGTTTTCTTTTTTTCTTCCCTTTTTTTTTTTAACAGTCCAGAGGTCTTTTAATTTTTTTTTACACCGATTACACCATGAATTCATCATAGGGAAGAGAGTCCAGCAGCTCAGGCTGTTTCCTGTTGGCTCTCACACAGTGCACTTCTCCGGGTGAAGCAGGCTGGCACCTCAGTTGAACCCAAGTGCCTTCCTCATTGGCTTCCTTCTTTTTCTGATCATTTTCCGTCACATGTTTCAGGAAGCTATGGCGGCTGTGCTTAATAATGCTATGGTGGCTGTGCTCAATAAATACCCACATTAATTCTCTTGGCAAGAATCTTGCCCTCAACTTGTTTGTTTACAACAATGCCAACAGCATGCTGTGGAACACTGTAGACTCTTCCAGTCTCTCCGTGATAACATTTGTGGGACATTCCTTTTTGAACAGTACACATTCCCTTATGTCTACAATATCACCTTTCTCGCAGATTGGCATATATGTGGCCAAAGGAACAACTCCATGTTTTCTAAAAGGCCTAGAGAACACGGGTTGCGTGCCTCACCTCTTTGTGTTTGTCATTTTGGGAAATTACTGGAAGATGCCAGTTCTGGCTGAAAGGGTCATTTAGTTCATATTAAGATTTAAATCTGGCTGGGTGCGGTGGCTCACACCTGTAACTCCAGCACTTTGGCAAGTTGAGGCAGGAGGATCCCTTAAGCTCAGGGTTCAAGACCAACCTGGGCAACAAAGTGAGACCTTGTCTCTAAATACAAAAAGAAGAAAAAGATATAAATGTGTTATTAAAGGGGAAAATTAGGATCGATGCTAAAAGTTTATTTTAAATTGGCCTCAGGATAATTTAGATATATAAATTATTTTTTAATACACACACACATGCACACACACGCACACACACTCCTATGAAACAACCAGAGTTCCTTTATTTTATTTTATTTTTTAGTTTTTTTTTTTTTTTGCCTTAGATCCAGGGACAGACTGGATGACAGCCAGATTTGAAATGTCTGCACTTTGGGTGCTATAATTAGGAGTCAATCAACTATTTTATGTTAATAAAAATCTACCCATGTTTCTGGTATGCCAAGGTAATAGAAATGACAAAACAAAATGATTTATTATCAGGAAATGACTGAAGGAGATAACTGCAATATAAAAGATAAAGAATGATAATTACTGTTATACATGTGGTAGCCAGAAACTTAGACCGTTTTCTGGGGAAAAAAATTAGTACAGGCACATTATCCACTGTAGGACATTTATGACAAACTCTTTTTTAGGAGGTTAAAATATGATACTGGAATGTAATAGGCTTCAAAATAACATAATAATAAAACATGTTAGGGACTTATTTACAGATGAAAATGACTTCTAATGGGATTTTGGCACTTCCTTTCTACAGGGTCCAAGGTGGGGTGATCTATGCAAAAGTCCATTCTAGGCTTAACAAGGCCTTCTAGAAGTTTTAACATATTCTAGTCTTCCTGCAAGGCCTAGGAGGGAACCAGCTATATCCTGTCCTGGAGATGGAGGATGCACGACCACTTTGAAGAGACATAACAGATCTATGTAGAGGAATGGTTCCTGGGTTCAGACAGGGCTATTGCACGCAGGAGTGAAGAGAGAGGGGTCAGGATGGCCCCCTGTGTGTACAAAATTGTTGCCAATGGGGATGTGGGGTGGGCATTGGGGAATGAAAATGAAAGGAAATAAATACATAAATAAAACAAAAGTGACCTTTTACCACCCAAATATATAATAAGGATGATGATGATGTGCCATGAACTGGGGAGTAGGATTAATGGTTCAATTAAAAATGCATACATCAGCTGGGCACCGTGGCTCATGCCTGTAATCCCAGCACTTTGGAGGCTGAGGCAGGCAGATCACCTGAGGTTAGGAGTTCGAGACCAGTCTAGCCAACATGGTGAAATCCTGTCTCTACTAAAAATACAAAAATTAGCCAGGTGTGGTGGCAGGCGCCTGTAATCCCAGCTACTTGGGAGGCTGAGGCATGAGAATCACTTGAACCTAGGAGGCAGAAGTTTCAGTGAGCCGAGATCGCACCACTGCATTCCAGCCTGGGAGATAGAGTGAGACTCTGTCTCAAAACAAACAAACAAACAAAAAATGCATCACACATACATGAATAAAATATACCCAAAGAGAGCAAGGTTTGTTATCAAGTAGGTTTGTTTTCAGTGCCTTTTTACTTTCCACTCACCTCCTTTCACATTCCTGCTTTCCTAGCTTTTCTTTCCCCAATCTTGGGATGGCCCCCTGGCTGCCCAGGGACTCCTCACTGTGAGCTCCTCCCCAGGGAGCATCCCATGCTGTCCACACATTCTCCTTTCTCTCTTCCTTGGTATCTTTCTGTCCTCTGCTTCATTCATTAGAACTGGCAAGAGGGCCCTTGCCCTGAGTCCTGCACTTTAGAGGGGCCTGCTCCTGCCATGCCCCTCTCCATGGGGTGAAGAGTCCTTAGGACCAAGGGGACTCCTCCCCAGCCTGGAGCCCATGCTCTCCTTCAAGATCACAGTTTGGGAACCTGAGAACTCAAAGAGCCCCAGCTCTCCTGCAGGCCTGTTCCCAGTATCGGTGGTCTCAAGGGCAGACTACGTTCGTGGTGTGTGCATCCCAAAGCCCAGAGTACCCAAGGGGCAGCTGGACAGAGCTTGAAAGTGCAGGCAGGGGTGCCCACATACCTATACGGGAGGCCCCTGTGGTGTGGGAGGGATCCAGGGTGGGAGGAGAAGGGAGGCTGGACATGAGCTGGGGCTAGGGGCTGGCTGGCCCTTCATGTGCCACCACTTCTGGCAGAGAAGTCTAAGTAGAGTCTGAGAATTCTGAAGTTGAACCCAGCCTTCCAAATTGTCATCAGGGTAGGAAGATGGAACATATTTCATCAGTTTGTTGGCTTGATTATAACTTTTAAATATTTAGACACACATGGTGTAGACCTCTTTTGGAACTGGCAGGTGTAAAGGATTGTCTTGGATTGAACCCTCTGCCTTCCACAAGGACATCTGGGGCTTTGAAAGGTGGCCCCTGGAAACATGGGGTCTTTACCCAAGGAAGGGCTATCCTGATCAGAGCACGGTAAATACTGTGGCAAGGGGTTGGTGCAACAGAGTCTTTGGTCTCCCTCTGATCACACTAGGTAAGTGGCTGCCTCATCTGTCTTTGATGGCTGGTCCCAGCTGGAGGATGGGTTGGCCATTCAGTGATCACTACTGTATATAAATGAGCAAAGCAAACTGCCCCCTGTCTACCAGGCACTGGGGCTGTCAGCATCTCCTCCACCCTCTCCCACCTTTAACTTACACAGGCTGAAAATAGCTTTTTAATTTTTTTCTTAGGACATGCCACTGGATAGTGTTGGTTTTTTTTTTTTTTTTTTTTTTTTTTTTTTGAGATAGAGTCTTGCTTAGTCACCCAGACTGGAGTGCAGTGTTGCAATCTCAGCTAAGTGCAGCCTCTGCCTCCTGGGTTCAAGTGATTCTCCTGCCTCAACCTCCTGAATAGCTGGGATTACAGGCGTGAGCCACCACACCCTGCTAATTTTTTTTTTTCGTATTTTTTTTAGTAGAGATGGGGTTTCACCATGTTTCCAAGGCTGGTCTCGAACTCCTGGGACCTCAAGTGATCCGCCCACCTCGGGCTCCCGAAGTGCTGGGATTATAGGCATGAACCACCGTGCCTGACCAGGATGATGGGAATTTTTAATGGGAAGGCTGTGACACAACCTAAAAGAGGCACCATTAGTGAGGCAAGCAGGCAGAAGTCTTTGGATAGGAGGAGCAATGAACCTGGGAGAGAGCATCGAGCAGGGGCACATGTGGAGAACCTGCTTCGGAACCTATTAGAGGCAGAAAAGACCCTGGGCAAGTCCAGTTCCCATGGATCAGGCATTCCTTGGATTGTCCGCCCTGCATTTGTCTTCTCTCTTTCCCTTTTCCTTGCAGTACCCCGAGGCTCCCACTCCTGTTCCCGGAACCAAGCTAGGTCCGGCTGCATTTTCTGGAGGCTCAATAACAAGAAGCAGACAAACTAGGAAAGAAGGGAATTGACTACTATAGCCGGATACAGGGAGAAGGCCGGAGATAATTCCACCAGACCAACTCAAAAGTGTTAAAATTTTCTTAGTGCAGTCTAGCATTCGCCTAAGTCTATTGGTAACTAATTTTGTTTCAACTAGAAGGTCAGAGGCAAAAAAAAGAAATGCTAAGTCCGATTAAAAGGGCCCCAGTACCTTCAAGGCCTGTCTATGGTGGTACGGAGTGATTATTTCTATCTTATCTCTTTTACAGCTTGGTCTGGAGAGCTGCCTTAGACTTCCCAATGAATTTATTAAAACAGCTGCCTCTGTAACCTTGACTTGTCTCAGATTTTGTCGACCTGAGATGGGTCCTGGCACTAGGAATGTAAAACTGTCTCTATTATTTTGGTTTGCTCCAGCAAGGGAGAAGCCCATGCAAGGCTCCTACTGACTGTATGTTTCATTTCTAGCTTGGATGTCTCAGCACCGATTTCTCTAGGTTTAACTATTTGCTCAATGTTCAGGCAGCACTGTGGAAATCTGTCTGTGTAACGGGTGCTACGCAGGCCTGTCTGTGCGACTGTCATGCAGGCCTGTCTGTGCGATTGTCAGGGAGAATTGGCCTGCCACACTCCCACTCATTTCTGCATTCTCATTAAGGCATATTAAGGATTAGAAAGGGATTGCTAGGCCAGGCCTGGCTAGTCTTCCTTAAATGGAACTTTCAGAAGGAAAGGGGAAAACCAAAACAATTTCCCCCTTCAACTTTTTAACTGTGTTTCTCTTGGGCCAAAGACCTCTTAGGGATTTCCCCCGGGAGCTCTTTTTGCGAAGGATGTTTTGTTTTTCCTTTGTGAATAGGGACTAATTCATTCATTAAAGCAACATCTACTGAGCTTGTATTACAGGTAAGCACTGCTCCAGGTGCTGGGGAAAACGGAGTGAACTGAAATCACAAAAACCCTGCAGCGCTCATGCCATGTACGTTCTATTGAGGAAAACAAGCAATAAACAAGATTAATAATAACAGCAAGCGTGTGTGCACACGTGTGTGCGAGTGTGTTCGGTGGTGAGAAGTGCTAGGGAAAAAATAAAGGAGAGTGGCCAGGGAAAGCAGCACTGAGAAGGTGACAGTTAAAGACCTGGGCCAGGCACAGTGGCTCACACCTGTAATCCCACCACTTTGTGAGGCCGAGGTGGGCAGATCACCTGAGGTCAGGAGTTCGAGACCAGCCTGGCCAACATGGCGAAACCCCGTCTCTACTAAAAATACAAAAATTAGCCGGGCGTGGTAGCAGGAGCCTGTAATCCCAGCTACTCGGGAGGCTGAGGCAGGAGAATCCGTGGTAGCAGGAGCTTGTAATCCCAGTTACTCCGGAGGCTGAGGCAGGAGAATCACTTGAACCCGAGAGGCAGAGGTTGCAGTGGGCAGAGATCGCGCTACTCAGCCTAGGTGACGAAGCAAGACTCTGTCTCAAAAACAAACAAACAAACAAAAAAAGGGAGGAGGAGGGAAGAGGCATGAGAACATCAGGAGGTGAAGCGTTCCCAGCACAAAGAACAAGTGCAAAGGCCAGAGGCAGGAGCAAGCCTGGCAAGGTTAGGGATCCGTCCGCAGGCCAGCGCGGCTGAATTGAGAACAGGGTGAGCATGAGAAAGAGTAGAAGGTGATGTCAGAAAGGTGTAGGTGGGTGGGTGGGGGTCATGGAGGGCTTTTCTTAGGACTTGGATCTACTCTGAACCAGATGGGAAGCCACTGTATAATCTAAGCAGTGCAGGGACAAGATCTGAGTTACATTTTAACAAGACCACTCTGGCTGCTGGATTGAGAATAAACTGTGAAGGACAAGGGTGAGACCAGTTAGGAGACTATGGCAGTAATCCAGGGAAGAGAAGAAAGTATCTTAGACCAGGGCAGTAGTAATTGAGACAGTGAGAAGTTGTGAGATTCTGGAAATATTTTGAAAATAGAGTTACTCGGGAGACTGAGGCAGGAGAATCGCTTGGACCCGGGAGACGGAGAATAAACTGTGAAGGACAAGGGTGAGACCAGTTAGGAGACTACTGCAGTAATCCAGGGAATTTGACTTGAGCAACCAAAAAAAGGGAATTGCCATGAACTGAAAGAGATGACTTAACGGGTCCAGGTTTGGGGAAGATCAGGTATTCAGTTACGGGAGTTGACATCCCTGTGAGATGTCCTAGTGGAAAGGCCAAGTAACTAGTCAGTTTGGAATTCAGTGGAGAGGTCAGGGCCTGGAGATAAATTTTGGGAGTCCGGAATTAATAAATGGCATTTAAAGCCAAAAGATGATGGCTGGGTGCCGTGGCTCACACCTGTAATTCCAACACTTTGGGAGGCTGAGGCGAGTGGATCATTTGATGCCAGGAGTTCGAGACTAACCTGGCCAACCTGGCAAAACCCCGTCTCTACTACAAATACAAAAATTAGCCAGGCATGGTGGCGCACACCTGTGGTCCCAGCTACTTGGGAGGCTGAGGCATTAGAATCACTTGAACCAGGAAGGCGGAGGTTGCAGTGAGCCAAGAACGCATCACTGCACTCCAGCCTGGGCGACAGCAAGACTCTGTCTCAAAAATAAAGTAAAATAAAATAAAGCCAAAAGATGATGAGATTTTTGAGAAAATGATGGTAGATGGAAAAGAGAAGTCCAAGGCATGAACCCTGAAACAGTCTAGTGTTTATGATTACGAAGAAGAGGAAAACAAGCAAAAAAGACAGGAGGGCCAGCCAGTGAGACAGGAGGAAAATAAGGAGAGTGTGTTGTGTGTCCTGGAAGCCAAGCAAAGATGAATCAAAAAGGGAGCAATTGACCATGCCCAGTGCTGCTGATGGAGCAAGTAAGATGAGGACTGGGGAATCCACTATTGCATTTAGGAAAGTCAAAGTCATTGGTGACCTTGAGAAGAGCTGTGCCAATGGAGTGGAGAGGGTGAAAGTCTCATAGAAAAGGTTAAAAAATGAAGAAACATTGGGAGGCCTAGGCAGGCAGATCACCTGAGGTCGGGGGTTCAAGACCTGCCTGACCAACATGTAGAAACCCCGTCCCTACTCAAAATACAAAATTAGCCAGGTGTGGTGGCACATGCCTGTAATACCAGCCCCTCAGGAAGCTGAGGCAGGAGAATCGCTTGAACCCGGGAGGCGGAGGTTGCGGTGAGCCAAGATGGCACCATTGCACTCCAGCCTGGCCGACAGAGCGAACCTCTGTCTCCGTAAACAAACAAACAAAGCAAACAAACAAAGCAAACAAACAAACAAAGCAAAGCAAACAAACAAAGAATTTGAGTCAGTGACCACAGACAACTCTTTGAAGGACATTAGTTGTAAGTGGAAGAGAGAAATGGAAGTAGAGGAGGAAGAAGAGTTGGGAGAGTTTTTTTAAAGATAGGAGAAGCTGGGTGTGGTGGCTCACTCCTATAATCCCAGCACTTTAGGAGGCTGAGGTGGGCAGATCCCTTGAGCCCAGGAGTCTGAGACCAGCTTGGGAAACATGATGAAACCCCATCTCTACAAAAAATACAAAAATTAGCCAGGTGTGGTGGTGCATGTCTGTGGTCCCACCTATTCAGGAGGCTGAGGTGGGAGGATCGCCTGAGCCTGGGAGGTCGAGGTGGCAGTGAGCCATGATTGCATCGCTGCATTCCAGCCTGGGTGACAGAGCAAGACCCTGTCTCAAAAAAAAAAAAAAATAGGAGAAATAATTGCCTTTTAAATTTATGGAAAAGATCCAATAGAGAGGAAAAAACAGGATTCAGTAGAGAGGGAAAAATTGAAGATGTAGAGGACTCATGGGCTGTTTCTGGTAGTATTAAGAATATCAGGCTGGGCGCAGTGGTGCACATCTGTAACACCAGCACCTTGAGAAGCTGGGGTGGGAGGATGGCCTTAGCCCAGGACTTCAGACCAGCCCGGGCAACACAGTGAGACCCCATCTCTACATAAATAAGTAAATAAAATTTAAAAATTAGCTGGGCTTGGTGGTACATGTCTGTAATCCCAGCAACTCAGGAGGCTGAAGCAGTAGGATTGCTTGAGCCCAGGAGTTTGAGGTTACAGTAAGCTATGATAGCACCACTGCACTCCAGCCTGGGTAACAGAGCAAGACACTGTCTAAAAATAAAAATTAAAAAATCTACATTGTATTAAATGCTTACTATATGTTTGTTTTTATAGATAATATTCTCTTCTTAGAACCTAAAGTATGTATATTATTATTCCTATTTTACTAATGAGGAAATCGAGACTCGAAGAAATTGAACCCTTTGTCTAAGGTCACCCGGTGAGGACAGGGAAGAGCTGGGGGTCAGAGCCTAGCTGGTCTGAGGGACACTCAGGCCAAATTGCTCCTGAAGGCACCCTTCACTTTTCTGGTTGTGTAGAGTCCCAGGCACAGAAGGGACACATTTCCTGTTCTTCATTCCTGTCTGAAGGGAGGGTCTCTGTGTTTCTCACAACCAAGGCCTGAGACTTTGGTGGCAGGGAAAGTCTGAGTCATTTATTCTGCTTTCTTTTTTTTCTTAAACTCTGGTACAGAAACTCTCAAACAACTGAGAAGGTGCCTCGACATCTGATTTGCCCCAAACCTCTATACACTGGACATCTTCTGAATAAGGCTGTGTTGTATGTTGGGACAAGCAAAGGGATGGAAATCAAGAATTCTGGGTTTTAGTCCTGACTGTCACTACATGGCTGTGTTACTTCTGGTAAGTCAATTAACTTTGCGTTGTGTCCTCATTAGCAAAAAGGGAACACAAATGTCTGTACTGTTTTCTTCCTGGATAGTTGTGAAGACATCATAGTCTATGCCCTGTATCCCTAGCACTCCAGCACACGTGAGACCATATGCCATTTGCAAAGCATGTGATATATGATGGCATTGGTGGTTCTTCTCCTCATGCACAGCAGAATCACCCAGGGAGCTTTTACGTATACTGTTTTCTTGCTAGAATGTGGAGCAACTAGAATTCACAAACATTGCGGAGCAACTAGAATTCACAAACATTGCTAATGGGAGTATAAATTGGTAGAATCACTTTGAAAAGCAGTTTGGCAGCATCTACTAAAATTGAACCAAATCCTACCCTGCAATCCAGCAATTCTGCTCCTCAGTTTATACCCAGATAAAAGTGTGCGCACATGCACTGGAAGGCACATACAAGGATGTTTGCAGCAGCATTATTTGTAATTGCTCAAACTAGAAACAACTCAAATGCCCAGCAGAACAGACAAATTGTGATATACCCAGTTATGCAAATATAAAAAAATGTATGCTTTGTGATAATTCACTGAGTTGCACACATGACTTGTGCACTTTTTTGGCTATTTATATATTACTTCAACTAGAAAACAAAACTGGCTGGGCACGATGGCTCATGCCTGTAATCCCAGCACTTTAGGAGGCTGAGGCACAAGGATTGCTTGAGCCTAGGAGTTTAAGGCTGCAGTAAGCCATGACTGAACCACTGCACCCCAACCCTGGGCAATGGAGCAAGACCCTGTCTCAAAAACAAAACACACACAGAAAAAAAACAAAAAGCAAAACTGCTGCTTAGTTTCCCACCCCAGACCAATTAAATTAGAAGCCTGCGGGTGGGGCCCGGGACAGGTGTTTTCAGGAGTGCAGCCAGGGGTGAGAACACTGCCCTCTCCTTTGTTGGTGCCATTCCGTCCCAGGGGGAAGATCGAGGACTGTGTCTGGGTGCTGCTGAAAGTGCCTCTAGGTGGTGGGGGGACAGGGCTGTCTTCGGGAGGGAAGGAAGGCAACAGGAATGGCCCACACCTCCACACCTCTGAAAGTGAGGACAGGCTTCTCCCCTGAGGTAGTGAATGAAGACTACCACCAGCCTTCAGGGGCTGCTCCTGACCGTCCTCCCTTAAGCAATTCCTGAATTTAATTTCAGGCTTACTATTCAGAACAGTTGCAGCTTTTCGGTATTTTTATTTGCCTGGTCCTTTGTGGAGGTTTTGTCTCTTCATTTGTATTTTTGTGTTTTACTGTAGTGGCCTAGTTTAAATTCTTTTCTGTCTTCCTTTTAATACTATAATCTCTTAGCCTACAAATTAAACAACCACATCCAATTGTGCCATCATCTGCCAGGTGGTGTGGGCTGGTTTTCTAACTCTTGTCCTACATGTGAGGGACAAATTCTGAATGCATGCCACTCTTAGTCTTCGCTATTCGCGACTATTCTCAATTAAGAAAAGGCTTATAAACGTGGAGACCCTTTAGTATCTCCTGACTTTATTCTGATTTCTTTTTTCTATGGATCTCCTCTGTGGAGATATTCTGGTTTCATAAATGAAAAACATTTATGGGTCAAGCTATGTAGCTTGATAAAAGATCCTACTACAATTTTAACAAATCAGGGGTTTTACCAAAATAATACCACTAGACCTCAACTTAAATAGCATTTTAACAAGACTGTGGCCTCTTTAACATTTGTTAAAATAGCTAGATATAGATTTTTAAAGTTATTTTTATTACATAATATTGAAGATATTATCAAAAGAAATAAACTTTGTTATAATTCTAAACTCATAGCAAAAATTATATAGATTTTGTGTATTATATAGATTATATAAGGACCTTGAAATAATGCACAAATGTCTTTCTAGATGCAAACACATTCTTCATATGACCATTATAATTTCTGAAAGAAAATCTGTATACATACATATGTATTATGTGGGAAAAAAAAGCCATCTACTGTGGCTATCATCGGATTATGAATGATTTCACATGTTTTCACTTTTTTTTTTTTTTTTTTTTTTTTTTGAGGTGGAATCTCACTCTCGTCCAGGCTGGAGTACAGTGGTGCCATCTCGGCTCACTGCAACCTCTGCGTCCTGGGTTCAATCAATTCTCCTGCCTCAGCCTCCTGAGTAGCTGGGATTACAGGCACATGCCACCATGTCCGTCTACTTTTTGTATTTTTAGTAGAGGTGGAGTTGCACCATGTTGGCCAGGCTGGTCTCAAGCTCCTGACCTCAGGTGATCCACCTCCCAAAGTGCTGGGATTACAGGCATGAGCCACCGCGCCCGGCCTGTTTTCACTTTTGTTTGTATTTTTTTGCTTCAGTAAAAAAGAGTTGAGAATAAGTAGAAAATAAGAAATATAGGCATCCTTCTGTATGTTGCAATGAAGGTCTTAATAGCAAAGAAACTGGCTTCTGGGACCAGCAGTATCAGCATCACCTGGGAACTTGTTAGAAATGCAAATTCTTGAGCCCACCCCAGACCTGCTAAATTAGAAACTCTGGGGGTAGGTCCAGCAATCTGCTTTAAGGAAACCTCAAGGTGACTCTGATGCATACTAAATTTGAAGACCACTGTTCTAAAGGATAGCACAAAACCAATTTGGCAAATGCTTAAGAGAGATCCAGTCTGGGAATAGATGTTTTGTTTTGTTCAATTTGGTCTCTGCCCCTTCCCTTCCTCAGCCAACCCGATTCATCTTGCTGCAATCAAACCTGTACCAGTGTTTCTCAACCCTGGCTGGGGAGCTCTTAAAAATGCCTGTGCCCAGGTGTCTCTCCAGGCCAATCTAATCACACCCTCTGTGGATGGGTCCCGGGCATCCAGGTGCTCCTGCTGTGCGCCAGGCTTGACAAATTCTGTTCTATATTCAGGTACTTTTGCGGTTGAAACAGATGATTGTTAACACCTGCCCTCAACTTCTTTCATTTATTTCCTGCAGACTCTGTGAAGCAGAACTCGGGCCTCTAGCGTCTGCTAGTCTAGATCTAAAGGTGTTTCCTGAGGGACAGTTTGGCCTGGCATGCAGGTACCTCTGCAGACCACAACAGTGCACCGAAAACACCCCCTCCCAGCACGCACACAAGTCTGGCTCCTCAGCCAAACATCAAACACCAACACTGCTGCCCATGCCAGATGCCAAGTGAGATAATGTGTGTTATACCCTTAGTGTGTTACAAAGAGAAAAGATTAATAAATGTTAGCTATCCTTATCTTCATTATCTAAATAAGGCATGTGGATCTCTTTTCATTTAAACTCACAAAATACCTGCTTAGAAGGCCTATCATGGTTGTTTCATCTTGAATTTTGTAACCATCAACTTTCATGTGAAGCCAGTGAGGGACCACTCACAGTCATGAGGGATGTTCTAAGCCAGCAGTTCTTAAAATGTGTATCACACGGGATCTTGTTAGAAATGTAAACTCTGGGCCCGGCACGGTGGCTCACGCCTGTAATCCCAGCACTTTGGGAGGCCGAGGCAGGCGGATCACGAGGTCAGGAGATTGAGACCATCCTGGCTAACACAGTGAAACCCCGTCTCTACTAAAAATACAAAAAATCAGCTGGGCGTGGTGGGCACCTGTAGTCCCAGCTACTCGGGAGGCTGAGGCAGGAGAATGGCGTGAACCCGGAAGGCGGAGCTTGCAGTGAGCCGAGATCACGCCACTGCACTCCAGCCTGGGTGACAGAGCAAGACTCCGTCTCAAAAAAAAGAAAAGAAAAGAAATGCAAACTCCGCTAGGCCTGGCGGCTTGTGCCTGTAATCCCAGTGCTTTAGGAGGCTAAGGTGGGAGAATTCTTCAGCTCAGGAGTTCAAGACCAGCCTGGGGAACATAGTGAGACCGCCCCCCACTGCCCCCACTCCACCACTTCCCTGCTCATAAATGAATGAGTAAAAAGAAATGCAAATTCTTTATTTTATTTATTGTTTTTGAGACAGGGTCTCACTCTGTTGCCCAGGCTGGAGTGCAGTAGCTCCATCTCGGCTCACTGCAGCCTCCATCTCCTGGGTTCAAGTGATTCTCCTGCCTCAGCCTCCCGAGTAGCTGGGATTACAGGCACCTGCCACCATGCCCAGCTGATTTTTGTATTTTTAGTAGAGGTGGGGTTTCACCATGTTGGCCAGGCTGATCTGGAACTCGTGGCCTCAAGCCATCCACCCGCCTCAGCCTCCCAAAGTGCTGGGACTACAGGTATGAGCCACCATGCCCAGCCAAGAAATGCAAATTCTTGAGGCCTACCTCAGTACTACTATATCAAAAACCCTGGAGGTGGTGCCCAGCCACCCATTTTCACAAGGCCCCCTGTGTTTCTGATGCATGCTCAGGTTTAAGAACTGCTGCTCTAAGCCTTCAGCCTCTCGAGCTTGTTGGAAATGCATGACCTCAGGCCCCACCCCAGATGACTGATTTAGAATCCCCAGGTCATTCAGATGCACATTAGAGCTTGAAAAGCACTGCTCTCGACTGTCCCCCACGGTCAGATTAGAATTAGAGCACCAGAAAGGGGTACTCTTAGATCAAAGCTTCTCGGCACCCCACAGAAATGCTGTCACAAGACAACAATTTAGGTGTAAGAAATCAACACATGAAAGACATTTCTGTATCTGTGAAAAAGAATTTTACTGCCATTCACCATCCCTGGATAAAGATTCTGTCAGCTTTCTTAGAGTTTAGAGCAAGCACGTGTGTCCTTTTTTAGAAAAGAAGGTGAAGTTATGAAACTCATGATACCTAAATTGCCAGGACACTTTCATTTTAGCTCAATTCTTTTTTTATTTTTTGAGATGGAGTCTCGCTCTATTGCCCAGGTTGGAGTGTAGTGGCGTGGTCTCGGCTCACTGCAACCTCCGCCTCCTGGGTTCAAGTGATTCTCCTGCCTCAGCTTCCCGAGTAGCTGGGATTACAGGTGCCCGCCACCATGCCTGGCTAATTTTTGTATTTTTAGTAGAGACAGGGTTTCACCATGTTGGCCAGGCTGGTTTTGAACTTCTGACCTCAAGTGATCTGCCTGCCTCGGCCTCCCAAAGTGCTAGGATTACAGACATGAGCTACGGCGCCCAGCATTTTAGCTCAATTCTAAGAAATATTCTTAGTCTAGGTTTTCTCATATAGCTCTCTCTTCTCTTGCTTAAAGTGATCTTTGCTTTCCATTCTTGTTTTAACAATCTATTATGGCTGCATTTTTTAAATAAGTAGCTTCAAATATTGTGTGAGAACATAAGGAGAAATATCTTTTCCTCACCCATCGCTAGGTTTACAGTGGAGAAAGCTCTATAACAAAAGACAGATTAACAAGAGAAAAACATGCAAATTTATTTGGTATGTTTTATGTGACACAGGGGCCTTTTAAGCAAATGAATACCCAAAGAAACAGACTTGTGTATTATTGCTGGCTTTGATGAAGAGTGGACGGTCATGGAGAAATATAACAGGACAAAGGGGATATGATCTAATGATAATAAACTGCAGGGAGCTTAGCAACATACGTTTGTTCAAATTCTTCTTTGTGTTCCTATGTCTTCAGAGATAAGAATGTTCCTTTCTTCTGACCGGGCACGGCACGGTGGCTCACTCTTGTAATCCCAGAACTTTGGGAGGCTGAGGTGGGCAAATCGCTTGAGCCCTGGAGTTCGAGACCAGCCTAGACAACATGGTGAAACCCTGTCTCTACTAAAAATACAAAAATTAGCCAGGCTTGGTGGCACATGCCTGTAATCCCAGCTACTTGAGAGGCTGAGGCAGGAAAATCACTTGAACCCAGGAGGCAGAGGTTGCAGTGAGCTGAGATCGCGCCACTGCACTCCAGCCTGGGTGACAGAGTGAGACTCTGTCTCAAAAAAAAAAAAAAAAAAAAGAAAAGAAAAAAGACTGTTCCTTTCTTCTGGATATAGGGAGGGCACCTCTTGAATAAAAGTCTTATGATCTGCTTCAGGGCAGAAGGGCAGGGAAGGGTCAGAGAGACCTTCCAGTAAATGGCTTCTCAAATTCCTTCAGCTTGAAATACTCAGTGTGCCAAGGTGCTGTATTTTGGGGATACCATGTCCTGAACCACATCAGGGCTACTAAGAAATGAATGTCTGTGCTATGTCTTGAAGCATCTCTGCCTGGATAGAGCACAGTGACCCCAAGAGCTCCATTCAGATTCCCTTTGCTCCATGAAGTGTTCCTGCTGTTCCCTGGACAGCTGTAATTAATATGGCCCCAGATAACACAGTTTGTGATTTATCATTATACATCACACTCTGCCTTATATTTTGAGGTATGTTTGTAAAGTGCTTAGGGTAGTGTAGGAACATACTACACACTCAAATGATGATGATGGCCATTATTATTGCTGTTGTTTATGTATATATATGTGTCATTCCTACTCAACTGTAAGCCTTGTTGGGGTGAGGAGAGGACCTTATTTACTGATGGATTCCCAAGCGAGCCTGGTTTATGCTGCACTCATAACAGTTTCTTACATATAACATTAATGAGAATAAATATTAGAGTACTTTGAAAAGGAAGACATGATTTATTATCATGAATTGGAGCATTGGGTCTCAGCTAATCCTATCCAAAAGAAGCTGTTTGACCAACAAGAGCACCACATCCCCTAGCCTCAGCCCCAGAGGGCAGCAGAAAAAAAAAGGAAGTGAAGGATAAATGTCACCGAAATTCTCAGTGAAACAGAAGAAACTCTGACCAAAACCAAAATGGAACCCACTGAAAATGTTAATGGTCATTTTTAGTAAGTCACAAGAAGGTTAAGAAATGCTATTTTAATAAGTAGAACAATTTCATTTTCCATATAGCCTTGGAAATTGAGATCTAGATGGTTTCTTTTACCTAGTCTCACATCAACTTTGCACCTCTTTAGCTGAAAGCAATATGGTTTCGCCTTCATAACTTGTGGAAAAAAAGAAGCAAAAGGGATAATATCTTAAGTAATTGTTTACAAGAGAAAAGCACGTTGGAAGTGAATGTTATATGTAGGATTATCCAACATAGTATTCTGGGAGGAAAAAGTTCAGACAGGAGAAGAAAATTGAGCAAAGAATAAGTTTGCATGATGTATAGAAGCAGGTTCATGGAGAAACCAATAAAGTCTGAGCCCCAGCTTCTTCCAACACCCCAAGAGGGGCCCTAGCGATTTTGTGTTTACAATTATGCATTAGTGTTCATGAAAAGGGCTTCCTAAGGTGCATACGTTTCAGGCTCTATAAAACTTGAACCACTCCTGATGAAATGCCTGTAAATTTGTGTAGCTCTTGTTTCTCAGCTTTACCTTTTTGCAATCATTTAGCTCTGCCTTGCTAAATGAAGTGATGCAACAACTGGGGACTTGGCCATAAGGAAGAAGGTCCTTGGAGAACTGCTATTTGGGGAGATTATCACAGCTGAGTTCAAAGTAGTAAAATGTGGACACTAGTATGGTTTTCATCAAGGATTATCATTGTACTTCTAGGGTAGTGATTCCCAACCAGGGGCAAATTCTACCCCCAGCGGGGAGGGCTGCTACTGGCATCTAGTGGGTAGAGGCCAAGGATACTGCTAAACATCTTATAATCCACAGGGCAACCTCCACAGCAAAGAATTATCTGGCACCATATCTGGTTAGTGCTGAGGTTTAGAAACTGTTCTAGGGTGCTCCTTTTACTACAAGTCAATTGACAATCCAAGTTGTCAAAATGAATGACCAGCAGCGTAAGGTAACATCTCAAAGGCATTCTGTCTCAAAGGCATTTGTTGGGTCTGTCATAAACCATTGTTCATCATATATCTGGCTCTTCCTTCTGTACACACACATAGGAAGGTTGTTAGGGCAGTGACTTGAACGAAAACTGGTGGAAACCTGTCTGATGCTAACGGCTGCGAAACAGGGAGTCCTAGAATTACAGGCACCGGAGTGGTGCTTTGTTGTGCAAACCCTGATCAAAAGATCAGCCTCCCTAAAACTAGAGTTTAGACACTTCCTTCACGGATGTGAATGTCCACACAATGTTAATGGAAATGTCAATCCCTCTCCCCAGCTGCTGAGATCCCACTCCCAGGCTGCTGAACCCTACCAGTTAAAGTCCCAGAGTTACCAATGGACTGCCCCAAATTCCTGCCCTTGGACCTTTGCTGGTCCTTTACCACCTCATGGCCTTCCTTCTAGTCCCCTTCTGACTATCTCTGTAATAGTCCCATGGCGGCTCATTTCCCCAAAGCCCCTAAACCATCCTTTCCCTGTTACCCTTCTGTGGATGCCTACACCTCCTGCTTCCCTGAGATGAGTTACAGTAGTAATCACAGCTGCTACCATGTATGCAGCAGCCATAAGCACTAGGCTGGCGCCATAACTACACTTCATCTGCGAGGCGAGTATCAATAACCTTGTCTTGCAGATGATGAATCCCGGGTTTAAAGAGGCAACTTCCTCCAAGTCACAATGCAGGCACTTGGTCCTCCAAGTCACAATGCAGGCACTTGGTCCCAGGACTGCCTGGCTCCAGTAGGAACTCCCTATGCTTACTTCTCTCCTCTCCCCAGAAAAATCTGTTTTTATATTGATCCCTGGATTTATTTTTTCTTTCTTTCTTTCTTTCTTTCTTTCTTTCTTTCTTTCTTTCTTTCTTTCTTTCTTTCTTTCTTTCTTTCTTTCTTTCTTTTTCTTCTTCTTTTTGAGATGGAGTCTTGCTTTGTGGCCCAGCTGGAGTGCAGTGGAGCAATCTCAGCTCACTGCAACCTCTGCCTCCCAGGTTTAAGTGATTCTCCTGCCTCAGCCTCCTGAGTAGCTGGGATTACAGGCATGCACCACCACGCCTGGCTCATTGTTTTTTTGTATTTTTAGTACAGTTGGGGTTTTGCCATGTGGGCCAGGCTGGTCTCGAACTCCTGACCTCAGGTGATCTGCCCACCTCGGCCTCCCAAAGTGCTGGGATTATAGGCGTGAGCAACCGTGCCCGGCCAATCCCTGGATTTTAGATGAGGAAAAGTTCTTTCAAACCAAAGTTGACTCCTCCATCTTGATCTTGTTCTGCTGTCTCCCACTGTCCTTCACTCTGTCTTTTATCTATCACAGCCTCCTAGCTCCTCTCTAGCGGCTCCTTCCTTTACAAATGCACCCCCGACCCTGCTTCACGAGCAAAGTCCTGCCTCATCTGCTTCCTTTGCTTCACTGTCAACTTGTCAAAGGTAAGAGGGTCTCAGTTTGGCCACTCGTCTGCTCCCTCATTCATTTCCTGTCCTGTCCATGAACAAAGTCTTGCTCTCTTCCCTGGCCCCGTGCCTCAGGATGGTGATTTGTCTGTGTACCCTTGGGACCCTCTGCTCTCTCTGGATGGAGACCATGTCTACCTCCCACCCTTTTGTTTCTCAGTGCCTGGGACAGTGCCCTGAAGAGTGTGCGTGATGGGGATGACCTCACATTCAGACCAAGGCAAAAACCAGATAAACCCCTCCCTCCCAGGGGGCCAGGGAGATGGCTGAAGCAGGGCTCCTAGGGAAATTCCTTCGGGCTGGAGCTCTATTCAACAGAATGACAACACACTATTGACATATTTAGAGCAGTGATTACCTCATGGAAATACCCTATTTTCACCAGGGACTGAGATCCAAGCTTCATATCTAAATGTCATGTATCTCTTCACTATAACTGAGGCTCTGAGAAAACAGAAACACATGACTACATACTAGGGGATTCAATTCCTGTTTTTCCTTCCTGTTTGTCCTCTTCTAAAATAAAAAAAAGAAACTTCTTGGTATTGTTATCCTGAGGGTATATTACTCCTACATATGTGGAGATAAAGTTAAATGAAACAAGTAGTTTCTGAGCTGTTGGCAGTAAAGGCCATCCATTTTTAAAAGGAAATTAAGTAACATCTAAATCTATATTTGATGGCAAAGATCCCTGCTCTGGGTAATTCCATTCTCATACCCTCTCCACTGAAATGTCTGTAGGAATTTCCATAAGTTGGTATTAGGCTTCTGTCTAACCTTCATCCATCTATCTACTGGTTCATTCCTTAATTCAATAAATCTTTATCCAACCTGTATGCTCAGTCATTGGACAAGAGAGAAGAAAGACACTGTGCCTGTTCTCAAAGAGCGAAGTCTAACGTGGCACCTACAATTCAGGGTGACAGGTGCTGGATAAGAGAAATGTAGGGTGTGGCAGGAACATCCACATAGACGCTGACCCCAGACTTGGGGGCAGCCAGTCAGGGACAGTTTCTAGGAGAAAGTAACATCTAAGGTAAACTCTAAAAGCGGTAGGTGAAGGTGGAAGGGGTCAGGTTGCGAGGAGAGGCTGACCAAACAAGAGAGAATAACGTTTAGAAGGCCCAGGTCAAGGGAGAGAGAAACAGAGACAGAAAGACAGAAGAGAGTTTTAAGGGACCAACAAGTTAATGCTTACTGGATCAGAGAAGAGGAGATGAATGGAGAAAGATTCAGGCACATGAAGTGGGTGCCATTATCATCCCCACATCGCAGATGTGGAACTGAGGCACTGAGAGGTTAAGTAACTTGCCCAAGGTCATCCAGCTAGTACGTAGCAGATCCTGACTAAGCCTAGTATCTGTGCCCTTCACTGCTGCCTTTGAGATCATTTTCTTTTCTTTTTTTGGAGACCGGGTCTCGCTCTGTTGCCTAGGCTGGAGTGCAGTGTTGTGATCGCAGTTCACTGCAGGCTTGATGAGATAATTTTCAAAATTCCCTCCCAGCTATGGTTTGGAGGCTCCAGGAGAAAAGAGTAGATTGAGGCAGTAATTTTATATTCAGTGGGAAGTCTAAGGGGGAATGTCAGCCCCAGAAAACCTGTCCTCCTCTGCCTGCTGCCCTCCATAAGTCAGATTAAGGCAAAAGTACTGCTATTCTGGGGGGATTTTCATTTCAATCGGGTAGGGCCCAGCACGTTTTCAGCACCCTAACTAGCAGGGGAGATTGAGGGAGACATTTTGGGATAGGGGTCCAGCCTGTGTCCCTTCAAGGGGATAAATATGAGGGACCACATCATCATATAATCAGAGGCATCTTTTTGCCTAGAAAGGTTGGTATGAATCACTAAGCTCTTAATTTTCTGTCAGAGAATGACTTAGGCTCTTGAAAGTTACACATTAGAAGGTTTTTTTCCCCCTTATAATTACGAATGGCATAAGTGAGAATTACTCAAGTTGACTCAAGGAGTAAATTGTTTTATTCAAAGGAGCTGAGTTTTGTTTCATTCAGTGACTGATTTTGAGCTTCATAGCCCTTAAGGGGGAAGACAAATAGGCTTTAATGCCATACATTTTGCAAGGGAAGACTTCAAAGTGGTGAAGTGTGTGAACAGTTCACCCAAGGGTGGGACATGGAGAGCAGACTTCTCACGACCAGATAATTTCTCATGGGCAATTACCCACCAGTGAGATTAACCCTTTACCCAATGAGAAATTGAACATTTGTTCACAATTAATACTCCCTAGAATAAAAATTCTTCAGTTTGAGAAGTGTCACCCCCAAATGCTCACTTTTCTTGTTTCATTCCAGTTGCCTAGTTCCTTCTCAAGGGATAGACTAATCCCTTAGCTGCTGAGACCAGCTTGAGTTGAAAGGCCCATCTCCAAGACCGCCTATGGTGATATGGATGAGGACTTTTCCATGTTTATTTTCAACACTGGTGGAGTTGATGGTCTGGAGAGTATGTGTGCACATACATATAATATAAAATATTATACATATTATATATACACAAACATATATTATGTGTGTGTATATATATAAATATATATGAAACTGGATATATGTCATGAGTTGGATTGGAAAAGGAGCTTTGGAAAAGCTGATGACCAATGACTATGAGCATGAACATATTGGTTTGGTTAAGGCAGAAAGAGTGTGTGTGTTTTGTATCCTTGTTTATACCAGTACCTAGGGAACTCAAAGTCACATGGAAATTGGATATGGTTTATCAGTTAGCTCTGTCTACTCAAACCATTCCTCCCACCAAAAAATGGACAGCCCTTTTACTACTATTTAAAACTCTTTCTTCCACTTGGCCAGATCTGATTTTGTAATTCCTTTCAGGCAAGTGGATAGAAAGCTTGGTGAAAACTTCTGCTTGTTGAATTATTGTATAAATCATTAGTTGATTCATCACTATGAAAATTCAGGAATGCCGGCTATAATGTGCTATGCTGATCAGGTGTCTGCTCTGCTCTGATTTTGGCATCAATGTGGTGACCTCCCAGGAGCAGGGGACCACTGGGTTGCCTAAGGAGGGGTAAACCAGCCCAGGTTGGAAATGGAGCAGGTCAAAACTCCCGAGCTGATCAGTAGCAGCATCGCACCTGTGAATAGTCACTGCCCTCCAGCATGGGCAACATAGTAAGACCCTGTCTCTAAAAGAAAAAAAAGAAAGAGAGAAAAGAAAAATCAGGAATGTCATTTATATAGTGATTAACCCGTTTTTTCATTGGGACATAGGCTGACATATGTGCCCTTTAGATCCATACTGTGGTCAGAAAATTAGCAGTTAGCAATAAGCCTTTATCCTTGTTTATTTCTCTGTTGCCATTGAGTTTTCTTGTCACAGTAGTGAGAAAATAGATGGCATGGCACTTCTGGCTTGGAAGTCATTGAGAGAGTGATTGAATGGAAGAGGAGAAGGGAAGTGAACGACTAACAAACTCAACTCTACCAAACCAGTGTCTTCATGAGTGCTGGAACAATAAGCATGCCATGGTGGTTCTCATTCCACAACCATTTATTCATTCAGACAAATAGAGCTTACTATGAGCACACACTAGGAAGACACAAGGTCTGACCTCGAGAGCTCACGCTAGGACTTGCCCAAAAGTGGGCCCATCAAAGGTGCTGAAAAGAACAGACGTGCATTTGCAATCAGCAGGCTGCCTCCCCTTTTCACAAGGCACAATGGATTGAGTTATCTTCCACATTCCTCAGTCCTGAACTTACCTGTATTAGTAAAGTTGAGAGGGACAGGCTCAGAATGATTTAGACAAAAGAGGAGATTGATTGGAAGGCATGTAACAGAAAGTTCAACAACCAAATCACAGGAAGGGCAGGGCATCAGGAATGAGGGAACCAGCGAATCCCTCCCTCCCTCACCCCTGCTCTCCATTCCACACTCCTCTCTGGCCAACTCACTTCCTTCTCTCTCTGTGGAGAGGGGCTCTCCCCACAATGGTGGTGCCCCAGCCTCACATCTTCCAGACTTTATCCTTTTCCTTCTTTGTCTCTTTAGTAGGCTCAGCCCCCTACCTGCCCATCAAATGCTGGAGTTCCTCCAGGCTGCATCCTAAGCCCTCTTACTCCCTCCCTGAGATCTTGCTCATGTGAGGTCAATCACCACCTCTACCTAAAGGATTCTCAAATGTATTCTCCAACACAGGCCTTTCTCCAAGCTCTAGGCCTGTGTATCCAAATGCCTTCCTGATATCTACTCTTGGGTATCTCAAAGGCATCTGAAACTTTCCCCTTCTTTCTTGGTAACAGAATCCCCATGTTGTTGGAAGTGGCAATGAACTCAGTGAAAACACGACATTTCCCAGCATCTCTTGCAGCCAGAGGTAGACAATGAGATGTAAATGGAAGTAATTAGATTGAGTTCCTGCAAAAGTCCTTCACAAAAGGCTGATTCAGCTGGATGTTTTGCCATTTTCATCCTTATGCCTTCCTCCTTCTGCCTGGCATGTGGACATAATAGCTAGTGCTACAGTGGTCATCTTGAGACTATGAGAACTTGAAGATGGAAACTAGCACCCAAAATGGCAGAGAGAATCGTAGAAGGATTTTGGGATAAAGGTACCTATTTCCTAGCTTTAGACAACTTTTAGGTGAGAAATTATAAATTTCTATCTTATTGAAGTCCCCTCTATTTATAACTAGAAGCCAAACACAATTCCTAACAGATATAACAGCCTCCTCCTACCCTTCCAGCCTTATCTGGAACCTGGCCCCCCTGCACCCTTCTCCCTCTCTCGTCACACTGCCCTCTTGCTCTCCCTGCACTTGCCATGCCCTCTCCTGCCACTCAGTCTTCTCACATGCCATTCCCACTACCTAGATCTCAGCTCCGTCATCGTTTCCTTGGGGAAACCATCCTTGACCTACTTCCCCAGGTAGTTCCCCCACCACAGGTTCTCAAAGTGCCACCAGCCTCTCTTTTTTTGCATCTGTCTTCAGTGTAATTTTATATTTATTTGCATCAGCTTTGGACTCACACATATCCCTCTCACTAGATTGTAAGCTCTGGGGAGGCAGGGACTTTGACTTTTCCTTTTCTTACTACTGTATTTTTATACCTAAGCACGGTATTATAATAAGTGTTCACCCCAAAAGAGAAAAATGTTGAATACATTAATGCACCACAAAGGAATTACTCAGACCTCTCTGGTCTATGTTTTTAAAATCCTGGGGAAGAATTCTGAATGGCCTAGCTAGGACCAAGTTTCCACCTCAGGACTGTGGCCAAGAGCAGGCTCTATAAGAATGTGGCTGGCCGGGTGCAGTGGCTCACACCTGTAATCCCAGCACCTTGGGAGGCCAAGGCAGGATGATCCCTTGAGCCTGGGAGTTTGAGACCAGCCTGGACACCAAGCCAGACCCAGCCTCTAAATAAAAATAGAAAATAAAATTAGCCCAATGTGGTGGCATGTGCCTGTTTTCCCAGCTACTTGGGAGGCTGAGGTGGGAGGATGGCTTGAACCCAGGAGTTTGAGACTGCATTGAGACAATGATTGCACCACTGTACTCCAGCCTAGGTGACAGAGCAGATCCTGTCAAAAAAAAAAAAAAAAAAGAAAAGAAAGAAGAAAGAAAGAAAGAATGAACGTGGCAGCCCCCATTCAAACCACATGTCCAGAATAGGGAAAACAATAATCCCAAAAGAAACGAAAGGAGATGGGCAGAACAATAAACATCCACACTCTTAAGGCCATCCTTGATGCATATTTTAATATGATTTTACCTGGAGGAGAGCCTGTGGAAGGAGAGTACACAATATAATTTGGCTCAGGTCCTCCATGCCCTAGGAAAGGATGTGGTCCCCAAACTCCTCTACATAAGGCTGGGACAACCTTGTCATATTCCCCCGGGGTCTATTATGCATTCATTGTCAATAGATTAAAAAATGAGATACGCTGTTTTATCTGAATTTATGATTCCCATTCAGTTCAACAGACACCTTGAATAAAATATAAGCTCTTCGCTTAGCCCAAAGCCCTTACCCCCTCATACCTCCACTCCTTCCTGCCCCCCATTGAGTTCCATCCACTCAGGCCTCCTCTGATTTCTCAAAGCCTGAGCTCAGTCCTGCCTGGGGAACTTTACACTGCTGTCCCCCTCTGCCTGAAACTCTCTGCCCCTAGATCTGGGCAAGGCTGGCTCCTGCGGAGGCCGAGCCAGCAGGGCTGCCAGTTTGGGCACTGCACAGAGATGCTGGACTGTGGGGGTGGTGATATCTGAAATTCAGTCCCAGTGCTGTCTGCTAAGTCTTGTGCTCTGAGAAGAGGTACATTTTTCTTCACCAAATACAGCATCCTGTAGCAAAGTCAAGGGTCCTTGGAGCTACATTTGGCTAATGGGGAGATCTTTGTCTAATTTATATACACCACATAAGGCTAGTAGTGGTGGCTGGGCTAGAGGGCCTCCTCATCAGAGCTGGAGAATTTTCTCCCCTACTGGATGATGACCATGTGGCTAAGTTGACACTAGAGCCAGAATCTTGAAACTTAGGACAAAGGTCACCTGGTCGCCAGTCGACCCCTCTAACTGAAGATGAGGGAGAGGGAGCTTCAGAGGGTGATCCCAAAAGCTGGTTCTGGGCTCTGCCTGTCTCCGTACTTTTTCAGTTCAGTTACTTCTTCACCTATGCACTCCATGGCCCACTATCTGAACTCCCAACATGTGTGAACCAGGGATTACAGACCCTGCTCTCAGGGAGTTTGCAGTCCACAGGGAGATACAAATAAAATAATCACACCAACAACATGGACATTAAACTGTGATGAGTGCCAGGTGCAGTGGCTCACGCCTGTAATCCTAGCACTTTGGGAGGCTAAGACGGCAGGATCACTTGGGGTCAGGAGTTTGAGACCAGCCTGGTCAACATGGTGAAACCCCTTCTCTACTAAAAATACAAAAATTAGCCGGGAGTGGTGGCACACGCCTATAACCCCAGCTACTGGGGAGGCTGAGGCAGGAGAATCGCTTGAACCTGGGAGGCAGAAGTTGCAGTGAGCTGAGATGGTGCCACTGCACTCCAGCCTGGGCCACAGAGCCAGACTCCGTCTCAAACAAACAAACAAAAACTGTGATGAGGGCCAGAAAGGAGGAGTGGGTGGGCTTTGAGAGCACGAGGTGGAGGAACTTCACCTAAGGTGGAGGGGTGGGGGTGAGAAGACGTCCTTGAAGAAGTGATTCCAGTTGAGAATAGAAGGACAGTGGCTGGGTGCGATGACTCATGCTTGTAATCTCAGCACTTTGGGAGGCTGCGGTGGGTGGATCACTTGAGCCCAGGAGTTCAAGACCAGCCAGGGCAACGTGGGGAGTCCCGGTCTCTACAAAAAATAAATAACTAGCTGGGTGCAGTGGCATGTGCCTATAGTCCCAGCTACTTGGGAGGCTGAGGTGCAAGGATCTGCTTGAGCCCGGAAGATCGAGGCTGCAGTGAACCATGCGTGTGCCACTGCACTCCAGCCTGGATGACAGAGTGAGACTTCGTCTCAAAAAAACAAAAAAAGAGACTAGGGGATGGGTAGGAGGTGACCAGGCAGAGAAAGGATGGGACATGTGGAAAGCAGTAGCCTGGTCCAAAGAAGTTCTTAAAGGAAAAACTTCAGCCAAATTAAATTTAAGAGTTTGAGCATAAAAGGATTCGCCAATCAGGCAGCCTGCTGAGCCAGAGTAGGCTCAGAGACTCCAGTGCAGTCACATAGTGGAAGAAGATTTATTGACAGAAAAAGGAAAGCGATGTACAGAAAATGAAAGTGAGGTACAGAAACAGCTGGACTGAAGCCAGGTGCAGTGGCTCACACCTGTAATCCCAGAACTTTGGGAGGCTGAGGCAGACAGATCACCTGAGGTCAGGAGTTCGAGACCAGCCTAGCCAACATGGTGAAACCCTGTCTCTACTAAAAATGCAAAAATTAGCTGGGTGTGGGGTCATGCACCTGTAATCCCAGCTACTCAGGAGGCTGCGGTGGGAGAATGGCTTGAACCTGGGAGGCAGAGGTTGCAGTGAGCTGAGATCACTCCACTGCACTCCAGCCTGGGCCACAGAGCAAGACTCCATCTCAAAAAACAAAAAAGGAAAAGAAAAGAAAAGAAAAGAAACAGCTGGATTGGTTATAGCTCGGCATTTGCCTTATTTGAGCGCAGTTTGAACAGTTGGCTACATTTGATTGGCCAAAACTCAGTGATTGGCACAAGAGTAGGCTACAGTCTGTTTACAATTCCATTTAGGTTATAGTTCATGATGTACAGAAAAACATTTAGGCTGAACTTAAAATATGTAAAGAGGTAGCTTCAGGCTAAACTTGATATAACAAAATACAGAGGCCTGGACCCAGCTCATGGTGCAGGTCATGCTAGTGCCCAGAAGTGTTTCAAACAAGGCTTTTTGTCTTTTAAGAATCTGCTGTTATTCATCACTGAGATGACATCTGCATATCATTCTGGCAAGTGTTCCCTCAGGTCCAAGTAGAGCATGACTCAGTGGCATGTTGGAGAAGGTTCCTTTCTGCTCGCATGGGCTGACTGCGCATATCCCTTCCCAACTGCACATTCAGTGATGTCACATTGGTCTAGTGGCACTGTTGCTTATGGTGGCAGTATTTGCACCAGGGAAATCAGCACACACTGCAAAGCAGGGCATTTTGTTTTTCTTAGAGAGCTGATGATAAATATTTACTAGCATGCCACAGCATGAGCCACCTTTCACAGTCCCAGAGAAGATGCCCAATTTCTCAGAGCATCACAAATTTTCTTGAAAAGATTGGATTTATGACAAAGTGACACGACAGCCTTTGGATCCTGCCTCAGACAGCTGGAAAAAGCTGCTGCCAACCTACTAAAGATCTAGCATGATTTCTGTCACTCATGGAATGTTTCCTGCAATGGGCTTTCAAGAAACAGAACTTCCTAACTGCTGTCATTTGAGGGGGATGGAGGGGGTTGGACTTGGCCAGTCAGCACTGCTTGCTAATTCCCTCCATGGCCAGAGACTGTTACCACGTCCTGGGACAAATAGTAAAGGCACCTAGGACCTCATCTCTCTCCTCTGAGGACTAGCAGTTGATTAGCAACATAGGACAGTTAGAAATTATGGGTGTAGGCCAGGCACAGTGGCTCATGCCTGTAATCCCAGCACTTTGGGAGGCCGAGGTGGGCAGATCACCAGAGGTCAGGAGTTCGAGACCAGCCTGACCAACATGGCTAAACCCCATCTCTACTAAAAATACAAAAAAATTTAGCCAGGCCTGGTGGCGGGTGCCTGTAATCCCAGCTACTCAGGAGGCTGAGGCAGGAGGATGGCTTGAGCCCGGGAGGCAGAGGTTGCCGTGAGCCGAGATTGCGCCACTGCACTCCGGCCTGGGGCAACAGAGCGAGACTCTGTCTCAAAAAAACAATACAAAACAAAACAAAAAACAAAACAAAACAAAAAACCCAAAAGCAAAACAAAACATAAAAACAAACAAAAAGACCTCACAAATTATGTGTGTAATTCTGTAATTCTGATCCCCAGCTTTCTACCACCCTCGTGCTTTTGGGAGGGCCTGATTCAGATGAAGAGTCTCCTGAGAGCATGGATTGTCTCAGATGAAGAGTCTCCTGAGAGCATGAACTGTCTCAGGTATCCGTGTGTTCCTCAGTGTCTGGCTTGGTGACTGGCACACAATCTTGCACTAGATACTGGCTTTTGAATTAATGCACGCCGTGAAAGAGAACCCAGAAAGTCTGCACAGCTAGAGCTTCTCCTCACCCTGGGTTCTTTGTGATTTGACTTGCTGGTGATTTCTATTTATCCTGCTAAACTCAACTCAGGGGAGCCCTGGAAGCCCCTCCTAGTACGCTGACACTGGGGAGATATGATCCTCCTTATCACAAGGTATCCCCAGTACCTGTCCCCCCAGGTGGTTCTCCCCACTCTGAGTGTCTACATCTCATTCATTCCTCCAGTCCCAGTCCTTGGCACAGTGCTTGGTACAGAATAGGTGCCAGTGACTATTTAATGTGTGAATGAGGGGCTGAAGCTAGTGCAAACAGGAGCTTAAAGTTCAGGAAAGATTGGAGAAAGCGACACTTAACAAGCTCCTTCTGTATGCCAGGTATATGAAGGACAGCGCAGAACACGGCACCCCAAAATATGCTACTTTGGCATAGGATTATTTTGAGCTGACAACCATTGAGAAGAAGCAGATACATGAAAGGCTCTCTGCTTGCCCTCTATTTGCCCAAAAGCAAGACACAAATTTTTTTTTTTTTTTTTTTTGAGATGGAGTTTCACTCTTGTTGCCCACTCTTTTTACTCCCAGGCTGGAGTGCAATGGTGTGATCTCGGCTCACTGCAACCTCTGCCTCCCAGGTTCAAACATTTCCGCTGCCTCAGCCTTGTGAGTGTCTGGGACTACAGGCATGCACCACCACACCCGGCTAATTTTTGTATTATTAGTAGAGACAAAGTTTCACCATGTTGGCCAGGCTGGTCTCGAACTCCTGACCTCAGGTGATCCGCATGCCTTGGCCTCCCAAAGTGTTGGGATTACAGACATGAGCTGTGGCGCCTGGCCCAGGACACCAATTTGTAAAGGTTTCTCCTCCTCTCCTCTCTACCAAGAAGGACAGAAGTTAATCACTGGCGAGAAGTCTAGACCTTTATAAACCCAGAGAGGGCACCAGAGGAATACGTACGTACGTGTGATGCACATGTTAATCTATTTTTCGTCAGTTGAATTTACAGGGCCCCAGCTGGAAAATTTAGGAGAGTAGAGGGAAAAAGATTTTCTTCCCCTACGCATTGTACAAAGTCCTTGCATACTTTCTCTCTTTTAATTTTTACAACCCCTTGAGGTAAATTCTACTATTCCCATTTTACAGAGGAGGAACTGAAGATCAGAGCTGTTAAGTAACTTACTCAAAGTCACACAGCTCATCAAAGGAGGGCCTCCTATTAGCGTCCAAATATAACGTTGTGCCTTCTACTGCACAGTGATGTAGGGTGGGCTGGAGTCAGAACACTCAATTGTAGCCCATGAGACACTGCTGGGTATAAGGACCCCTTTCTTTGCCTGCTGCTTGCCTGCAACATTACCACCTTCACCCCTTGAAGCCAGTTTGTCTGCATATTGATTTGATTTAGGCTTACAGGACTTCAGGGTCTATTTCCATTGTGCTTCTCAAGGAACATTTTGCAATATTTGTTTCATTCACTTCAAGTTCTTAAGACTTATGTTTTCCCATTTATGGGTACATGGACCAAGAAGCTGATGGAATCAGTAAGTGTATTTTGCTGAAACTCTTGACCAGTGTGTCTTACAGTGAAAACTAAGACTAAAATCCTAAGCCCCCAGTCAACTGCATGGACCCACTCTTGGTCAAGGGGAACCCCCGAGACAGCCGAAAAACAGACTACCTGGCCATAATGGGAAGGAGGGTCAGACCAGCCTCATTATACCCACTCCCTTTTGGAGTTTAGGCACAACTGGCCAGCCTTAATGTTAAAATAGAGATCACAAGACTGACAAAACAGATTCTTTGTGGCACTAAGATTCCAGATTTTAAACCATGCGAGGCCAGGGTGAAGTCATGCCTGCAGGCCATCAATTTTGCTATGTAGCATCCTTATCTTAATTTAAAACATTCTTTTTTGCTGACGCCAAATTTTAGACAGAGCCTTACTCCTTTAACCAACTGTAAATTAAAGAATATCTGAATCCACTTATAACCTGTAAGCCCTCCACGTCAAGATATCCCGCCTTTTTGGGTCATACCAATATATACCTTCCATGTATTGATTTATGTGTTTGCCTGTAACTCTTGCCTCTCTAAAATGTATAAAAGCAAACTAATCTGACTGCCTTTGGCACACTTTTTTTTTTTTTTTTTTTTTTTGAGACAGAGTCTTGCTCTGTTGCCCAGGCTGGAGTGCAGTGGCGTGATCTCAGCTCACTGCAACCTCTGCCTCCCGGGTTCACGTCATTCTCCTGCCTCAGCCTCCTGAGTAGCTGGGATTACAGATGCCTGCCACCATGCCCGGCTAATTTTTTGTATTTTTAGTAGAGACGGGGTTTCACCATGTTGGCCAGGCTGGTCTGAAACTCCTGACCTCAGGTGATCTGCCTGCCTCAGCCTTTCAAAGTGCTGGGGTTACAGGCGTGAGCCACCTTGCCCGGCCACCTTTGGCATACTTTCTTGGGACCTCTTGAGGCTGTGTTTCCCCAGGCCATGGTCATTCACATTGGCTCAGAATAAACCTCTTTAAAATATTGTACACAGTTTGTTTTTTTCCATTAACAGAGTGTAGCTCCAGGATAACCTGCATCAGAATCCCTGGAGCCATGGGTAAGATTTAGCGTCTCAGCCCATAGAGCAGGTCCTTGGATGAGACCCTGAAATATGCATCTTACCCAGGAACCCCTGTCTGAATGTTTTGAAGGAATTTTCAAGGATCTGTTTAAAATTTTAAGGTACAATTTACATAGAGCTAAGTACACAAATCTTAAGTGTATTATAGCTAGAATTTTTATATAAGGGTACAGATTTTAACCTAATTACACATTTGTGGAATAACCATTCAAATCAAGATAGGGAAGAAAAATTTCCCTCTAAGTCTTCCCTGAGGTACATACTATGCTGACTGTCACCGTGGGCTAGTTTTTGTTGTTCTTGAACTTCATAGATCATACAGCACATACTCTTTTGCATCTGTTTCCTTTTACTTATACTATGCTTTTGCAATTTGTCCATGTTGTATGTGTAGCAGTAGTTAGTTCCTTTTTACTGCTGGTAAAATTGCATTGTATGAATATAGCCCCATTTACTTATATATTGATTGTCTTGTTGAAGTTCATTTCGATTGTTTCCAGTTTGTGGTTATTATGAATAAAGCTGCTGCGAGCATTCTTGTAATAGTCTTTTGGCTGTCTTGGGGACTTGAGGTTTTCTTGGGCAACTACCTAGGAGTGAAACTGCATCAGGCTTAAGGTTTGACAGAGAGGTAGGTGAGGGCTTATATATAACCATGAACAAGTAATGCATGTTGGGCAGGAACATCAACAGCTGCCACCCCAAAGGAAGAGAAGGCCTGGTGGGGCACTCAGTGGCTGAGCCTAGCTCATGGACTTCCAAAAGGTGATATTGAGGCTGGGCACGGTGGCTCACGCCTGTAATCTCAGCACTTTGGGAGGTCGAGGTGGGAGGATCATGAGGTCAGGAGTTTGAGACCAGCCTGGCCAGCATGGCAAAACCCTGTCTCTACTAAAAATACAAAAATTAGCTGGGTATGACGGTGTGTGCCTGTAGTCCCAGCTACTTGGGAGGCTGAAGCATGAGCATCGCTTGAACCTGGAAGGTGGAGGTTGCAGTGAGCCAAGATTGTGCCACTGCACTCCAGCCTGGGCGAAGAGCGAGACTCCATCTCAAAAACCCCAAAAATCAAAAGGTGATATTGCCCCCAAGGGGCTGAAAATTGTTTACTGAGAGGGATGTGTATGTGGAAAAAAATCTTAGACATTACAATGGTTTGTGGCCTTTAGATATGCTGACATACAGTAATGTCATGGGGAGAGGAGCGATAAGAAAAAAAATATCTTCCAAGGCTCCTGAGGGGGTGAAAATGAAAAAAGCTTGAGAAACATCAGTCTAGATAAGTCTGGACTTTCTCATATCTCCAAAGCAGAACCTGCAAGGGTGATCTCACTCTTTGGTCAAGGAGAGTAAATTGGGAATAATAAGCCTCACAACGCAGAGATGCCCAGGGAAAACCAAACAGCTAGGCCAGGTGTAGTAGCTGCCGTCTAACATCCCAGCACTTTGGGAGGCCAAGGCAGGTGGATAGCTTGAGCCCAGGAGTTCAAGACCAGCCTGGGCAACATGGGGAAACCCCATCTCTATAAAAAATACAAAAATTAGCCAGAAGTGGTGGTACATACCTGTAGCCCTAGCTACTAGGAAAGCTGAGGTGGGAGGATCACTTGAGCCTGGGAGGTTGAGGCTGCAGAGAGCCAGGATCGTGATGTGGACAGGAGACAAGGAAGTACTGGGTAGAACAGGGTGGTTCCCCGGCAAAGACCTCACCCTCAAGCCTGAAGACCTGTGGCCCTAAACGAGGACAGGCATTCCTGTTTTCACGCCCCAAAAGTTGCCTTTTGGCCTGCCATGGCCCCTATCCTGTACCATCCTGTACCCATATAAACACCAAACCCCAGGCTCCAGAAGCAGACAAGCAGGTGAAAAGATGAGAAGACAAGCAGATGCAGGGTGGAATGGAGGGCGCGGCAGAGAAAGACAGAAGAGGAGAAACATCTGAACGCCGAGAGGAGTTGGGCTGTTGGTGGTGGGAGAGGAGTTCAGCTCTGGACGGCCCGGCTCCAGGGGAAGACTGTCTTCCCACTCCATCCCCTGCTTCTGTCTCTCTATCCATCCCCGCTGAGAGCCACCTCCACTACTCAGTGAAATTCTCACATTTATCCTTCAAGTTCGTGTGTGACTGGTTTTTCTGGGATGCTGGACAAGAGCTTAGGATACAGAAAGCTGTCACATTGGCCCTCTGCCCTTGCGGAAAGGCAGAGGGTCCACGGAGCTGGTTAACACTTGAGCCGTCCATGGACCGCAAGGCTAAAGGGGCACATTGTAACACACGCCCACTTGGGCCCCTGCACCTGTCCATCTGCGTGCTCCCCCTCCCTTAAGGGCTTTGAGCAACGGTGGCGGTGGCGACCCAACAGGTGAGCCACACCCCTGTTGTGCATCCTGCGGGGGGATCAGGGAACTCTACCATTTCGGTCATGCCACTGCACTCCAGCCTGGGTGACAGAACGACACCCTGTCTCCAAAATAAATAAATAAAACAAAAACTAAAACTAAAACTCCCAAATCGCTAAATTCTTGTGTGCATGTCGGGTAGGGTAGGGGCTTGTAGGGACAAGGACACAATGGCGCCCTGAAAGGACAGGTAAGTAACCACAGTCTAGATAGATCCTGCTCTAGTCGGCACAGGGACCACCTGACATAGAAGAGGAAAAGTTTCTTGGGTTCACACCTTTCGTTGAGGGAGGAAGTGATGAATGTCTCCGTAGGCCCTGCTGGGCGTCACTGAAGATCAGATCCGGCGTGGAGGAAGCTCGGGAACCACAACACAGCCGCCACACTCGAGGCTTACTCGGCACCTCTCACCCATTGTTCTCCTTTAACTCATGCATGATGTTTCCGCCCTCAGCAGGTCTTCCCTTGTGAGCGAATGGAAAGAAAGTAAAAAATCTGGAAAGAATGAATGCACCAAAGAGAGAGCAAAAACCATGAATCAAGCCAGAGGGAGACACACTCAGCCCACAGACACCAGGAAGGAAGGGAGGCTTTGAGAGAAGGCTTGCAGCTCTCCTTCACCCCTGTTCTCTGTAAGCCAGGTGTCTGGTGGGCCGCTCACTGCATCTGAGGGGTATGTGGCCAGCTGTGAGAAGGACCACAGGGGCAGTGCACCCCACCAGGCCAGGCACTGCCTTCAGCCCTGGATGATACATACCGGCAGTGTAGGACGGTGGTGGAACCCACTCATAACCAGTGTGGCCTGAGCAGGTTACAGACCCATCCATTCTTTAGCTTTCTGTGCTTTGGTCTCCTCATCTGCAGAACAGGGCTGGGAATAATGGTCTCTTCCTCACTGTGGTGTTACGAGGATTCAATTGGTGAATATATGTTAAGTACTCAGAACAGATCTTGGGACATAGTCTCGCTATGTGGGCACTGGCTTTCTTTTTTTTTTTTTTGAGACAGGGTCTCGCTCTGTTGCTCAGGCTGGAGTACAGTGGCAAGATCATGGCTCACTGCAGCCTTGAACTCCTGGGCTCAAGGGATCCTCCCCACTCAGCTTCCCAAATAGCTAGGACCATGGGTGTGCTACTATCCTTGGCTAATTTTAAATATATATTTTGTAGAGATGGGGTCTTGCTACATCGCCCAGCCTGGTCTTGAATTCCTGGCCTCAAGTGATTCTCCCACCTTGGCCTCCCAAAGCATTGGAATTACAGATGTGAGCCACCACACCCCACCAAGGACTGGCTTTTATTATTACAAAAAACAAGTGATACCGGCCCTCAAGTTGCTCCCACACTAGGGAGGGTACCACCTTTCCATTTCTTATTCAACTGAAAAGGCTGACAGGAAAGAATGACTTTAATAATACTTTTGCCTGTTCTTATCTAGACTTCAGGCAGGGATACTGCTGCCCCCTTGGGGTTGTCATTTCTTGACTGACTCACTTTCCCCTTCTTTCCCCCTCAGCAGCCAGGCTCCCAAAGGGGATGATCACTGACTTTGGGGTGGGGGTGGGATATGTAGCCAAGAGGAAATGTTGATCGAACCCCTGATGACTCATGAGTCACTCTACGTTGGACTCCACAGGGTGAGGTCACAGTACAGACAGGGAGCCCAAGCTCAGGGTCTGAAATGGAGCTTGGCCAAGAAATGGAGCTGTTTTCACACAAGGGATGCTTCAGAGCCGTGGCGGTAACTGTGGACCCTGCACATCACATTCTCTTCCTTCCCATGTTAGTTTGTTAAGAGGGATATGATGAGCTGGGGTCACGAAAACACAGGTACGATTGATTCCTCTGCTTGTTGGTGTGGCTTTCAGGGGCCCAGCTTATTTGTTCTGTGTCCACCTACCCATAGATCCTTCAACCTCCTTGGGAAGCCATCGAATGAATTATTCTGAGCATCACGGGTTGCATTATCCAGGAAACAGTTTCCACGACGGCAGTTTGTGCACAGAAAGTTTATTGGGGAATGCTGTCAAGATTAACACCTGTGTGGGGAGAGCAGGAAGCCAGATGAATAGAGGAAGAAGCTGAACTTTAATGCTGTGGAAACAATGGCTTCCACCAATGCCACAAGGAGCTCTGGAGCAAGGATGGCCCTTTGAAATTGGAGCATAGGGCAGGTTGCTACCCTTGTATTGACCATGGGATACAGCCCCTGCTCTAGAAAGTAGTAATGGCCTTGAGTGAGGCAGCTTCTCCTCAGCCCAGGGCAAACCCTGGAAAAGATGCAGCTGCAAGCTCCAGCTGCCAACACTCCTGGGAGCTGGCATTATCAACACCTCTACTGCAGCCCAGCATCCACCACACTGGGCATAGGCTTTAGACCTTTCTTACTTTTACCAAGTGTGTTTGTTTGTTTGTTTGTTTGTTTTGACAGTCTCACTCTGTTTCCCAGGCTGGAGTGCAGTGGTGTGATCTAGGCTCGCCGCAACCTCTGCCTCCAGGTTCAAGTGATTCTCCTGCCTCAGCCTCCAGAGTAGCTGGGATTACAGACATGAACCACCACGCCCGGCTAATTTTTTGCATTTTTAGTCAAGACAGGTTTCACCATGTTGGCCAGGCTGGTCTCAAACTCCTGACCTCAGGTGACCCGCCCATCTTGGCCTCCCAAAGTGCTGGGATTACAGGTGTGAACCACCGCACCCAGCCACTGCCACGAGTTTAAATCGTTTGCATTCTCTACGATCTTTAAGTATGATAGTTAGGGACACAGGTTTTGAAGTCTGACAGACTTGTGTTCACATCCCATTCCTGCCATTCATTTGACAATATTTATGGAGTATCTCTCTATTTCAGGTGCTGTTCAAGGCACTGAGGGTACAGCAGGGAATAAAAGAGGTAAAAGCCCTGCCTCTGGGGCTGATGTTCCATGAGTGACAGGAGGACACAGATGATTAAAAGAGAAACATGGAATACATGATGATTAGTGCCATGTGATAATATATACTTATTACACTTAAAAAATTAAGTGGGGCATGTGGGGGCGGGGCCAGGGGGGAGGAGGGAACTCAGGAAAGGCTTCCCTGAGAGGTGTGGCCATGGAGAGATCAGGGAAGCTGGATTGGGGGTTGGGGGAAACTGTGCAAAGACCCTGGGAAGAAGGTGTGCTGGGGGTGTACAAGGCACGCAAGGAGGAAGAGAAAATGGGTAGAGAACAGGGTTTCAGAAGTAGATAAAATCAGAGAGGTTTATATGAAATATCCAGAATGGGCAAATCTATAGGCACAGAAAGCAAGTTGCTTAGGGCTACAGGAGTAGGCACAATGGGGAGAGGTGACTTTGGGGTGCAAGTTTCTTCTTGAAATAATGAAAATAACCTGAAAGGCACTGAGATGACAACAGCTGCACAGCTCTGTGAATATATGGAAAGTTATACAATGGTTTTTTCAATGTACGCTTTAAATGAGTGAACTGTGTGGTGTGTGAATTGTATCTTAATAAAGCTATTTATTGTGTGTGGGTTTTTTTTTTTTTTTTAATGGAGTCTCGCTCTGTCGCCCAGGCTGGAGTGCAATGGTGCGATCTCAGCTCACTGCAACCTTTGCCTCCCAGGTTTAAGAGCTTCTCCTGCCTCAGCCTCCTGAGTAGCTGTGATTACAGGCACCTGCCACCATGCCCGGCTAAATTTTTTTTGTATTTTTAGTAGAGACGGGTTATCACCATGTTGGCCAGGCTGCTTTTGAATTCCTGACTTCAAGTGATCTGCCTGCCTCGGCCTCCTAAAGTGCTAGGATTACAGGTGTGAGCCACTGCGCCTGGCCAATAAAGCTATTTAAAGAATCAGAGTAGTGACTGACACGGGACTGTACCATGCAGAGCCTGGTGGTCCACGGTCAGGATTTGCACTTTGACTCAGATGGGACACTACCAGTTGGTTTTAACCAGAAGAGTGAAATGATAAGATTTACATTAAAAAAGAATCCCAGGCTGGGCACAGTGGTTCACGCCTGTAATCCCAGCACTTTGGGAGGCCAAGGCAGGTGGATCATGAGATCGAGAGATCGAGACCATCCTGGCCAACATGGTGAAAACCCGTCACTACCAAAAACACGAAAATTAGCTGGGTGTGGTGGCGCACCCCTGTAGTCCCAGCTACTAGAGAGGCTGAGGCAGGAGAATTGCTTGAACCCCGGAGGTGGAGGTTGCAGTGAGCCGAGATCGTGCCACTACACTCTAGCCTGGCAACAGAGCGAGATTCCATCCCAAAAACAAACAAACAAACAAACAAAAAAAGAATCCCCGCTGAGACATGGTGGCTCACACCTGTAATCCCAGCACTTTGGGAGTCCGAGGGGGAGGATTGCTTGAGCCCGGGAGTTTGAGACCAGCCCAGGCAACTATTGCAAGACCCCATATCTATTTCAAAAATTAAAATAAATAACAAAAAAAAAGAAAAAGAAAAGACTCCCTCTGCTGCTGTGTTGAGAATTGGCTGAAGGGGGACACTCGTGGATGCAGGGAGAGGAGCAAGGAGCTTAATGCAAGAATCCAGGTAAGAGGTGATGGTGGCTTCCAACCAGGTGCTGGAAGCAGGGGCGCAAGTGGTTGAAGGTAGACATGCTTCAATATCAGAGCTGGCAGCAAGTGCCCCGAGTATGGCTGGCTGTGGGTGTGTGAGAGAGAGGAGCTGAGGTTTCTTGGTTCTAGCTGGTTCTGGAGTGGAGCTGCCATTTACTAGGATGGAGACAGCTGTGGAAGCAACACATTTGGGGTTGGAATCAGGAGTTTCTGTATGATGTGTGAAGTCTGAGAGGCCTGTGAGAGAGACCTCCTAGGCAGTTGGGAATTGTGTCCAGAATTCAACATGGGAGCAGTCTGCGCAGGAGACTGTGCAGGAATCTGGGAGCCATCAGCATATCATGGAATTTATTCTTAAGACGGGATCAGACCCTCAGGAGATGCAGAGACACACGAGTTACAGACAAGTGTCTAACCCTTTGAGGCTTATTGTCAAAGCTATAGGATATCTACCTTGCATGGTGGTTGTGAGTGAACAGCCGATGCAGAATGGACCCAGTGCTCAGTGGGTAGCTCTCTCCCACTGAATTTTTTTTTTTTTTTTTTGGTCTCAGAATGGCACTATTGTCGGCTTAGCTCCCTTTGGATCTTAGTGTCTTCAGTCTTCTTTCTTTTTTTTTCTGTACCCTTATTAGAAGTGAAGGCTAATCCTCAGCCTTATTATTTAACTACTTGATCCAGCTCAACACTGAGCACCAACTGAGAAAAAGCTGCTCTGCTAGAACATCAGCTACCTGAGGATCCTGGCCCACACTTTCCACTCCTCAGGGATGCACCTTCCAATGGAGAAAACAGAAAACCCCATCGCCTTCCTGAGAATGTACGGCCAACAGCAAGGCTGTGCAGGTGCAACACTGGACTGGGGCTGGGGAGACATTAATTCAGACTGGGGACATTTGTGGGACTCATCAAGGAAGCAGAACATGAGCTTGAGCTTGAGAGTTGAAAAGGAATGTGTTGGGGAAAGATGAAGAGCAGATGGGGTGGGAGTGGAAGGGAGGGCAGCACAGGCAGATGTGACGAGAACAGACCAGAGAAATCCTTTATGGCTAAAGCAGGGTGTTTGTGGTGATAGGGTAGAGGGGACTCAGACTGGCTTGAGCTAGACTGGAGGAGTTGACAGGGGGCCACTCCATGTTAGCAAGCATCACCCACGGGTACACCCCGAGTTGTCTAGTTCCCAGAATTCCTCCCCTAAAATCTTTTGGCTCCTCTCACTCTTAAGCCCAGCACATTAACTCATTAGTTTAGACGAGACTGCCATTTTCTGCCCAGCCATCCAGGAGCTAACCTCCTCTATTCCCGTCCTGTGGTTCTATCGCTGTGGCCCATCTCTTGCCAGCATCCTCAACTGTTTGCCTCTTTGGCTTTTGACCCATCATCTTATAAACTTTGAGTCCTGGATCATTTCAATAGCTTCTCTCTCTTCTTTTATTTCAGGATGTCGAGGTGGTTGGACAACAATCCTTCAACTGCATATGGCAGGAGCTTTAACTTTGTTGCCCCTAGTCTCAACTGGGTCCTTAGGAGTACTGTTCCATTCTTTTATGCATCCTTACCCAGCTTAATTTTCCATTTTCATGGTGGCCATGCCAAACCTTTGTTCCTCTTCTTAACTTGTTCTCAGCAAAGAAAATGGAAGGCTTTTGGGCTCATGCTCCTTCAAATGTTTGCCTTCCCTGCATGCAAACTTGTGTACTTTATTTTATTTTATCTTTGAGACAGGGTCTCGCTCTGTCACCCAGGCTGGAGTGCAGTACATGAACATGGCTCACTGGAATGAGGCGCTTCTTTATGCCACCACTCACAACAACCACGGAAGGTAGATCTCCTATAGCTTTGACAACTAAGCCTCAAAGGGTCAGACACTTGGCCATGACTTGTGTGTCTCTGCTCCTCCTGAGGGTCTGATCCAGTCTCAAGACTAAATTCCATGAATACGCTGATGGCTCCTAGATTCTATCTCCTGCATAGATGACTCCCATGCTGAATTCTGGACACAATTCCCAAATGCGTATGGCCTCTCTCATAAGCCTCTCAGGACTTCACATATCACAGAGAAACTCCTGATTCCACCCCAAAATGTGTTGCTCCTGCAGCTGTCTCCATTCTAGAGATAGCTTCCACCTCCTGGGCTCAATTGATCCTCCCACCTCAGCCTCCTGAGTAGCTGGGACTACAGGTGCACATCACCATGCCTGGCTAATTTTTGTATTTATTTTTTGTAGAGACAGGGTTTCACCATGTTGCCCAGCCTGGTCTGGAACTCTGGTGCCCAAGTAATCCACCTGCCAGGCGTGAGCCACTGTGCCTGGCCACTTGTCTACTTATTAGCTGTCTATTGCTGTGTAATAAATTACTCCAAAACTGAATGTCTTAGAACAATAAACATTTATTATCTTATAGTCTATAGACTCTGGTTTTGGTTTAGTTGAGTATCTCTCCTTCGGAGTCTCTCATAAGATTGCAATCAAGCTATTGGCTGGAGCTGCAGTCACCTCCAGGCTTGACGGGCTGAAGGCTCCTAAGGTCGTTCATGCAGCTTTACATAGGGTTGACTTAAAACAATATGACAGCTGACTTCCCCCAGGGCGAGCAATCCAAGAGAGAACAAGACAGAGTGCCTGTGATATTATGATATATATAACATATTACATATATGTGTGTATTTTTGTCCACAGTTCCTGGCTGATAACTCCTATAGTCCTTCTTAGGAGTTATGTGACTCCTAAGTTAAGTGACTAAAACAATAAGCATATCTTTTGTTAAAGTATTTGTCCCTTTGTCCTTGGTTCCTAAAGTAGCTTCAGAATGATAAAGGTGAAAGACAGTGTTTTGTTATAATGTTGGGGCACTTTAGGCCTCAGGAAGCAGAATCTCTTTCTCTGACCTTCTCCTGCGCCCCTTTCACCTGATCTTTTTTTCTCCCCAAGGCAGGCCATAGGAACTAAAAGTATAATCTTCCCCCACCTTTCTGCCTTGGTACTGGTCATAAATAAATTCTCTGGCCTACTTTGTCTGATTGTAGGTTATAAGACCCCCATTTTAGAAGGGGTCGTGCCCCATACCCAGGAGAAAGGAATGCTGCACAGAGGGCCAAGAAGAATCTAAACCGATGGGCCTTGCTGAATTTCCTCACTCAGCCTATTCTTATTAGATTATACCCTTTCGGTCCAATCACATTTCTACATAGTTGTCCAGGCTTCAGTCATGCCTATCCAATGAAGTCTCCAGGCCCAGGAAGACGGGGCATGTCAATCTTCTGAACAGCTGAACTCATGGAGGCTTCCAGGAAGGTGAATAAAAACTCATTAAAGAGGCCAGGCGTGGTGGCTCATGCCTGTAATCCCAGCACTGTGGGAGTCTGAGGCAGGTGGATCACTTGAGGCCAGGAATTTGAGATCAGCCTGGCGAAACTCTGTCTCTACTAAAAACACAAAAATTAGCCGGGTGTGGTGGCAGGTGCATGTAATCTCTGCTACTAGGGTGGATGAGGCAGGATAATTCCTTGAACCCCGGAGGCAGAGGTTGCAGTGAGCCAAGATAGCGCCGCTGCACTCCAGCCTGAGCAAGTCTTAAAATAAATAAATAAATTTTAAAATAAATAAATAAATAAAATAATAAATCAGTAAACGTAAGTGTTTCCCAGAGTTTCATGAGCCACTCCAGCAAATGAATCATGCCTACAGAGGGCATCGTGGGAACCCCAACTTGAAGCTGGTCAGTCTGAAGTTACGGAGGCCTAGACTTGCGACTGGTGTCTGAAGTGGGGGCAGTCTTGTGGGACTGAGCCCTCAACTTGTGGGATCTGATGCTATCTCCAGGTAGATGGTGTCAGTGTCAGAACAAAACTGAATTAGAAGACATCCAGCTGGTGTCCACTGCAGAACTGACTGCTCGCTTGCTGGTGGGGAGATATCTCCACACATTTGCTCACAGAAGTCTTCTGTGCTGATTACTGTGATATGACAGCAGAGGAAAAAGTTTGTTTTTCAATACAGTGCCGAAGATGAAAGCCACATGCTTTTTATAACCTAATATATCAGAAGTGACATCCCATCACTTGTACAGTATCCTTTTTTTTTTTTTTTTGAGGCAGAGTCTCTCTGTCACCCAGGCTGGAGTGCAGTCGCACGATCTCAGTTCACTGCAACCTCTGCCTCCCAGGTTCAAGGGATTCTCATGCCTCAGCCTTTCGAGGAGCTGGGACTACAGGCATGCACCACCACGCCTGGCTAATTTTTGTATTTTTAGTAGAGACAGAGTTTCTTTTTTCTTTCTTTCTTTTTTTTTGAGACGGAGTTTCGTTTTGTTGCCCTTGTCGGAGTGCAATGGCACAATCTCAGCTCACCGCAACCTCTGCCTCCCAGGTTCAAGTGATTCTCCTGCTTCAGCCCCCCGCATAGCTGGGATTACAGGCATGCGCCACCACACCCGGCTAATTTTGCATTTTCAGTAGAGACGGGGTTTCTCCATATTGGTCAGGCTGGTCTCGAACTCCTGACCTGAGGTGATCTGCCTGCCTCGGCCTCCCAAAGTGCTGGGATTACAAGCATGAGCCACCATGCCTGGCCGAGACAGGGTTTCACTATGTTGGCCAGGGTGGTCTCGAACTCCTGACCTAAAATGAGCTGCCTGCCTCGGCCTCCCAAAATGCTGGGATTAAAGGTGTACACCACCACACCCAGCTATGTGAATAGTATTTTATGTGCTAGACGTGGGTCAATAAGTGTAGTGCCCCCTCAAGGGGAGGGGTTACACCAAAGCATGAACACCAGGAGGCACAGATCGTTGGGGGCCATCTTAGAAGCTGCCTACCACAACTTCTCCTCTTCTTTCCATGTTTCTACTTGCCTCCAGGGCCAGTTCCTCAATATGTGCAAATGTCCCTGTCTTCTGGCTCTGGCTCTATAGAGTATCCACCATTGTTCCATTGCCTTCTTCCCCTCAACCTTAAGCCATGTCCATAAATCTCCCAAGTTAAAAATAAACCTTCCCTCCACCTTGATCTATGACCAGTAGTCTCTCCTTCTTTCCCCTGCAACTCTTCTTGAGAATGTGACCTTTCTTCTCTGCAATCACTTCCACCTCCACAGCACTGCTCTGCTAAGGTCATCAGTGACCTCCAAATGCCAAATCACATACATACCTTTTAATCCAAGTCTTAGTTGTCCTCCGCAGCACTGAATGCCATTAACCCTCCTCTTCAGCTTCTCCTGTCTTGCTGACTTCACCTTTTTGGCCTCCTCTATCTTCACTTACCCCTAAATCTGAGATTGTCCAGGCTTTGCCCACACTCCTTGGATTCACTCCCTCTGACTCCCCACCTCCCGTACTTCCAGCACCTCTATGTTCTGATTACTATTGCTGCTGTGAATTTTAGTCTTCCAACTCACATGTGAAAGAAGTAACACAGGTTTTTTTGGGGTTTTTTTGTTTGTTTTGTTTTTGTTTTTTTAGACAGAGTCTTGCTCAGTCTACCTAGGCTGGAGTGCAGTGGCACCATCTCGGTTCACTGCAACCTCTGCCTCCCAGGTTCAAGTGATTCTCCTGTCTCAGGCTCCCGAGTAGCTGGGATTATAGGCGCCCACCACCACGCTTGGCTAATTTTTGTATTTTTAGTAGAGACGGGGTTTCACCATGTTGGCCAGGCTGGTCTCGAACTCCTGACCTCAGGTGATCCACTCACCTCGGTCCCCAAAGTGCTGCGATTACAGGCGTGAGCCACTGCACCTGGCCATGACACACTTCCTGACTTTGTTTAAATCAACTTCAATCTGATATTGAGCCGCCTTCTACTGAGCTGACAGGAAATTAATCTCAGTAATTGCTGAATGTCCCACATTCTACCCAGGGGTGTGCCAAAGTCGGCTCCTCCTGGGAAGTCTTGCTAGGCAAAGGCACTGGTCTTCGGCTCATGCTAATCACTGCTGAGGTGCTTCCTGGTCTGACTGCATTGTCCCTTGAGGTTTAATAGCCTTGCTGCTTAGAGCAGAGGAACCTTTGGCAAAGTGAATGCTCCCAGGCCTGGGGTCCAGCCTTCCTAACTACACAGATCAAACCACCCCCTTTAGGACTTGTCACCTCCACCAGTGACCTGACATGGAGCAGCACCCAGACCCCAGTCTGCTGTAACCTGCTATTTCCTCTCTCCCAATCCCAGGGTGACTCTCTTCTCTCTCCTCTTGCAACTCTCAAAGTCCCCACCCCACGAACACCAAACAAAGACAACCAGTATCTGTTCTTTACCCTGCAAAAACATCTCAGGAAAGGAACTAGGCCTGGCCACCAGCTTGGAATGCAGAGAAGGGAAAAACAGCAAACAAAACACAAATTAGCCTGGCACGGTGGCTCACACCTGTGATCCCAACACTTAGGGAGGCTGAGGTGGGAGGATCACTTGAGGCCAGGAGTTTGAGACCAGCCTGGGCAACATAGGGAGACCACAATTCTCCAAAAAAAATTTTTTTTAAAGCTGGGCATAGTCTCAGCTACTTGGGAGGCTGAGGCAGAAGGATCGCTTGAGCCCAGGAGGTCAACACTGCAGTGAGCCGGGATCACACCACTGCACTCCAGTCTGGGCAAGAGAATGAGCCTCTGTTCCAAAAAACAAACCAACCCACACAAATTAATACTGTTGGGAGCCTGCCAGTGGGATTCAATACACGACACTCTCTTTTCTCCCTTGTGAGTTTAGGACACAGACGGAGTCCAAAACATTTGCCTTATTACTAATACAGCTCATTGAAGACAGCGGCTTTGAGTGTGCTCCAAGCACGGGCTCTTCACAGTCAAGGCCACCCGCAGACACAGCAGAGCCACTGCGCAGGGCGGGAAAAACGTAAAAGGGAGGAGCCACAGGGTGTGGCCGCACATGCTTAGTTCCCTCCCCAAGCTGACCAATCGGGTAAGCCACCCCTCCTGCTTGTCAGGGCAAAGCCCAGAGCGGCCCGGAGTTCCTGCAGCAGGTCTGGGGAGGTAGGAACCGAGATTCCCGCTTAACAAATATCCATAAAGATGAGTCTGTCACGCTGTGAAGCCTGGACATCCAGCCAAGGCCTCTCTCTAGGGCTCCAGACCAATACTTCCCATGGTCTACCGTACATCTCCACGTGGATGGCCATGAGGCTAGCTCCAGTTCAACACCCCCAAATCTAAATTCAGGTACCCTCTCCCGCAGCCCTCCCCTGGTATCTCAGAGTTGATTAATGACAATACAGTCAGCCTTCCAGTCCAAGGAAGGTGGGCACCCTCCTCCACTCTTCCCTGAATACAGTTTGTCAGCGACCCCATCCTTTCTACCTCCAAAGTTTGGAACGTATTCCTTTATGTTACTTTAGTTTCTTCTCCCCATACTGCAGGAGCCTCCTTATCCTTACCATCTCCATGCCTCTGTCTTTTCCTCTCCCTCTCTTGTCCATGGGAAGCAGGACTCTGTCTACATTCCAGCCTCATACCTTTTCCCCAAATGCAACTAATGCTCCTTTCACACAGCCCTACTACAACATCCAATTTCCAGAACCTTTCCAGCCTTCCACCTCCCCCAGCTTTCACCTGGAAAACTCTTAATTGGCCTACAACATTCAGCTCTGGGGTTGTTGTTCCCCAACACCATCCCTGACCAAGGCAGAATTAAGGGGTCCCTCTGCAGTGCTCCCAACAGCACAGCATAACCTAGATATTTGTCAGCTAACTTTCTACCAGTCTGAGAGGTCCTTCAGTGTAGGGACAGGTTTAAATCTTGTTTATGCTCTGGGTGCCTAGCTAGCTCAATGCCAGGTGGATGCTAGGGGCTCGATAAACATTTATGGAATGAATAGCCATGTCCCACGGGCCCCATCAATTTAACCTTGTCAAGCCCATAGCATCTTTTCTTCTCTGCTTCCCCACGCCCTTCACCTGGTGACCTTGGTGCAGCTAATTGGTTGAAGAGTGCACAGGGAATTTAATGGTGCTTTCCCTCTGGTGTGCTCAGCTGGAGGCAGGCAAAGCAGGCTTCTCAGCAGGCAGTGAGTGGGCCATGCTAGGGGAGTGACTGCTTTGTGCAACCTCGGGGCCTCCTGCAAATCAGACTCAATCGCCTTCACTTCCTGTGCTTAGGGAGATTAGATACTGCCTAATCAACGCCAATTTTTTTTCTTTTCTTAATATTTGAAACTACCAAGTACCAGTTGCCATCCTAGTGGGTGGCTTTCAGAAATCCCCTCTTTTCTGGTGTTTGACTTCTTGTGAGTTTCAAGAAACCAATCTATTTGGAAAGAACCTGCACATAGAAGTTCTTTGAACTGCTGAGAAGCCCTGGCAGGAAGTGACTTGGGATCTGGGTTAGACAGTTTTGTCTCACTCCCAGGAGAGGTGGGAGTAATGAGATACAGTTGCATCTGTGTGTGGGCGTGGCTTTAGATCATTCCTGTGGCCATCTCTCCATGTGTGGCCCATTTTCTAGATCTAGTCAGAGCTGAAATTAGGATGGCTGTTTCTGCTATAGAACATCTATTACACATTGGTGCTGCACTTTGCCAGGCATTCTGGGAGTCCTGGGCTGGCAGAGATGAGCCTGATAAGCTTTTTCATCTCAGTTTAATGTTATAATCTTTTGTTGTTTGTTTTTTTGAGACAAGGTCTCACTGTCACCCGGGATGGAATGCAGTGGTGTGATCACCGCTCACTGCAGCCTCAACCTCCCAGGCTCAGATGATTCTCCTCCCTCAGCCTCCCGAGCAGCTGGGACCACAGGCATGTGACACCATGCCCGGCTAATTTTTTAATTATTTGTTGAGACAGGGTCTTCCTATGTTGCGCGGGTTGGCCTTGAACTCCTGGGATCAAGTGATCCATCTGCCTTGGCCTCCCGAAGTGCTAGGATTACAGGTATGAGCCACCATGCCTGGCCCTATTATAATCTTTAAGTGAACTAAAGTACTCAGTGAAAAACTTTTTTCTTTTCTTTTTTTGCCAGAGACAGGATCTCACTTAGTTGCCTAGGCTGGAATGTGGTGGCACAATCATAGCTCACTGTAACCTTCAACTCTTGGGCTCAAGCAAACCTCCTTCCTCAACCTCCCAAGTAGCTGGGACTACAGGCACATACCACCATGCTTGGCTGATGTTTTCTTTTGTAGAGACAGGAGTCTCACTGTGTTGCCCAGGCTGGTCTTGAACTCCTGGCTTCAAGTGATCCTCTCGCCTTAACCTCCCAAAGTGTTGAGATTACAGGCATGAACCACTGAGCCAGGCCTTCAGGGAAACTTTGTAAGAATTCAATGAGTTCTACACATTTCTCTGAATAAAACTGTTTTGAGAGGTATACTTGGAGAAGGGCTTGGTAACAGGGCAAAGGCCATGTATTTTCACACTATTGCACAGGAGGTGGAGATCTATTCCTCAGTCTGGCTGGAGAGACAGACACTGGCCTTCTTCCCCGATTCTTGTGATGTATTTTTAGGAGAAGGGACGCTCACTGTGGGTCAAGCACGATGCATAGTGTATGACATATGCTATTTCATGTAACTCATCATGCCACAAAAAAACTCTTGAACTCCACTTTATACTAGGAACTTTTGGATTGCCTCTTTTAATCCATTTAGCAGCTTTTTGGGTGTAGAGTCTGTTATGATCGTCACCACTTTTTCAGAAGAGAAAACTGAGGGACTGAGGCATTAACTTCCACCATTTCTTATAGTCAATAAGTAAGTGCTAGAGCTGGCAACTGAGGCTAGGCCATTGAACTACAGAGCCTCTTAAACCCTTCATTTTTTGTCATATGAAATAAGTGTTGAGATTCCACTTTACAGATTAGTAACCTTGAACCCAAAGGTTAAGCAATTTGTCCAAGGTCTCACAGGTGGTAAGAGATGTAGCTGAGGTATCTACGTAGGTCTGTGGGCTTCAAAGTCTGCAACATTCTCCTACCCCCTACTGGTTAGACAGTGGATATATTAGTTTAAAAGTCAAAAAGTTCAGCTGGGCGCGGCAGCTCACGTCTGTAATCCTGGCACTTTGGGAGGCCGAGGCGGGCAGATCTCCTGAGGTCAGGAGTTCGAGACCAGCCTGGCCAACATGGCGAAACTCTGTCTCTATTAAAAATACAAAAATTAGTTGGGCATGGTGGCACATGCCTGTAATTCCAGCTACTCAGGAGGCTGAGACAGGAGAATCACTTGAACCTGGGAAACAGAGGTTATAGTGAGCTGAGATTGTGCCAGTGCACTCCAGCCTGGGCAACAGACCGAGACTCTGTCTCAAAAAAAAAAAAAAAAAAAAAAAAATCTACTTTCCTATTTCTCATTCTTGATATCTGCTCCCTAGAGGCAAACATTTTCATAATTTTAAGACTTTTCTCCTACTGATTACTTACAAATTTCTAAATAACTTGCATATATTATCCTAGATTTTTGTCTTAGATATTTACTACTCACTGCCACTGAAGATGAGGATTTCACTCTCACACCCTGTCCTACCTCCCTCCCCGATTCTTCCGAATATAGTTACAATTTTTGGCTAGTTCAATATTCTCTATTCTCTACTTGTAAAGACTATGTGACCATTCACAGCCAAGCCACTGATGGCAGCAGTGGCCCACCTGGAGCGGCTGCAGCAGGGAAGGTGCGGCCAGGGCTGCGTGTGCCATGGAGCCAGCAGGAGCCTGGAACAGGCGGGACCCCTGCCCACTTCTGAATTGGAAGGGCAGGAGCCTGATGTTCCTGGGTGCAGCTGCAGCCACCCAGTCACGACTGCGGACCCAGGCATCCCTAGCTTTTAGGGACCTGGGAAGCCCCTCTTCCCCGACAGGCTCGGAAGTGCCTGCTCCCGCTGCTTGGCCTTTCCCTGCTCCCGGCTCCCACTCCAGGGTAGAGCAAAGTTGGAGCCGAGCTTGGGTGCTGTCACGACCCGGCCAGGTGTGTGTGCGCCCGGAGTGGCGCCGACACACCAGCCCCCTGCTGCCTAAGCCCCTCCGGACTTTGGGCACCGAGGAGCACAGGATGGGGGCCAAGGGGGTACTGACGGTGGCTCCACGTGGGCCTGCAGGTGCCCCTTGGTAGGAACAGCCTGGGCACCTGCCTGCCTCAGCCTCCCACAGTGCTGGGATTACAGGTGTGAGCCACTGTGCCCGGCACAGACAACGTGTCTTAATGGCCTCAGGAAGTTTTGTTTGCCTTCTTGCATCTTAGTTCCTTCATTGGGCTTCTCTTTAAGATAATCCTATTTAAATTTAAAAACAAAACAATCCTACCCCTCAAACCAAACAAGGACTCATGTGTTTTCCTCTTAAATATTTTCTGGGTATTCACTACATAAAGATTTTTGGATAAAGCTCACTTTCTTTTTTTTTTTTTTTTTTTTTTTTAAGACATGGAATCTCACTCTATCACCCAGGGTGGAGTGGAGTGGCGTGATCATAGCTCACTGCGGCCTTGACCTGCTGGGCTCCAGCAGTCTGTCCACCTCAGCCTCTTGAGTAGCTGGGACTACAGGTGAGCACCACCACACTGGGCTAATTTTATTTGTAGAGACACTATGTTGGCCAGGCTGGTCTTCAGCTCCTGGCTTCAAGCGATCCTCCTTCCTTGGTCTCCCAAAGTGCTGGGATTACGGGCATGAGCCACTGTGCTTGGCCGGAGGTCACTATTCTCAAACCTACAATCTTGTCAGGGGAAACAGGTAAACTGAGCATTACACAAGTCAGAATAATTTAAACGTTCAAACGTACAAGTAACATACTGAAAAGGTAAGAGTCTGGCTAGGGTATCATGGAAGTCTCTATGCAGCAGTAAGCCAAAAATGTCAATAATCAAAGATTGGCAAGGAAGGCCCTGAAGTATATATTTTTAAACACTATCCATTAAAACAGTTTGGTTGGATCATATGGTTTGAAAGATGGTTTTTAGGATAGGGGATTAAAAAGCAGTACATTATTTTATTTTTATTTTTTGAGATGGAGTCTCACTCTGTCTCCCCCAGGCTGGAGTGCAGTTGTGCGATCTTGGCTCACTGCAGCCTCTGCCTCCCGGGTTCAAGTGATTCTCCTGTCTCAGCCTCTCAAGTAGCAGGGATTACAGGTGCATGCCACTACCACCTGGCTAATTTTTGTATTTTTAGTAGAGACGGAGTTTCACCATGTTGGCCAGGCTGATCTTGAACTCCTGACCTCAGGCCATCCACCCGCCTCAGCCTCCCAAAGTGCTGGGATTACAGGAGTGAGCCACCATGCCTGGCCCAATATATTTTTCTTTATTTTTTGAGACAGGATCTCACTCTGTTGCCCAGGCGGGAGTGCAGTGGCATGATCTCGGCTCACAGCAACTCTGCCTCACAGGCTCAAGCAATTCTGCCTCAGCCTCCTGAGTAGCTGGGATTACAGGTGCATGCCACTACCACCTGGCTAATTTTTGTATTTTTAGTAGAGACGGGACTTCACCATCTTGGCCAGGCTGGTCTTGAACTCCTGACCTCAAATGATCCACCTGCCTCAGCCTCCCAGCGTGCTAGGATTACAGGTGTGAGCCACTGCACCCGACCCCAATACGTTTTATTTTTGTCCTTAGTACTGTAACACATTTGGATCCACGAAGAACCTGTTATGATGTTAATTGACTTTAGAAAACATTTTATCACAGCATGGTAATTGTGTTAGTATGTTATGTCCTAGGAGCAGTGAGTTGCCCCAACCAGAAATTTACACTCCAGAGATGGCCACCTAGCAATCCAATCGAGAAGCCCACACTTCAAAAGTGACTACTAGAAGCCCTTGTTATCCATAGCTCAATCAATGCAGACTTTGCCAATTAGCTTAATAAATGTCAAATGTGTTTCCATTGGTGACATGAACAGCTTGCTAGTAATACTAACGACGCAGACACAAGCTCTTATTTGTGAATTCAGCACTAGCACATGGATTGGCTAAAAACCAGTCACTGTCCATTCTTACAAGAGGTTTAAGAATGTAACGAGCCCTGTAACCTGTACTTGTATGCATAGTACCCACAGCTTGATCCTGTGTCCAGCCATTATTAGTACGGAGGACTGATTGCCTGATCCTGATCAGAAGGGTGACAGAATTTTGCCCCTAGTGCTTGACATAGACACCTCAAGTGGCCTTTTCATGAAAGGGTGGTCAGACCACCAAAAGGGACAGAAAGCTGGGACACTCCATTAAGGTTATAGAGCAGACTGTATAAACTGTTGTGCCACCGCTTGCTGATAAACGTTTAATAAATGATTCTGTGTGATGCACATTAGGTCTGAGCTTTGCATTCATACTAAGTGGGTAGTAGATACCATTATCTACCAAAAAGAGTCTGAGTGGTAAATGACAAAATTGGTTGTCACTGAAAAGTTAAGACTTCTGGTACTTTTGAGTTAGTCCCAAATAACATCACTCAATCATCACCTATTTATCAAAGCAATTTTATTTGATTACTTATTCCAGGCAAATAATGAGGTTCATGTGTACAACTAAGAAATCAGACAATCCAAATAAAAGGCAGGGTAAATTAATATGAACTACACAAACAGCTAGCTAGAAAGGAACAGCAGCTCCATTCATTTTACATAGTACTGTAGAGTGATGTAGCACCATTAATCTCAAAGATATCCTAAGTACTTTCTAAGATAAGTACGTGGGTCTTTGTTCAAATGTAGCAATAGCTTAAAACTTATAGCAAGCTTGATGATCATCTTATGTTCAACTAATTTCAAATATAAAAGTATATCCGAAAAATTATTTCAGAAAAAATAGGGGCTGGGCACGGTGGCTCACGCCTGTAATCCCAGAACTTTGGGAGGCCGAGGCGGGTGCATCACTGGAGGTCAGGAGTTTGAGACCAGCCTGGCCAACATGTTGAAACCCCATCTCTACAAAAATTAGCCAGGCCCACATGGTGGCGGGCGCCTGTAGTCCCAGCTACTTGGGAGGCTGAGGTAGGAGAATCGCTTGCACCTGGGAGGTGGAGGTTGCAATGAGCCAAGATTGCGCCACTGCATTCCAGCCTGGGTGACGGAGCGAGACTCCATCTTAAAAAAAAAGAAAAGAAAAAATAGACAATTTGGGGGATGACGTGACCTTATGCAATTGGAAAAAAAAAACCATTATTGAGACTGGTTTTCTTCCATCATCTGCACTATTTGCTACTATGACCAATTTAAATTCTAAGCTTTGGATGATTTAATAGGTAGTTATTTGAACACACATACAATTTTATTTATACAAAGTTTTTTTTTTTCCCTAAACTATCACTTTTATATTTATTGGTCTGTTTAGTTTGTTCTGGCCTGAACTACAAACATGGAGGAGCAAGAGAGTTTTCATGCTACAGAACTCAACATTTTGGGATCTTTAATGATTTATTCTATTTTCTACCATTTCTAATGATCATTCTAAGCTATTGTACTGTGATAATATTGGGTTGAAATTTGTTGAACTAAAGTTTGACCCTGTTAACGAATCTAAGTTATCATGAGGCCATCTGTAAATCTGAGATTAAGCATTTTTCTAAATACCGAGGACTTTACAGTTTCATTTTAGGTTATAAACTTAGAAATTCAGAATTCCAGAGTCCCTCACCAGCCCATTTTACTAGTTAGGAGCCACAGCACATTTTCAGAAATATACCACAGCAAAATCAAAAGTAGAAAATTATATAATATTCCAGGATTATTCAATCCTGGTGGTTCCTAACCCTAACTCCCATACTTTTGCCACTTCGAGAAGCTGATCTAAACTATGCACTTTCCCCAAGAAAAATGCATGTAAACTAGAACTTCTTATACACAATTATAAAGGATTCCCTAAGGGTTCATGATTCTCAAGTTAGGAATTCCTATTTCAAAGGTGTGGAACATAGTGGAAAATAAGTTTAGCCCATTTTGATATTGCCCATCTTTACCTAATTGCTACTATAGTGAAGTAAGCATTTTAATAATGCTACTAAATTGCTGCTTTAAAACAAAGCACTCATTTTAAACACTAACATAGATTTTTAAAATTCATTCTCCTGGCTGGGCACAGTAGCTTATGCCTGTAATCCCAGCACTTAGGGTGGCCGAAGCAGCCAGATCACTTGAGGTGAGGAGTTCAAGACCACCCTGGCCAACATGGTGAAATCCCATTTCTACTGAAAATACGAAAATTAGCTGGGCATGGCACAGGCCTGTAATTCCAGCTACTTGGGAGGCTGAGGCAAGAGAATCACTTGAACCCGGGAGGCAGAGGTTGCAGTGAGGTGAGATCATGCCACTGTGCTCCAGACTGGGTGACAGAGTGAAACTCTTGTCTTCATAAAAAAATAAAAAATAAAAAAATAATAATTCTCCTGTCCCAGTTTTACAAAGTTTTAAGCCATGTACCTCTATCTTGAATTGGTTAAGTCCCTAAGGTTTAAGCTAGCAGGTAATTGTTTTCCTTTCATACATATTCTCCAGAGCTACTGAAAAATGAGCAAATTAAAATGTAATGCCCTTGTGAAAATGAACATGTGTCTATATACTGAAGAACAGATTATTTGACTTCATAAAATATACTTCTAGGTATTTTTTCACACTTGAAAACAAACACGGCCGGGTGCGGTGGTTCACGCCTGTAATCCCAGCACTTTGGGACGCCGAGGCAGGTGGATCACCTGAGGTCACAAGTTCGAGACCAGCCTGGCCAACATGGTGAAACGCTGTCTGTACTAAAAATACAAAAATTAGCTGGGCGAGGTGGTGGGTGCCTGTAATCCCAGCTACTTGGGAGGCTGAGGCAAGAGAATAGCTTGAACTCGGGAGGTGAAGGTTGCAGTGAGCCGAGATTGGGCTACTGCACTCCAGCCTGGGCAACAAGAGCAAAACTCTGTCTCAAACAAAACAAAACAAAACAAAACAAAACAAAACAAACACATGTACTTAGTGCCTCTCATCATAACACAAAATCCCAGATCATACTTTCTCCTTTTTTACTTGGAACTAGTACAATGGAAGCTTCCCACCAAGTTAACGAAATGTACTCAAAGTTCTACCTACTGGTCAGGATAGAAAATATTTTATTTCTGACAAACCCCACCATCTCAAAAGTATTTTATCAACTCCTCAGTTACCAAACAGGTTGAAGAATGCTATCTTTGAGGACTCTAATGTTGACTCATTGACATGTTGAATGGGCTCCTTAATCTAAAATAAATGCCTATCCTATAGTACAAGGTTAGACTTGTTGCTTCCTTATTAAAGAAAAACTCCACTAGTCACTCCAAAGATCTATTTACATAATGGGGTAAACATGGATACAGAAGGAATTCCTAAAGATACTTTGAAGGCTGATTTAAAAGCAAAAGATATGAAATGCAGAAATGCATACACATCCAGTATATAAAATTTAATCAAATTCCTTACTAAAGCTTTCAAAAGTTGAAGTCAGGTGATAATTCTTCGGTTCTTTCATAATCATTCATTTTTGCTCAAATAGACTATTTGTAGAACAATCCCAAAACATCTGAATAAAGGGAAAGAGTCAGCTAAGACAACAGCTTTGCCAAGGAAGCTTCAACTTGGTTATGTGATTTTATTCTTATCTTTTGCTGCTATATAAAAAGGGAATAATAGAACAAACATTTTTTTCCTTGTTGTTCTTTACTTCTAAGACTCTTTTCATGTTTTCCATGGTACAAGGTAAACATTAGAATTTACATTTTGGAGACCTAAGGGGCAATGAACAGGAGTGGGACCTGGAGGATACGGCTCTCTGGCAATTCAAGAATTTCAACTCAATGGTAAAGGGCTTGCAAGAGAAAATGGACTGCTATTTCTCCACTTGCTAGATGGCATCCCGTGAGTCCTATAATACACGAGGTGTCTTCCCCACACTACTCAATGTACCATTTTGGGTTTTTCCTACTGGACCTACTAAATGCTGAGTGAAATCTAAAGAAGGTGGTAGATACTAGCATTCCTGGCTGTGTAATCTATACATTTTCATTTTAAATATAGTAATTCAAGCATAATCCATATTTAAAAAATTAGACTAAGGAGAGACAATAAAGGTTTTAAACGTTTCTCTTTGAAAAGATGGTATCTTACAGTACATACAAAAATACTCTGAAAATACATACGACTTCATTTACAAAACACTGAATCAACATATTACAAGAATTACATGGTTATGGATTTTAATAAACTGAGCATGCATTCATGAAACTTAAAAAATATTAAGAAATGCATTGAAAAAAGCAGCGTAAAAAAAGACAACTCATATAGTTAAATAAAAATTACAAAGGTCCTGAGCCAATTAATGGTTGGTAACAATGTCATTCAAAATGCCTTTAGGTTTCAATAAAATCCACTGCTTATTTCTGCATGCCTAGTCCGTGAAGAAACTATTTGAAGTTGTGGGGTAAATAATGATCAGGAATTATCATGCCAAGTTAATTTTACACCTCAAAAATACAAGTGTGCCATACTTAAAGGTTATCTTATTGTTGATGCTGGAATGAGTTGCTCCTCAGTAAAAAATACCAGTCAACTAACAAGAATGGCATGAAATAGGATATGTAACAATTTTACCATTCATATACTGACTTTCAGTATCCTGGTTATATTTTGATTTTTAATAAAGATGCATTTCAAAGGCCTCCATGGGAGGCAAAATATAGAGAATTTATGGTGCCCAACTCTTATGTAATCACTGGACTAATCTTCCCTGGTAACTATGCAACATTTGGACAGAAAGGCACACAAAAAAGTTTAAATATTTCATGTGCCAATCTGGAAAAAAATAATTTAAATCAACAGAACAGACAGTACATCTACACAAATGAGGAAAGCAGAAAAGATACCTCACATTCATTTATCTCAGGTTTCAAAGTGGCTTCAATGCTAAAGTAAATGTATTAACATTTGGAAAATACAAGACAATTTTTTTGTTTGTTTTCAATTTTTTTAGCTCTATACAATGATTACAACATAAGACAAAAAAAGAAAAACACAAAAAACAAAACAAAAAAGGAGTTCAGGACTTGTTATCAGTGTCCAAGTGGCTAAGAACTGGTTCCCATAACAAGCATTGAAAGTTAAGGCAGTAAAACCCCCAAATGCAAAGCTGTAATACTGTAGATGGCAATTTGACAGCAGGTGATCCTCAGAGAAGTGTATGTAGCAATCAGTGAGAGAATGCTACAGCATCTACAGGTCAAAGTTTGACAGTTCAAAAACCACTTCAAGGTTATTAGACTGAAGGCTGTCACTTTCACCTTATTTCACGTATGACAGCCACTTCTATTTAAAAAACAAGTGGCTGCATCTATGCCACTAAATGATTGCTTGTTCACTTAAGTGAGGAGGCACTGCTTTTACCGATTAAGGGTCAGTCGAATGGAATTTTTGATGACACGGATGTTGTTTGCTGGAACTGGAGATGATGAATCTGGTAGTTCTTTACTGGGTAGTCTCTATTAGAAAGAAAGAGGAAACAAAAAAGGAAAAGCACATCATATATATTATAAAGGCCCAGCTAGAAAGTCAGTCACAAAACTTGGGGAGTTTTTCTCCCAAACCCTCTAGCTCCTAAACACTCAAGTATGCAATGAATATTTCCTTCCGTGTTCATAGGGAACTCTTGCTTTCGGAACTGCTACTTCTTTTTACAGTCAGAGGTGAAAAGCAGAGGGATAAGAGAAAGGGTAGAAGTGGCAGGAGTGTGAATATGTACAGGAAAAGAGGAACTGCCATGCCTGGATCAAGAAATGCATAAAGAACACAGTCCTTAAGGTCAAGCAAAGAAAAAAAAAAGGAAGTTCATGGTGACTAAACAGGAAGCTCTTGGGGTGTGAAGTGAAAAATGAGTGTGTGCAGTAGAGAAAAATTTAATATCTGAGAGTTATGTCCCTCAATTTGTTTCTGTAATACATTCATGAAGAAGACCACTGACTCAATCTGTGAGATACTTAAGTTCTCAGGAAAACTGAACTTTGTACTTAGGCTAGATAACTTTGATGGTTATGAAATTCAGGGACATCGGTTTGAGGGATTCTGAGGGCATTAAAGATTATTACATAAAGAAGGCAAAATCTAGGGCCGGGCATGGTGGTTCACGCCTGT